>NC_000004.12:6039005-6345502 GCF_000001405.40 Homo sapiens | reverse complement strand
TTGTTCCTGCCACCCCTAATGATCCAGGATGACTTCCTCATCTCAAGGTTGGCTGAGTTGCGTCCTTGATTTCATCTTTGGCCTTATTTTGACTTTGCCGTGTAGCATAACATAGTCACAGGTGCTAGGGATCAGGACGCAGCCGTCTCTGGGGGCCGTTCCACCGCCTACTACAGGACACTGCCCCCCCACCTACGCCTCCCGCCCATTCACTCAGGCCACATGTGCCTCCAGCTGTGCCTGTGTACAGCCAGGTCTGGGTCCGAATGGAATGGGAGAATATTGGGGAAGAGAGGGGGTTCTTCCTGCTCCTGGTCCGCTGCTGACCCCGTGTGAGCCCTGTGGGAAGGAGGATGGGGCTTCATTGGCACCCTGTTGTTTATAGGGGTGGAAATCCAGAAACATCCTCAATATCCCAATCTTAAATGCTAAGATTATTCAACTCTTCTGAAATGAGTGAGGCAGCTTTTTGTTTCTTTTTCTGGAACCGTTGGTGTAATATATCTGCTCCTTGAAGTATTAGGAAAACTTGTGTGCAAATCTATTCGGCGTCCTTTTGAGGGAGAGAAGGAAAATTTTAAGCAACCAGTTTAAAATGCCGAGAAAATGATGTCGACAGTGATGACATCCATGTACTAGAATATTGTTCGGTCATGTCAGCTATTGTTTTAGAAGAATTTTTAATGCCACAGGGAAGTGATTATGTTGAAAGATTTAGGGGATAACAAAATAAGGCTATGACCACCAGAAAAGTGGAAACAGAGAAAACTCTGGAAAGAAATACACTAAGTTGTCCCTGAGTGGTGAGCTATAAGAAACTGATGGAATATTTTCTTTTTATTTTTCTGTGTATTTTTACTTTCATGATGGATTTGAACTTTGAATCAGAAAACACATGTGTGTGCAGGAAGGGTGGAATTTAGAGAGCACAGAGACGGGCATAGGACAGTTTTGTGCACCCCTCAATGTTTGTGTGACATTTTTCAGTGGGCTAGAGGGGGCAGTCAGACCCCCTTTGGCTCCCGAAGCCTGTGCTATCCGGTTTCCCAGGGCAGAAGCAGCGGTCACATATACCTTGCACATTTCGTGAGTCCAAGCACAGACACATCCATTTCAGCCACGTAATTTCATATGCCTGATGATGTATGAGCCTTGTGTGAATCAGCCAATGAACTCAACAGTGCGAGAAATATGAGTGTTTTCGATGACTCAATTCAATTTCATTCTTCACCCCCAGCTCCCAGGGCTGCAGTGAACGTTAACTTTTAGGGCCTCGGCAGATTCCACTCCTCTCCGGATTGCACTGAGGTTCCAGAAGGCTCTGGCAGGCCGAGGTGCGGAGAGAGGGACATGGTGTCTTCCAGGCCACTGAGGACTTTTGATTGTGCCTGGGCGACCTTGGGGCCAGGTCCTTGCTGACAAATCCCCAAGGGCCTGTTGGCTGTGCTCAGTGACTCACCTGGGAGGTTGGCAACATGCTGACCTCTGGCGGCTCTTGCCCGCACCAGTGATCCCAAGTCTGTAGACAGGGTGGGGCTGCCTGTGATGTACTAAGGTTTTATGTATGCTTTTTGCACACACAGTCATAGGTGAAGTTGGTTTATAATTTTCTTTTCTTATACTCTCTTTGCCCAATTTTAAGATTATTCAACTCTCCTAAAATGAACTGGGCAGCTTTTTCTTTCTTTTTCTGGAGCAGTTGATGTAATATATCTGCTCCTTGAAATCTTAGGAAAACTTGTGTGCAAATCTATTTGGTGTCCTTTTGAGGGAGAGAAGAATTTTTTTCTTTTTTTTTAGACAGAATTTGGCTCCATCACCCTGACACGATCTTGGCTCACTGCAGCCTCCACCTCCTGGGTTCAAGGGATTCTCTCACCTCAGCCTCTGGAGTAGCTGGGATTACAGGTGTGTGCCACCATGCCTGGCTAATTTTTTTTGTATTTTTAGTAGAGACAGGGTTTTGCTGTGTTGGCCAGGCTGGTCTCGAACTCCTGGCCTCCAGTGCTGGGATTATAGGCATGAGCCACCATACCAGGCCAAGAGAAGAAAAATTTTAAACAACCAGCTTAATTTCTTTTTTGATTATTGATTTATGCAAATTTTATTTAAAATTTTTCTAGAATATTTTTCATTATCAAACTCAATATCCTGTACGGAAACTTTCTCTTTCGTGCCAGCAAAAAGATTGCGCAGCAGTTTTTAGCATGCTTTTACAGCTTCCATTTCTCCTCATTTAATTTGCCGCACATTGGGGCGAGTGGCTGAAGTGTCTGTCCTTCTGCATGCCTTGTCCGGGCTGTGTTTTTGCTCTGTGGCTCTCATGGGAAATCAAGCACGCAGCCGCTTTCCAATTAGCAGGTGGCGGCTGTTTTTAATCTGAACACAAATGGCTGTTATTTGAGCTAATTTTTTAAAAGGGATTTGGGGATTAGGATTAGTTCTTCACCTCCCACTTCCATCCATGTATCCAATTACTGCTCAAAACTCAGGGAGTGGCTGATAGTGACACCCCAGAGATGTGCTCACAGCATCATTTTCCTAACAGAATCAGACCGCGAATGAAGAGCGTCCTGGATGCAGGAAGGTGAGCATTTCTGCCATTGGACAGATGAGGAGACCGAGGGTCCGAGAAGCTCTGTGACTTCCCTGGACCCCTCCTCTATCAGGGCAGAGCTGGGGGCACACAGGCCACTCTGTTCCCTCTGCAGCTTCCCACCTTTCTCCGAAGCACTGGAAATCCGCGTCTTGTGACTGCTTGGCAGTGTGACAGGGTAACCGTGGAAACAACCGTACATGAGTCCTCAAAATAGACAGTTACTTCTGCTTATGACAGCACAGAGCCTGCGGAAAGAAAGGGCCGTGCCCGGAACACTGGGATTTCTTAGAATTGGGGGTGATGATGGCTGAGACCCTGATTTCTTAGAATCGGGGCCGATGATGGCCAAGACCCTTCATAGGCCCCCAACGACGTGCCTGGCCCGGTGTTGGGTGAAATAATAACCGCAGCTCATTCTTTGCACACCTAGTGCAAACACATGCTGTTTTCAGTTTATATCTCATTAAATACTCAGCACCTATGATGGGTGTGTTATAGTATTCATCCTACAGATGAGGAAGTTGAATACACTTGACCCTGGAATGATGTGGGAGTTAGGGGTTCAGACAGTGCCTGAATGCAGTTGAAAGTACATGCTTAACTTTTGACTCCCTCAAAACTTCACTCCTAATAGTCGGCTGTTGGTGGGGAGCATTACCAGTAACATCAACAGCTGATGAACATTTGAAGAGACTGATGTCTACGTGGATTTTATGCATTTGTGACATACCTAACTTTTTCTTTTCTTATATATATATGTATGTATATATATGTATGTGTGTGTGTGTGTGTGTGTGTGTGTGTGTGTGTGTGTGTGTGTGTATCGTGGCAGATCTCCAAAATGTTTTCAGTATATTTACTGGGAAAATCGCACATCAGGGGACCTGCAGGTTCAAGCCTGTGTTGTGTGAGGGTCAAGGGGCAACTGTATACGCACTTCTCATTGCTGCGGGAACAATTGCCATGAGCTTAGTGGCTCAAAACAACACAAAAGACTGTTGTACATTCTGGAACTCGGGCTAAAATGAAGGCGTCAGCTGGCCTGTGTTATCTCTGGAGGCTGCAGGGTGGGGCTGTTTTCTGATCTTTTCCAGCTACTAGAGGCTTCTAGAGGCTGCCTGCACTCCTCAGCTCATCATTCCAACCTCTGCTTCCATCATCCCATCTCTTTCTTCCATCTTTGACCTTCCTTCTTCCTCCTATACAGACCCTTGTGATGACATTGGGCCCATCCAGATTATCCAGGGTCACCTCCGTACCTCAAGGTCCTTCACTTAATGACATCTGCAAAGCCCCTTTTGCCATGTGAGATAACAGGTGCACAGATTCTAGGGTGGAGGATGTAGATAGACGCCTTTAGGGGTCATTGTTCTCTGCTACATTGAAGCACAGAGAGATTAAGACATTTGCCCAAGGTCACACAGCTAAGTAGAGCCAAGATAGAGCCTCAGAGAGTCTCATGCCTTCAACCTGCACTCTTTTTCCCTTTCTCATCACAGAAGCCTTGAGAACTAAAACTCTTACAGGAATTGTGGGTGAGCTGGGTTTTTTTTTTTTTTTTTTTTGAAATGGAGTCTCATTCTATTGCCCAGGCTGGAGTGCAATGGCATGATCTTGGCTCACTGCAACCTCCACCTCCTGGGTTCAAGCAATTCTCCTGCCTCAGCCTCCTCAGTAGATGGGATTGCAGGTGCCGGCCACCACACCCGACTTTTTGTATTTTTAGTAGAGACAAGGTTTTGCCATGTTGGCCAGGCTGGTCTCAAACTCCTGACGTCAGGTGATCTGTCCACTTCGGCCTCCCAAAGTGCTGGGATTACAGGCGTGAGCCACCGCCCCCCACCTGAGTGGGTTCATTTAAAAGGGCTGTGTGGGCTCAACTCCCAGGGCTCACTCTAGTAATGGATCTGCTGCAGAAAGACCAGCCTCAGCCCAGACCCTGCAGCTCTCCAGGTGCAGGACCAGGGCAAAGCTCCCCAACAGTGGGAACAGCCCATGTGAGGGCCCTGTGGCTGGATACAGAGGCTGGAGAGAGGAGGTGAGGTCAGAGAGGTGTGTGGCTGGAGGAGGCCTCACAGGCCAGAGCAAGAGCTTCGGGTTTCCTCTGAAAGGGACAGGAACCACAAGGCCGTCTGAGTAGGGAGTGGGCCAGCCTGGCCATGTGTTCACAGGATCCCTCTGGCTGCCCAGTGGGGAATAAGCTGAGGGGTGAGGTAGAAGTGGGGGCTGGCTGGGGGCTAGCGTGTTCACGCAGGTGAGAGACGCTGGTGCGCAGAGTGAGTGGCCGGTGCAGGTGGGGAAGGTGGTGGGCCCTGCCCCCCATGGCAGGTGGGGCCTGCTGGATTTGCTGCTGGATTGGATGGAGAGGGAGGGAGGGTCGGGGATGGCTTCAGGCTCTGTACAGAGACCAGGCTCCCGTCTGTGTGGAGCTTTGTGGAGGGACCACAGGAAGGGGACTAGTAAATAAGTAGGTGCATTGGAGTGGGAAGGTTTCCATGAAGGGCATCAGGAGCCCTCTGATGCATTGCACCTCAGGGGTCAGGAGAGGTGTCCCTGGATGAGAAAGAGCCTGGGAATGGGGGCGGGGGTGCCCCACCCCACAGTAGTGTCTGAGAGGAACCTGGCTGACGTCAGGACCCGTGTGGCTGGAACAGGTGGAGGGGTGGGCTCTTGTGTGCAAAGATGGGTTAAGGGGAGAGCGTGCCGGGCCTGGGGGCCACAGCTGGGCTTGAGTTTTTTGTTTGATGGGGCTCGATCACATGGTGCTGGGCAGGGAGTGACAACTGTCATCTCTTCATCAGTGAGCATTCATTGTGCCCACCTGTGCCATTGTAGGAACTCCCTGCTCCCTCCCCACTGTGTACAGCCTCAGGGATAGGGAAAGAGGCCGAACAGGAGGCCCCTCCCCAAACAGTGGCATCACCTGGAACCCAGGAGCAAGCCAGTGTCCAGGGGTGCTCGGGGATCCATAACCCCCATCGTCCTTCTTCTGCTTCTCGGACCCTCCAAGCTCCTCCTGGAGCGCGGCCTGAGGTGAGGCCAGCTGGCCCAGGCCACTCCACCCTCGTGGATGGCCTTGTATCCCATCAGATCACAGGAGGGACCCGTGGCCAGGGTAGCCAGGGGCGATCACTGCCCAGGACCCCATAGGCCCCTCCCCCTCCAGGCCACCTCCTCCCATGTTTCCCACCTCCACCCACCTGCAGGTCCCTCCCACCCTCATCTGTTTCTCTGGAGGCCTCACTGAACTGCACTTGTCCCTGAATGCATGGCTCAAGCCCATGCATTTCTACTGTGTGAACCCAATCGGCCTCCACCCCAGCCCCAGAGGAGTGTCGTCCACACACTGACAACGATGGGGGTGGGGCACAGCAGGTGCTACCAAGAGGGCCACAGAGCAAGTGCCACGGGCACACAGGGGCCACCCCCAGGCTGGCTGAGGCTTCTCTGCCAGGCCTGGAAACTGCAGTGGAACCACATCAGGTTGGGGAAGAAAGATGTCAGTGAGGGGCTGGAGCAGAAACGGCAGGCAGCTGCACAAGCTTCTCTCTGCTCAGGGAGCAGGGCGGGGCCATGAGGCAGGGTCTGTGCTAGGCAGGGGCGCCAAGATGATCAGTGACTAATGACCAAGGCAGGACCCCTGGCCCAAGGGAGCTTACAGCCCCATGAGGGGACCCTGCCCTCCTGCCAGTGCCACAGGAGAAGGTACCCAGCGGCTTGGGGGCAGCAGAGGGTAAGCACAGGATTTCTTTAGAGAGCATGTGAACAATATGCACAGAAAGCAGGGTGTGAGCCTGGGGTTCTAGAGGATGTATAGGAGTTGGTAAGAAAGACCAGCTAAAAATGGGAAAGGGATCTCAGGGAGAGAAAATGATGTGAAAAATAACTCCAGGAATCCCTCCGTAGTTTTATTGAGCAGCTACTGCAAGCCCCACACTGGGCCATCGCCTCCAGGCATGACCTCTGAAGATCCCATCGTGCTCCTTCTCCAGATGAGGGAAGCTGGGCTCAGAGAGGACCAGGCCCTTGCCTGAGGTCACACAGAGCACGATGCATTCTGCTCTCTGCCCAGCACATGGCGGGGCAGGGGCTACGGGAGGCAGGGGGAGATGCCTAGGGCTCAACATTGAGGAGACACCCACCCCCAGAGCCTTTGAGTGGATGCAGTGCCCTAGGGGCCCAGCAGGAAGGGGGCTGGAGTGTGCGGCAGAGGGGAACTTGCGTGTGTGAGGCAGCAGCAGCAGGCTGGTTGGGACCCATTGAGAAGGAGCTGGTCAGCTACAGGTAGGAGCCTAAACCTTGATCCTGTGGGCACTGGGGAGCCAAGGAGGGCTTCAAGCAGAAGGAGGTGCCGTCGGCTCTGTGTGAGGCTGGAAAGGAAGGTGGGCACCTGCTCTCAGGCTTCACCTCCTGTTTCCTTTGATTCACAGGTCCGTCAGAGCCGCCCCACACCTTGGTTGGGCTCCCCAGGTCCCCTCCACCTTGGCCTGAGCCAGGGATGGGGGTGGGGAAGGCTCTCTGTGGCCACAACACCGTGCAACACCCAGGGAGGAAGAGGATGTGGTTGTCAGGGAACCGGCTCGAGCCATGAGAGCCCTAATTATGCAAAATCATTAAAAAGAAACAGGATGGAGATTTCGGCTGATTGAGAGCTCTCCAACTTTTAAATAATTAGGGTGTGGGGGAGTGGGTGGAGATGGGACTGGGCCCATCACAAGTGATGGGGGCTTTGAGACATGTTTCTTTAAACCCATGGCAGGAATAATTACTGTGAAATGTCCTTAGCGATTCAGTCAATTAGAGGGGAGACCCCTTATCTCTTGTTAGCGCTCTGAAGGTGGTGCAGCGGGGTGTGTGTGTGTGTATGTGTGTGTGTTTGCGTGCGTACTCGGGGGCAGCGATTGATATGGAATAGTAGATTCCACTATCTTTTGGAAAAAAATCTATTGTATCAAAAATTTCATAGAAACGTCTAAAAAGAAAAAGAGGAACTTTTAGGAATGGTTTTTCAGGCTTATTAATATCCCTTCCGATCTATCGTTTGCATTCCTGTTCCTTGTGTCCTTAAAAACCCTCAGAAATGCCCGAGTACAGCCAGCAGTGGGGCGACAAGGGCCAGCGCCGTTTGGCTTTGTTTCCACTATCGATTCAATTGTTCTCTCAGCCTTTGATCTTTGCGGTTTTTCCTGCTGGAGGCTGGTAGGATACTTGGCCACTCGTTCTGCCCTGTGACACCCAGCACCGGTGCCCCCTGTGATTCTGGCTGAATCCACCCGCAAGTCCTGCTGGGAACCTAGACCAGCCCTCAAGGTCTGGGGGAGTCTGGTCTGAGAGACCCCTGAGCAGGCGAGGGGGTACTAAGGCCACTCCGGAAGTCAGCCTGTGAGAGGCCGCCCTGGCTCAGTTTTGGACTCACCTCCGCCTCACCTCCAAGTGACAGAAAGCCTAGTTCAGGCCAGACAGGGTTCCCGCCACTCACCTGGGCAGGTGCTGGGGGCCACCAGGTCCCGCTGAGATTCTCTTCCTTGTTTCCATCCATTTAGCCACCGGGGGTCCCTCTTCTCTCAAGCCCTCTCCCTGCTTCTCCCAAATATGAGTCTCTACCCACTGCTAATGGAAAGGCAGCACAACATCACCCCTTTAGGGAATCAAGCGTTCGAAGTGATTTTCTTTACGGTAGGCATCAGAGAGAAAAGGGAACTGTGGTTGATCCTTCTTTGGCTTAACAAAGAAAAACTACAAATATATATATATATATATATATATATATATATATATATATATATATATACACACACACATACAGAAACAAAGATGCCAATTTAATTATTATTATCGGGGCACAAAACATTATCATGTGAGATGACCAATTAGAACTCAGAGGTTCAGAAGCTCAAGGTGACTCCCAGGGAGATTTTACTACCCCTACCGTACCCATCCTCCTCCACAGGCAGGGAGGGGTTGGAGGGCTCACAGGAGGGAGGGAGGGAAGGAAGGAGGGAGGGAAGGAGGGATGGAGGGAGGGAGGGATGGAAGCAGGGAGGGAGGGAGGGATGGAAGCAGGGAGGGAGGGAGGGAAGGAGGGAGGGAGGGAGGGATGGAAGGAGGGAGGGAGGGAGGGAGGGAAGGAGGGAGGGAGGGAGGGAAGGAGGGAGGGAGGGAGGGAGGGAGGGAAGGAGGGAGGGAGGGAGGGAGGGAGGGAGGGATGGAAGCAGGGAGGGAGGGAGGGATGGAAGCAGGGAGGGAGGGAGGGAGGGAGGGAGGGAGGGAAGTAAGTCAGTAGGGCTGCAGCACTCATCGTGCACTGGGCTCACTCTGTACAGCATCTTTGCTGCCTGCGGCCCTGCCTGTACCCAGGGTGGTGCCAGGCCTGGCTGCAACCCCCTCCTCCTGCCCCTTCCTGAAAAGCGCCCTTGGCTCCTGTTGTAGGGAGGAGCAAGGCCAGGGCTCAGGGAGGTGAAGGCGTTCAAGGCCACACGAGGGGCTCGGGGATTGAGACCCTGGCAGCCTGTTCTCTCCCAGCTCCCTCTGCGAGCGGCCTCACCCTTCCTTCCCATGGTGCTGATTTTCTTTCTGGTCCTCCCTTCAATGTGCCCTTGTGGAAAGAGGAAAGCTCGGGCCACTGAGAAGGGCGCCCCTGTGAACGATGGAGGGAGATTGAGGTCGCAGGCAGGCCTGGGGACTGGGGGCGTGTGGAGGGGTGGGTTGGGCTCCTGGAAAGGGAGGCGCCTACTGTCAGTTTTGAGTTTCGTTAAACACCTGCCAGCCTGATAGCATTCTAATTCCAAAATATGACACCACTTATTAGTGGATAAACTAGGCTCCCTCCCTCCTTCCTGATCTTGACGCCAGGACTGGAAGGAGCGACCACCTGCCCTCAGGATACCCGGTGCAGTGCCATGGCTTTGAGGGCAGAGGTGTGGGGTTGAAGGCTGCCACTGCTCACCAGAGGCTGTGGAGAGGCTAAGGACAGGGATATAGATCTCCTGAGCTTCAGGGGTCTGCTTCAGAGACAGGTGTTTGGAGGCCTTGCTCTCAAGAGAGGTGGGGGGGACCTTCCTCCTGCTGCCTGCTCTGATTTGGGGGGATACCAGAGGCATGAACATAAACGTGGGAGCCTTTTCCTGCCCTGTAAGCAGCTTCCCTCCCCCTCCTCTCACCTCCCCTCACCTCCCTGCATGCAGTGGCCTGGGATCAGGATGGTGACACCTGGGCTCTGCAGCCCTGGCCCACCGGGTGCTGGAACTTCCTTCCTCCGTCGGGAGGGGACTCCAGCCTCCTGCCTGCCCCTCCCTACCTCCTTGACTCAGATTTCATCCTCCCTGTCTCTGAACCCTCAGTGGCTCCCGTTTCCCTAATGGTGACTTCCTCACCCCTCTCCGTGGCCCATGAGATCCTGCGTGGGTGGCCCCTTGCGTCCCTGTTCCCCCTGCTCACTCCTTTCTCTGCCTGCACGGCCCTTGGCGTGTCCCTGCCTCAGGGCCCTTGCGTGTGCCGTCCCTTCTGCCCAGCACACCCCTCTCCAGGCATCGCCACCAATCTCTCCCCAACTTCACTCAGACCTTGGTCAAACAGCACCTCCCACGGAGGCCCTGTTCACCTAAACTACCAGCCCCCAGCACCTATCTGCCTGCTGGCTCTTCCTCCCCAGCACTTGCTGCTCCCTGGCGGTGGAGGGCGCCACTTAGTTTTATTGTCTGTATCTGCAAGGAGAATGTTGGCTGCACAGGAACAGTGGCTTTATGCTGGTCACTGCATCATCCCAGGGCCTGGCACAGAGTAGGTGCTGTTTGCATTGGTTGACTGAGTGAATAAATGAATGAATGAATGAATGAGTCCATCAGGGCATCCAGTGGGCCCTGCAGAGGGGAGCTGGACAGGAGTTGTATTTCTGGAGAGGCAGTGGCCAGGTACAGTGTCCACCTTGGACAGGAGGGAGAATGGGGTGCTGCCATTTCCCATGAGGGGATAAGGGGCTGGGACAGACCTGGGAGGCAGGACACGAGCCCTTGTGGCTGAGAGGGGCCAGCAGGGAGGGGCCTCTCGGGAGCCTCAGGGTGCTGTGATCAGCTCTGCTTCCCTGTTTCTGGGGTAGAGACCAGAGCAGGCCAGCAGGCAAGGCTGCCACTCAGCCGGTTTCCATGGGGACAGCTGGACAGGTTGTCATAGGTTTAGGTATTTCCAGATTGGCTGGTGAATGGCTGTCAACTCCACCACCCTGTTCTCTTCCCATCGTTCCCTGGGTCTCTCTGTGGCCCAGGTCCTAGGGAGTTAGTGCCTGGCCCAACAGGGGTCCTAGTCCCCACGCTACTTCAGCCCCAGGGTCACTGCTACCAGTGAGACAGATACCAGCAGAAATGAGCTTAGAGACCTTGTCCCACTTTGGGAACTTCTGCAGCTCAGGAAGGCCAGGTTATGGGGGCAGTGGGGAGGGGACACTGTCTGGGGAGTCCTCATTGCCCACTCTGTCCCAGTCTATAATTGTCCAGGTGGGCAGCAAACCGTTGCCTTTAGGGACCAGATAAGCAACTTCCTGTGCAGAGCAGGTGCTCCAAGAAAAAAGGAGATGGTCAGTGGATGGCATACAGGAGACTGTACCAACTCTGTGGCAGTCAGATTTGATTTTGTTACAAACCCCATGGCAATGAAACAAAACCCACCTATAAGTAGGGCTCAGCCATGCCTGCCCAGGACACCATGAACAGAGATAACTACTGGCCCAAGGTCCCAGGGCCAGTTAGTGCCAGAGCCACAAGCAGTGCCCAGTCTGGTAGAGGACATTGTCCAGCACATTTGAGAATGTCAGGACACCTTTGCAATCTGGCATTCAGCATCACCAGTAGGGGGCAGTAGAGGGCAGCACATCAAGTATAGCTTTGGCTTCAAATCCCGACTCTACCACCTTCTTCCAGCACTGACTCCCCAGGCATGGGTTTTAGCCAGCTGCTCCTCCATTTTCTTGGCTATGAATGGGGATAGTAATGGCTATTTCTGCACAGCACAGAATCTTACCAGGCTTGTTCCCTGGTAAGTGTTTAGTTCTAGGTTTGAGGAATGAATGAATGACTGAATAAACAGAGCATGGGCCCAGGTGCAAAACAGAGTCATCCGTCGTGCCAACCCCATGGGCGGGAGCAGCGCAGTGACGGCCATTGCTTCTCTGTCTCCACAGTCTTTGAAGAGCCTGAGGACCCCAGTAACCGCTCATTCTTCTCGGAAATCATCTCCTCCGTGTCCGACGTGAAGTTCAGCCACAGCGGCCGCTACATGCTCACCCGGGACTACCTTACAGTCAAGGTCTGGGACCTGAACATGGAGGCAAGACCCATAGAGACCTACCAGGTGGGCACCACAGCAGGAGACCCCCAATCCCGGGTCTTTTTTCCCTATGCTGAGATCCCCATGGAGGGGGCCTTCCTAGCCAGGCGTGGCTTTCATATGCCCGGTATGTAGGTGAAGACACGGAGGCTGAAGAAATCCAGCAACTCATCCCCACACGTAGCTTGGCAGAGGGCAGGAGTGCTCAGTCTTGCCTCACAGGGAGCTTTGGATGTCCCTGAGCAAGGCCTGCAGTCCAGGGCCCAGGGGCCTCAATTCCAGGGAGGAAAGAGATGTGGGAACAGAGATGAGCGTCAGGCTGGGCCCCAGTGGAGCATGTAGACGATGGCTTCCCTCCCCACTCCCTGGGAGCCTGCATCGGAGCTGTACCATTAAAGAGGGTTAAGCGTTGCCCTCCCAGGGTGCATCCGTAAGCAGTGCACGCAGAGGTGAACTGAGCACATGTTTCCTTTCCAGATCCTCAGCACAGGCCTATAAGCCTGGAGTCTAGGTGAAGCCTGGGCCCTTCTTGGACAGTATTATTTATTATCTTGCTATTATCATCCATTCAGATATGTTAGGGGGTAGACAACAAAACTCATGTGATGTTAAAATAAAATGTGGACTTGAAAGAAATGTGGGATGGCTTCAAAGCTGGTTCCAGTTAGGTGGGGAGATCAGGGAGGCTTCTTGGAGGAGGTGGCATTTGTGCTGGGCCTTGAAGGATGGGTAAGATCTGGCCGTGCAAACATGGGTGGGAAAACACCCCACCAGAAACCCCAGCCGGTTCCTCACCGTGTCACTCCTCACACATGGGGTGCCACGTGCTTGACATCTGTCACCTCCATTCTTTACTGTCCGGTGACAAGGAGCCATCATCCTATTTGGTGGAAAGGGAACTCGGGCACTGAGAGGTAGGGAGATGAGGGAGGTGTCTCTCGGCTGGGCGGTGACAGATTCAGAGCCCAGGCTCAGAGCCCTACGCTTTCCTTTCCTCCGTGCGAAGACCTAGTAGGAAAGCGTCCTGGGTGGCGCAGGCCTCGCTGGGAACTGGTGCAGAGCTCAGAGGGTGGGCTGCTCTGATCTGACCTGGGCCCCAGAGGAACAGCTCACGCTCCTGGAAGCCACACACCCACAAGGACCGCTATGGGGACCGCCTGTTTGTCAGCCACGTGTGTTTACTTGAGTTCTTGCGACTGCCCCAGCTCCTCCCTCAGGCCCCCTCCTCACACTGCACACCCCAGGCAGGACTCAGCCCTCCTCTGTCCCTGTGGGAATGGCAGAGACCCCAGACTAGGAGAGGGACAGGATAAGCCCGGCTCAAGCCTGCAGGAGCAACTCTCTGGCTCCCTCTGGAGGCAGCTCAGGGAAATGAACATTTCCAACCCCCTCCGGCCCCTTGTCCGGTCACTTACCTCCATCCCTGAGGTCAGCAAAGGCCCATGAACCCCTGAAACTACGTGGAATGTGTTCTATGAGCATTTTCAGGGGGAGGGGGACACAGCTTTCTGAAATTCTCATGAAGGACCCCACGAAGGAGGGGAATGACTGTTCTGGAGCGTGAGGCCGTAAGCTGGGCACTTGGCATCTGGCCCAGCTGACCTATTGATGCTAAAATAATAGCAATAACTACATAAAAGCAGCACAACAACCAACATTTTTTGGTGGCTTGTGATGTGCTAGAAATTGTGTGTAGCAGGACTGCGTTCGGCTGGTGTGCGGTGCTTAACAAATCGGGGCTATTTTTCTCCCACAACAGGGAGTCTGGAGAGGGCAGTCCAGGAAGGTGGGGGGGCTCCATGACCCCGGCAGCGCCACAGTGGTTCCTTCTGTGATCCAGTCCACCATCATTTGGGCGTTGGTTTTCCACCTTCACATGTGGTACCTCATGGTGGCAAAGTGGCTGCCACACCTCCAAGCACTTTGCCTACATTCCAGGCAGGAAATAGGAAATGCACTAGATCTCACCCCTGGGGTCTGTTGCGTGTTTCACTGTGATTGTAAAATCTTCCCCAGAATGCTTCTCAGAAGACTTCTTACACCTCATTGTCTAGAATGGGTCCCTGGCAGCCACCATAGTGGCTGGGAAGATTAATGGTTTAACAGCCTCTGTGGTTGAAGAAGGCAAGGGTGAAGGGGCTGGGGACGGTTGTTGAATGAGCCACACTGAGGTAAGTCCATAATATGCTTTGCCTCATCTAAGCCTCCCAGCTGTCCTGGGAGGTGGGGCCGGTATTCTCCCCATCCCATTTTATTGGAAGACAATTGAGTTAAATGGCAAATCTGTGACAGAGCCAGCAAGCAGCGGACCTTAGATTGACAGTCTTTCTCCAGAGCTCTTCCTCACCCTGCCACTAGAGGGCAGGAGATGCTTAGTGCACGGCAGAGAGAACAGCATGCGCATTTGGACGCGTGCATCACCAAGGCTGCTGGGAGCTGAGTAAGGAGGACACACAAAAATGCAGAGCCGGGGGTGGGACACGAACACTAAAACCTGCTGCCATTCATCCCCCTTGATTTTAGTTGTTACACATACTGAGCCAGTACCCTGTGCCCAACACAGTGCTAGACCCTGGACCCAGAGAGAAGGAAGAACCTCGGCCTCACCCTCGAGGGTCCCAGACAGACAGGAACACAGTGACCCTCAGCTTGGTGGGGCTGCAGCCCAGGGGCCCAAGGGGAAGGCAAGGGTCACCAGGAGGACACGGGGGCTGGGGAGGGATGAGCAGGGCCCCAGGCGGGAGTCAGGTAGCCTTGTCTAACCATCCTGTGTGCAGTGAATAGCAGGCCCTTCCTCCCAATCCTGCTTCCCCTAGTGCCACTCTGTTTTCCTGTGTAGTCCTTGCCACCATATTAGTCAGATGGCTCAGAGAAACAGAACCAACAGGATGGGGATAGAGACTGAGAAAGAAGGGAGATTTGAAGGAATTAGCTCACGTGGCATGTTCTAAATCTGCAGAGCAGGCGGGCAGGCTGGTGACCCAGGGGAGAGTGACTATGCGAGCCCACACGCATCTGTTAGCGGAATCCCCCGGTCCTCAGGGAGGTCTGTCTTTGTTCTATCAGGGCCTTCGACTGATTGGACAAGGCCCCCCACATGATGGAGGGCAGCCTGCTTTACTCAGTATATCAGCTTAAATGTTAACCTCCCCTACAAAATGTCTTCACAGAAACACCAAGTATCTGGGTACCTTGGCCCAGCCAAGCTGACACACGAAATTGACGTTCACACCACCCTTCACATTTTCTGTGTTCGTTGGAGTTGTTAATTTCAACTCCTGGGAGTTGAAACCAGGCTCCATGGCACCCAGTTACCTTCCCTTCCGCACCCAGAGGGCAGAGCCCGTGCCCTGTTGTCCTGGCAGCTCCAGCCTCAGCAGAGGGCTGGCACTCATGCGGCCCTCCGGGTACAGGGCTTGTAGGACCGGCTGCAGTCAGGTGGATGCAGGTCCTGGGGTGTCACCCTCTCTCCTGTGGGGTACGGGAATCCTGGGGAAGGGTCCTGGTCAGCCTCTTAGAGGCTGTGTGACCCTGTGAGCCTCAGTGCCTCGTGCTGTGGATGGATGAGAAACCTCTGTGGGTTCCCTCTTCCCCTTTCTTGATGGCCGCCACCCTGTGTTCTCGGAGATCATTACCCTCAAAAGGCCTGCCCTGCACTTAATGCCAGAACCACTGTGAGGTTCGCCCTCTTATCACTTTAAGTTTGAAGAAACTGAGGCTCAGAGAGATGAAATCACTTGTCCAAGATCACACAGCTGGGAGGGCAGAGCCAGGATCTGGACCCCAGGTGGTCCTGGCCCCTGTGCTGTGAGCGTTCTGTTTGTCACAGTGGACTCTGCTCCCTGGTGCTACTCCCGTCTCTGGCCACAGCTCAGAGGTCAGCCGTGTGCCTGGTCGTGGGCCCCCGATAAGATGAGCAGGGCTGTATTGGGCTGTGTCACGGTGGAGGTCAGCCGTGTGCCTGGTCGTGGGCCCCCCGATAAGATGAGCAGGGCTGTATTGGGCTGTGTCACGGTCGGGGTCAGCCGTGTGCCTGGTCATGGGCCTCCCGATGAGATGAGCAGGGCTGTGTCGGGCTGTGTCAGAGCATTCAGACCCTCGCTGAGATGAGCAGGTCTGCGCTGGGCCATGTCAGGGCATGCAGACCCTCGCTGCTCTTTGAGACCCTTCTTGTGGAAGGGCCAGGATGGTCGGGACGCCCCGTCCACTCACCTCATCCCTTATCCCACCAGGTCCATGACTACCTTCGGAGCAAGCTCTGTTCCCTGTACGAGAACGACTGCATTTTCGACAAGTTTGAATGTGCCTGGAACGGGAGCGACAGGTAAGCCCTGACCTCAGCCCGCACCTCACCTCACCGTAGGGAGGGTTTCTGCCCTGCAGGGGTCTGGGCTGGGATTCCGGTGACCCGCAGCATGGGGCTACTCAGCCTCAATGGGTCCAGGTGTCTGGGTGAAGCCCACGCTTTCCAGAGCAGGTCCAACTCTCAGCGCTCAGATTCAAGGGGCAGGACATGAAATTCTTCATCTTCTGTCACTGAACCTCACAGCCACGTTGGCGCCTGCCCTATGGGCAGTAGTGGGAACATGTTTAGTTAATTCAGGGTCCCCGGTGATGTGCTCCCCTCTCCCAGCTTGTCGGGGGCGAGGGCTATAGCCCAGCACCCGGTCACCATCATCCATCCACACCTGTATGTCCTGAGACAGCCCTGCACCCCTGTGGCTTTGACCATCGGTCTACTCACCCCTCCTCCCATCACCACTACTGTCTCCCTCTCTTCCTGGTGACACCCCACTCGGGCCCGCTGAGGCTCAGGGGCACCTTGGAGCTCCTACACCCTCCAGGGCTTGTCACAATCCACAAGTCCAGCCGTCTCTCAACCCCACCTGCCTGGAAAGTGGCGCCCCAGTGCCAGAAGTGAGTTCCTGTGTCTCCCTAGCCTGGGCTCAGCCCAGGGCGGGCATGGACAAGGGGGCTGTGGCAGGGGCTCCTGACCTGACCTCTACCCGTGGGTCCTTACCTCTGTGTCTCTTCTCTGGGATTCTTCCTCCATTCTGGAGGTGGGAAAATCCCTCTTCTGCCCTCCCAAATCACATCAGCTTTGTGCTCAGGGTCCTGCCAGGCGTAAGATTCTGAAATGGACAAGCCTACTCTCCATCTGTGAGTTTCGATCTCAGAAGCTGAGAGGTGGCCTCTCAGTGTCTCCTACAGCTGCTTCCTCAAGGACAGGATGCCTCTTTGTCCAGCCGCCCAGATTCAGAAGTGGGTCTCCAGATGATACACAGTGTGGAGATAAAGACTACACTGGCTGCTAGATCAGAATACCACCTGTCAGGAGCCCATGTACTGTCACCTCCTCCCCGCAGTCCTGTCCAGTGTGGTGGGCAAGGAGGGTGGAGTGAGAGCCAGCAGCCCTGACTTGGGCATCACCTGGTGGGGGGCTGTCCACCCTGTGGATGGCATCAGTCAACATGACAGGTCTGGGCTCTCCCAGACCTCTGAGGGTGGCTGGCACTGTGGTGGTCATGTGAGAGCTGCCGCACTATGACTCTCTGTGGCTCTGGGCATAGGGCTGGGACCATCAGGGTTGGTGTGTGGGATGAGGGGAGGGCTGGACATGGCAGAGACAGGACCAGGAGGGAGCCCCCTGGAAGCAGGGCTGGATCCAAGTGGGGGGCCAAGTCATTGTGTCCAGGGAAGGAGATTTCTGAGAGAGTTGCCAACATCCTGGAGCTCCCCCAGCCCGCAGGGGTCTCTCAGCAGAGCCCGAGCTCAGGCAAGGGGCTGGCATGGTGATCACAGGGGGCCACTAAAGGATGCTTAGAAAACCAGGATGGAGGCCCGACCCGGGGCTGGGCTGGCACAGCTGGGTCAGCAGGACACAGGACCTTCTCTCTAGGCCCTGCCCCCAGATAGATCCCAGACACCCCCAGCAGACAGGGCTCCTCCCATGCTGCTGAGCTGCATTTGGGGTTCCCTGGTGCAGTGGGTCCCAAGAGGGTCTATCCAAATCGGACGAGAGGGACCTGCAGCTGTAACAAGCTGATTCCAGCTTTTATGTGCGTTTTGCGGGGTAGGTCCCCGCTGGCTGCGACCCACTGCCCGTCCTTCCTTCAAGCTGCCACCAGGGGGCACCCGCGGCCAGGTGATGCCTGCTCCCAGGACTGGAGAAGCCGCCAAGCATCCCCAGGCTGACAGTGGTGTCTAGGCCTGGGCTCTCCTGTCCTGCCTCCCACCCGCCACTTCCTGCGTGCACTTTACACGCCAGCCACGCCCTGTCCTAGTGGTCCCCCACCCGCCTCACTGTCTCTCGCTCCACAGCTGGCTCTGCTCTGCCCGGCTGGAACCTCTGTCCTTGTTTGCCTCCCGCAATGGGTGGGGTGCCCTGGGGGGCTACTATGACTCAACCTGTTCTGAGCCCTTCACTGGGGACCTCAGGTGTGTCCAGTGGCTGTGGGTGTTTCTAGAAGGCATAGAGGTGTGCCACCTCCCAGTTCACTTTGAGCACTGTTCTGAGAACAACATGCCCCATGGTCAGGGGTCCCAAGATAAACAGACCCTGGGTCCTGCCTTCCAGGGCCTCAGAGGCTCAGGAGAGAAGCAAGGATTCCCCCCAGGTTCCCACATCCTTGCAGACCAAAGCAAACTCGAATCCTGGCAGGCTCCCAGTTGCTGCCCTCTTATTCCTGGTGACCCCCTCTGACAGTTGGTCCGGCCCGCAGAGCGCCGCTGCTGCCGCGTGGTGGCTGCCCGATGGCCCCTGCCGTGGGGCTTCCTAGCACCGGCAGAACGCAGATGGGCAGCGTGCTGTGGAGAGGCAGCAGCTCTCCTGCTGGACTCTCTCAGTCTCTGGTCCACATTCTACCCTCGCCACCGTGTGCTTGAGGAAGCCCCTAAGTCAGCTCGGCTGGAAAGTGGTTCTAGGAAACTGGCCTTCGTGGCCGCTTTGGGGATGAGACCATGTGTGATGCCTTCAGCAAGATCCCAGTTCGTATGCGCAGGGGTGCCGCAGTGATCCTGCGTGGACTATCCTATTGGCAGGCCTGCCCTTCCCCAGGTTACCTACCCGGAGGAATCCCGCAGGCCCTCCCACAACAGGCTTCAACGCCCCCTCCTCCATGAAGTTCTCCTTGATCTGTCCTGCCTGGGGGGAGAGATTTGTGCCAGCCGAGCGTGCTCGGGTGCGGGAGTCAAACACACCTACACTTGCTCTGAGGAGTCCTGGGCAAGGCTCCCCCAGGGGCCCATGCTGTATCCCTAGGGCTGTTTTTTTCTCTCCGGCCGTTTTCTTCTCTCCATGCTTCCCCATCTCCGCTCCTCCCTGCTTCTTCTTACACACTGGCCTCATCCTCTCCCTCTTCAGAGATGACCCCCAAATCATTCCCCTTTCCATTATCCTCAGCCAGCCAACCCCTCCCAGGGACTGTGTAAAACTCTCATGGAAGGATCTGATTGGCTCTGTGTGGGTCACTTGCCCACTTTTTGCACCAATCAGCATGGACAGGGATATCACATGCCCAAGTTGGCCAGGCCAAGGGGCGAGGAGAGCACTGTGATTGACCGCTCACAGGGATAGGGAGTGCAGTGGCGCCATCTCGGCTCGCTGCAACCTCCGCCTCCTGGAGTCAAACACTTCTCCTGCCGCAGCCTCCCAAGTAGCTGGGATTACAGGCGCCACGGGTGGCGAGGGCAGGAGCCTTTCTTTCCCCAAAGGAAAGAGGAGCGGAGCACTGGGGCTGAAAGCAGCCGGCGTTGTGGTCCCACATGCAGATGAGGCTAGGAGAGGTGAAGCAGCTCCCCTGCCCTTTTCCCTGTTAAGGGAACCTTCTGGAATTTAAGAAACCTGCCTGAATGTGAGGAATGGCTCTCATGGTGGTGCGGCCTGGTGCTCTAGGATGAGAGGGGCCCCTCCCTCTCCCCCAGAGCACGTGTCAGCTGAATTCCACACCCGAACAGGGGGAGGATCAGGAACTGTGTGGGTTGCAAATGACTTTAATTATGTCGCTCTCCTTCCACTAAATGGATCAGAAGAACCAGCATTGTGTGAAATCACCCAGGTTCATTCTGTGAACTGTTCCCTGAAGAACAAAGGGGGCTGCCTCCCCACTGTGCTGGCGCGGGGAGGGTGTGGCCTCCCCCAGTCAGCCTGTGGCGCCTGGGCAGGGCCCTTCTGTGGGACTCGTTCACCCGGCCCCCCTCGCATGCTGCTTCCCTTGTCCCAGGCTCTGAGTCACATATAAAGCGGGTGCGGCTTTGGTCACATGGACGATTAGGATCGAGGAGTACCTGGTAAATAACAAGAAGCAAAGTGCCTCAAGCCCAGCACTGTGCGGGGTGTTCAGCCTATGTCCCCTGATTCACGCTCACCAGGGGCTGCGTTCCCTTGTTGATCCCAGTTCTTATAGAAAACTAAGAGAGTGCGCATGTCAGGGTAGGGCAGAGCTGGGATCCGGACCCAGGCGGACTGGCCAGAGCCCAAGCCCCTGACTGCAGTGCCGGAGCTCACGTGTGAGCTTTTGTCCTCTGTGCATAACCCCTGGAGACCCAGGGATCCACCTGGTTCTGTCACAGAGCAGTGTCACCCTCAGGAAGCCCAGCTCAGCTTCCAAAAGGAAACAGGATTTCCTCCCTGAAGAGCCTTCAGCAGGACAACTTCTTTATGGTCGCTTTTCGTAACATCCTCTTCCTCCCCAGTTACCTTGCACCTCACAGCTGCTCCAGGGCCCTGCAGAGGCCAAACCCCAAAACCCTCCCTCTGGGCGCAGGCCCACAGAACTGTGCTTTCTCTCCTGCCTCTTACTATGTGGATGAACTTACCCTTCCTCCCACCGGCAGGAACCCCTTCTCCTTAGGAGCAGGGAGAGCAGAGAAATGGTGTGGAATTCTCTTTAGCGGGACGGTGAGGGCAGCGAGCCCCTGCACGTCAGCACTGCTCGCCCCGACCCTCATGGCGATGCATGTTTGTTTATTCGCCCGAGTCCTCGGGACAGGCGGGCCCCTGGAGGGAAGCAGGGCCTGGTGGTTTTCTGTCCCAGCTGCTTCCATGTCTACCTCCTGCTGTGGTTGCACAGTCTGTTTGGAAGGCCAGAGCTTTCTCTCCTGGACTAACAGAAATTACAGGAGGGTCTTTTCTTTTCTTTTCTTTTCTTTTTTCGAGACGGAGTTTTGCTCTTATTGCCCAGGCTGGAGTGCAGTGGCGCGATCTTGGCTCACTACAACCTTGCCTCCTGGATTCAAGCAACTCTCCTGCCTCAGCCTCCTGAGTAGCTGGGATTACAGGTGCCCACCACCATGTCCAGCTAATTTTTGTATTTTTAGTAGAGACAGGGTTTCATCATGTTGGCCAGGCTGGTCTCAAACTCCTAACCTCAGGTGATCTGCCCGCCTTGGCTTCCCAAAGTGCTGGGATTACAGGTGTGAGCCACCACGCCTGGCCAGGAGGGTATTTTCATGATGATTGGGGCAGAGGATAAAAAGGATCTTAGCTCCTGGCCCCAAAGTCTGCATGTTGGTGGCAGCTGACATGTGAGGGGGTATAAGAGACCCCAAGATACAGGGGAATAGAGGCAGGTGTGGTTTCCCTTTCCAGGGAGTGATGGCTCTGTAGGCTCTGGGATTGCTTTTTCATTTGTTTGTTGTTTTGGGACAGAGTTTTACTCTGTCACCCAGGCTAGACTGCAGTGGTAAATCACAGCTCACTGCAGTCTCTGCCTCCCCAGGCTCAGGTGATCCTCCTGCCTCCCCAGGCTCAGGTGATCCTCCTGCCTCAACCTCCTGAATAGCTGGGACTACGGTCATTTTTAATTTTTTTTTGTAGAGGTGGAGTCTCGCTATGTTGTCCAGGCTGGTCTTGAACTCCTAGGCTGAAGCAATCCTCCCACCGGGGCCTCCCAAAGTCCTGGGATTATGGGCGTGAGCCCCCACACCTGGGCTTATTTCTCGAGAAGGGGCTTGTGCTCCTCCTCACCTGATGCCTCTCCTTCTCCCACCAGCGTCATCATGACCGGGGCCTACAACAACTTCTTCCGCATGTTCGATCGGAACACCAAGCGGGACGTGACCCTGGAGGCCTCGAGGGAAAGCAGCAAGCCCCGGGCTGTGCTCAAGCCACGGCGCGTGTGCGTGGGGGGCAAGCGCCGGCGTGATGACATCAGTGTGGACAGCTTGGACTTCACCAAGAAGATCCTGCACACGGCCTGGCACCCGGCTGAGAACATCATTGCCATCGCCGCCACCAACAACCTGTACATCTTCCAGGACAAGGTAAACTCTGACATGCACTAGGTATGTGCAGTTCCCGGCCCCTGCCACCCAGCCTCATGCAAGTCATCCCCGACATGACCTTCACGACCGCAATGCAAGGAGGGGAAGAAAGTCACAGCACTGATGAGGACAGCTGCAGAGGTGGCAGTGTGTGGACACAGGAAGTTTGGGCCCCCTCCCTGCCCCAGCTTTCCTAGGCCAGAATTGTGTTTGGCAGTAATTGTCTGTTTAAAAAAATAAAAAGGAAAGGAAGCGTTCACCGCCACAAATCATAAAATGGACATGACTGTGGAGTCTTACAGTTCAGGGTTCTTTCATTCACGTCCCTTCCTGTCTCGGTCTGCGGTCTTTACCACATCAATAGGACTTTTTATGCGTCCGGGTTAATTTTTCACTCCAGTGCGTCCTGTTGCAGGGACCGGAGCTGATGGGAGCTGCTTCTCCCCCATGCCTCACTGGTCCCAGATCAGGGCTCCAGGGACAGATGATGAGTCTCAAACGAGCCAGCCAGGGGTTCTTTTGGTTATAAATGGGGCAATTCGCCCTGTCTCAGAGCTGATGACCTCACCGTTGTTTTTTGGATGGTGAATTCATGCTGAGAATTTGCAGATGCAAGCTCCTCTCCTAGGTCTTCTGAATGTCTTGAAACATCCCAGGTCCCAGGTCTGGTGCGGTTTCCCGAGAGGAGCGGAGTGGGGTTTGTCTTCTGTGTGCCTGTGTCCTCATCTGATTCACCTGCCATTTGCTGAGCCTCTGCTGTGTACCAGGCGTGGTGCTCAGCCCTAGAGGCAGTTGACTTACCCTCTGCAGCCCTCCCTGCCGCCTCACCCTTCAGCATTCACTGGGCACCTTCCCGGAGCGGACACTGACTCCCATGCACGATTTTTTGGAATCTTCCTCCTGACTGTGAGGTGGGTGTTCATTCATTTCCTCCATAAACACCAACTTCTCGAAGCGTGCCAGGCTCTGGGCTGGATGCTGGGGATAAGCGGGAACCCTTAGGATCCCCTCTGTCCACGAGAAGAAGCTGAGGCTCTGAGCGGATGCACAGGTCACCCATGGCAGGTGCCGTGCAGTGGTGTCAGGAACCCGTCCGGGTCTTCACACAAGGTTCTCTCCAGTCCATCTCGTGGGCGGCTCATGTTAGAGCGACATTCAAATGGAAGGTTTGGAAAGGAATGCCTCTGTCTTGTGAAGTAGGACATGGCAGACTTGGCGACGACAAGGGTCCAGGAGAACTGAGACGCAGGATGGAAGACAGAGAAGACCCCCCGGAGCTCCTCGCTCTGCTTGGTGGCTTCAGGAGTGTGGCCCTCCCCAGGACTCCACTTCATCCTGGGCTTGCACCCTCCTTGAGCCAATGCACTGAACTGCCTTTGAAAGGAAATTGCATGTTCTGACCATTTTAGGATACCTTTACTTTAAGGACCACACAGTCCCAGAGGACACATCCCTCGGGAACTCTGCCCCTCTGACAATGAGGGCCACAGAGAAGGTGGTGTTTCCATGGTAGATGCTCCTGTTCTGGTGATACCAAACCTGCCCACCCCTCTGAGTCGTCTTTGCTCATGGACTTGCAGCAGAGCCACGTAGTTTGGCATTTTGATTCAGAAAGTGGGGAGCAGAGACCCAGCCAAATCCAAACTTTTTTTTTGGTTTTGTTTTGTTTTGTTTTTTACAAGATATAACATAACCCAGGAAACAGACCCAGCTGAGGTTATTCTCAGTGGATTACAGTATACTTTTGTGTGTGTAAAAGCACAAAGTGCATGTGTACTCACTTCTGGCCATATAACATTTACACAGGGAAATGGATCATTGATTTTTTTTTAATCAACGTGAATGAAGAATGTTTGTTTATATATCACTATAAAATCCAGTTGACCTGGACAGTATTATATGTACATATCTATTCTAATTAAATTTAACAA
The DNA here is from genome assembly GCF_000001405.40 of Homo sapiens. NCBI lineage: Eukaryota > Metazoa > Chordata > Mammalia > Primates > Hominidae > Homo > Homo sapiens. Next base: position 6,321,391 of record NC_000004.12, on the reverse strand, counting down.
TCAAAGGATTGGATTACTTTTTTCCCCCTTGTAAAGAGGTTCGAGAATGTGGTCAATTGTATAGATAGCGTGTTAAAGCCAAAACCCAGCTCTGAGGGCCTTACCCATTACTTGGATATTTGCTACGATCCATCTCCCTTTGTGAGTCAAATGTTAAGAGAAGAAACTTGTATTTGCAGCTAGAGGTTACTGTCACATCATAGATTTAACATTTACCATCTTCAAAGTACAAATCTTACATGTCCTTCAAAAGGAGGTCTTAATACAGTTCCTAGTTCCTTACTTCTGTTTTAAACTTTGGGTACCAAACCAAAAAGAAGAAAAAAGAAAGGAAAAGATCTTCTTTGAAGAAAAGTATGTCTCTGGATCCCTGGAAAATAATGATGTCCAAAGCAAATTGTGAAGATCAAATGTGTGTTAAGAAAAGGTGTCGAGGGGAGGGACAAAACCAGAAACGGTGGAAGGACCAGTGTAATAGTCACAGACTTGCATCCTGGCTCTGCTTACATTTCCTGGTACTCTCGAATGTACGGGCGTTCACATAGTCATTGTGAAGTTGTTGGGGTTTTTTTGGTTTTGTTTTTAATTTAGCTCTTCTCTGAGGACGAAGCTGTTGGTGGTGGTGGTGGTGGGGGTGGTGGTGTGGGATACATGGTGGTCAAGTTGTCAGCCCTGATCAGTTTGGACTCTGTAACTCATAGGTGCATTCTTTTTTTCTTTGGTGTCTCACAAATTACCCAATTGTTGAATAAAACTATAAATATGTTAATACCAGCTTTTTCCAATAAAATAACAAATGTTACATCAAAAACGAGGTCCAGAATGCTGTTTGTTTTTAGTGAGTCCAACCTCATGGAGGTGGAGCCCATCAGGAGGCAATACAGTGGGTGGGGATGCCCATGGGCTTTGCACTGGGAAGCTGGGTTCACGTCAAGGGTTTGCTCCCTCTAGCTCCTAATGCAGCTCTTAACTTTCCCTAGCTCTGAATTCATCACTGAGGAAATGGAGCTAATAAGACGACCTATCTTGTAGGTTTGTGGTGGGAGAGGAAGGACAAGATTAACTTGGATAGTGCAAAACACAGTGCTTGGCACATGACACTCCGTAATGATAGTTGTCTTGTTTTGTCTGGCAGCAGGTGTGCATAGCCCATCATGATCTCCACACACACTCACACTCTCCATGAGAATATGATACAGATGAGGAAACTGATTCAGAGAGGTTAAAGAATTAGCTCGCAATCACACAGGTAGCACATAACTCCTCATCCAGTGCTCCCCCACAGACGTGCCTGAGGGTCCCAGAGAATGGAAGCCTGCGGGGGAGAGAAACCACAGGGTACCTGGATTCTTCAGGAAGCCAGAGAGGCCCCGCCCCACCTGCCACAATGGCTGAGCTAAACAGGAGAGTGTGTGGGTAAGTGTCCCACGCACGCCTGGGTTTCCCTGCACCCTGCCTGGAGCCAGGCCCTGCCTCTGGCTTTCAGGAGGGAATTCTGGGCTTCAGGTTCAGCAGGAGGAAGGCAGGTGCTATTCTGCGGGTCTGCTGGCAGGGGCTTCATTGGCGCTCAGTTCCACAGCTCCAGGACAGAGCACAGGGAGGAGGTGGCCACTTCCTGGATGTGCGTCACTGGCCACTCACTAACCTCTCTGACTGTGTGTGTACATAGTGGGAGGGCATGCCGCTCCTCCTCAGTACTGTGGGGTGACTCGACTGAACCCCGCAGTCCTGCTGTGCTGGAGGTCACCCGGCCCCTACAGGGAAGGGATGTCTCATTGTGGCTGCATGCTATCCTTTCTGCAGAGCATGGGGGTTGCTATTGTTATACCCATTGTACACATGGAGAACAGGAGGCCTAGAGAGATGAGGTAATTTAACTGATACCCAAGTTAGTAGAATTAATAAGTGGAGGGGTCAGGATTCAAACCCCAGGGGTGGAAGTGGCAGGCATGTGCGGAGGCCCAGGGTGGTGATGGATCCTGCAGCCTCAGCCTCCCCAAACCCAACTTCAGCCAACATTGACCAATTGCCAGCTCTGGGATCTTGCAGATGTGATTAAGGTCATGGACCTGAAGATGGAATTTAGCCTGGATTATCCATGTGGGACCCATCTAATCACCCAAGTCCGTGAAAGTGTAGGACCGTTCCTGGTTGTATTGGAGACAGCTGTAGCAACAGAAAAAGGCTCAGCAAGGCATGACATGAAGACTCGACCAGCGGTGCTGGATGTGAAGATGGAGGAGGGGGCCACCAGCCTAGGAACACAGGCAGCTTCTAGAAGCTGGAAAAGGCAAGGAAACAGATCCTCCTGGGACCTTCCGGAAGGAACCAGCCCTGCCCACACCTTGGTTTCAGCCCAGTGAGGCCTGTGTCAGACCTCTGACCTCCAGACTGGAAGATAATAAATATGCTCTTTTAAGCCTCTCAGTTTGCAGTCATTTGTCATGGCAGCGCCAGGGACCCCATATCCCTGGGCACTTCGTCCTGGTGACAAAGCCACCCCTTTAGGTAGGGATTTTCCCTGCTCACAGGCAAGGGCCCTTGGGAGGTCCACAGCACGCAGGGAAGCAGCAAAGCGGGGCCTGTAGCCCTGGTGGCACCACGTTGCCTTTCTTGAGCAGGGCAAGGGTAGGGCTCTTTCCTGGGGAGTTTCTGGTGGTGGTTTATGGGGCTGCAGAGGACAGAGGGGCAGCCAGATGGTGGCAGAGGTAGTGAGCAGGGCTTCTAGAGGGCCAGGCGTGTGAGGGCTGGAGCCTGTGGAGTGGTGGGGAGCTGGCCCCTGGCCAGGGACAGCTTGGCCTGCTCCAGCGGGGTCTGCACACATGGATGGGCCCCCACTCCACACCAGGCCCTGCGCTCAGAGCTGTGGCAGGCAGAGATGGCCTTGAGAGGGCTGGGAGAAATGATGCTCAATGCTTTCCCTCCCTGGATCTCTCCGGAGCTCATCTCCGGAGAGCGGGTCCTGACGTTCCTGACACCCACTGGGCTAGGTCCGGGGCTTGGCTTGGCGGGGGCGCCCCTGGGTGACCTACCCTCCTGCCCGACCTGACCTCCACCCACTGGGCTAGGTCCAGGGATTGGCTTGGCGGGGGGTGGGGGAAGCCTGGGTGACCTGGCTTCCTCCCTGACCTGCCCTCCATGTCATTCCTAGTATTCACAGAGGACACACCAGGCTCTATACGGAGGGCTGTGTACACATCATCTCATCCATCCACACAGCCACCTGATCAAGAGGATTCTGTGATTTTTCCGCGCATTTTATAAATAAGGAAACTGAAGCGTGAAGAGGTGGGTGAGTCCCTCATGGCCACAAACTGTGAGTGTTGGGGCCAGGGTCTGACCCCAGGCAGCGTGTCCGCAGAGCCCCAAGGTCTTAATTACTAAACTGTATCCTGGACCTTCTGGCTACCTGGTGGGGCCTCAGGCCTCGGAAGGTGACATTCTGGTGTGTGTTTTCCCAGCCGCTGCTCACACCTTTCCCTGCCTGAAACCAACTGTGCACCCTTTGCTCCTGAAAAGCCTCCTGAGCTGAGCGCCTCGATTCCTCCTTTCCCCACAGCCCAGGCCCCCTGGCACTGGCACGGACACAGATGTGAGACCAGGGACCATCATTCACTCACCACCGTGTCCCTGGTGCCCTGCACAGTCCTTAGGGACTACTTACTGAGCGAGGTGTATGTGGGCTCAACACTGGGTCCCCTGCAGGAGCCCAGAGAACCCTGCTCAACACTGCAGATCAAACACCCTCGCTCCCACAGGCTCGAGAGTCAAAGAAGGGATCAAAACAAAGAGAACGGGAGCTGGACCGTGGCCTTGAAGATGGGAAGCAAGAAGGCACATGGGGGAGTGGAAACAGCTTAGAGACTGAGAGAGCAGAGCCCAAGCCCGCGGTGGGGGCAACCACAAGGCAACTGGTTTGCATCATAGAACCCCAGAAAGGCTCTGGGCCTGGAGGCACCAGGGACCTCTGAGGGTGGGGAGAAAATTGAGGTTTTCTGAATGTCTTCCTCAGCAAGCATCCCTCTCCCAGCCCTGCAGAAGGCGGGAGGTTCATTCCCCAGGGATTGTGCGAGAGGCTGCGGGGACCGGGACCCCAGGAAGACCTGGCGGCAGGCAGCCAACTGAGAACAGGTCACACCCAACCCACCCACACCCCGGGGAAGGTTAAAGGCCCCCTCACTGGGAAACTGGCCAGCTGGAGAGAAAAGACCTAGGTTTGGACACTTGGAGGTCCCTCGAGATACTGCTCCATCGGCCAGACACGGTGGCTTACCCCTGTAATCCCAGCACTTTGGGAGACCAAGGCGGGCGGATTACCAGTGGTCAGGAGTTTGAGACCAGCCTGGCCAACACGGCGAAACCCTGTCGTTGCTAAAAACACAAAAATTATCCAGGCATGGTGGCATGCACCTAGAATCATAGCTACTCGGGAGGCTGAGAGGGAGGAGAATGGCTTGAACATGGGAGGTGGAAGTTGCAGTGAGCCAAGATTACACCACTGCACTCCAGCCTGGGCGACAGTGAGACTCCATCTCAAAAAAAAAAAAAAAAAAAAGGTACTGCTCCACCAAAGCATCCAACTGGGAAGCTGGCAGTTTGACACGCATCCCCACTCTGCCACAGGCACACAGAGATTCCAGGCAGCTGCTGAGATAGAAGCAGACAGCCCAGAATGCCAGACACTCAAGGACAGCCCTGCTGTGGAAAAGACCAAGACAAAAACAAGCAAACAAGCAAAGAGGAAGGAAAAGAAGCTGCAACCTTTAGCTACAGTGCCAGGTGGAATACCGTTTTCAAAACTCGGATAATGGATATCTGCATAGAGATAAGAGAATATGGAAAACATAGCCAAGGAAACACGTGGAGACTCTAAGGAAACCATGGAAATTAGAAGCATGATTGCAAAAATAAAGATCTCTGCAAAGATTGGAAGATACGGTTGAGGAAATTTCTCAGGAAGTAGAACAAAAAATATCAAAGAGAATCCCAAAGAAAATAGGTGAGAAAAAGAGATAACCTCGGCTGGGCGTGGTGGCTCACACCTGTTAATCCCAGCACTTTGGGAGGCCAAGGCAGGCTGATCACTTGAGGTCAGGAGTTTGAGACCAAGCTGGCCAACATGGTGAAACCCGTCTCTACTAAAAATACAAAAATTAGCCGGGCGTGGTGGCACGTGCCTGTAATCCCAGCTACTCGGGAGGCTGAGGCAGGAGAATAGCTTGAACCCGGAAGGCAGAGCTTGTAGTGAGCAGAGATCATGCCACTGCACTCCAGCCTGGGTGACAGAGTGAGACTCCATCTCAAAATAAATAAATAAATAAATAAATAAACAAACAAACAAAGCTAACCTCCTCAAAGAGGCCTCAGCACACAGATATGAGGAGTTCAACAAAGAAAATGGAGGAAATAAAATATTCAAAATGTTTCTGACCTGAAGAATCAAACTTTGCAGATGAAAAGAAACTACAGTGCCCGGCGCAATGGTGGAAAGCCTACCCACTTCCAGGGCCATCCCTTTGAGGATCAGAACTCAGGGAGACTGAGAACACTGTAAACGATAGCTTAGGAGAATCAGAATATGTCTTCAGGCTTCCCAGCAGCAATAAGGGAAGGGAGCGCTGCTTTCAAACTCTAAGAAGAAATTCTTGGACCTCGAATGCTGGCTATGCCCCTTCAAACTATTGATTACACGTGAGAGGGAAATGAAGGCTTTTTACCCATGCAAGGTTTTGTACCAATTAGCTTTTGGTGTGTAATGAAACACCCCAGAATTTAGTGTCTTAAAAAAAAAAGAGTAAAAACATTGACTATTTCTTACAATTCCGTGTGTGGGCTGGGAGGCAGAGCTGAGGATGAATGTTTTAGAACGGCCTCACTCACAGGTTTGCTGGTTGGCTCAGGACAACACAGATGCCATCAGCAGGCATCTCTCTCACCCAGCGGGCTCTCCCAGGCCAGCCCTGTGATCGCCCCAGTTGTTACCAGAAAGCGGTCTCAATCCAGACTCAAGAGAGGGTTTTTGGTTCTTGCACAAGAAAGAATTCGGGACGAGTCCACAGAGTAAAGTGAAAGCAAGTTTATTAAGACAGTAAAGGCAAGAAGGAATTGCTACTCCATAGGCAGCGTACGGTGTTCCCAAGAGCAAGATGAGGAACACATGTGCCTTAGGTACAGTGCTTGTTCATATATAAGACAAAGGCACAAAATCCTGGGGGAGGTGTGCTCTGCTACTAGGGCTGGTGACTAAGGATTGTTCATCTTTGTGCAACTACTGTCTTCTGCAAGAATCTTTAAAGCAAAACCTTTTTTTTTTTTTTTTTTTTTTAGACGGAGTCTTGCTCTGTCGCCCAGGCTGGAGTGCTGGAGTGCAATGGTGCGATCTCCACTCACTGCAACCTCCGCCTCCCAGGTTCAAGCACTTCTCCTGCCTCAGCCTCCCAAGTAGCTGGGATTACAGGTGCCAGCCACCATACCTTGCTATTTTTTTGTATTTTTAATAGAGATGCATTTCACCATGTTGGCTAGGCTGGTCTTGAACCCCTGACCTCAGGTGATCTGCCCACCTCAGCCTCCCAAAGTGCTGGGATTACAGGTGTGAGCCACCACGCCCAGCCACCAAACTTATTTTTGAACTAAGAATGCTTTTGTTCTTAAGGTGTCGGGACATCAGGACATCTCCTGGATCTGTTAAGTCCGGGGTCTGTTTGGTAAACATCGTTCACTTGTTCCCCATCTGTGAATCTCCTGTTGACTAAGAATGCCTAACCTCCTGGGAATATAGCCCAGCAGGTCTCAGCCTCATTTTACCCAGCCCCTATTCAAGATGGAGTCACTCTGGTTCCAATGTCTCTGACACTGGAGCCCCCAGTGTCAGTAAGATAAGCCCCAAGGCACACCTGCCTCTCAAGTCTCTGCTTGTGTCATATTTCCTGTCGTCTCATGGGCCAAAACAAGTCACAGGAGCAAGCCCAGGTCACCGTGAGGGGAGATGACCCAAAGGTATGGACCTATGTTGGGAAGTTTTCAGACTGGCTCCCGTTCACATAAAGGCAATTTCTCAGGAAGTTGCTGGAGGGTGTGCGCCACTAACACGAAACCAGGAAAGAAGGAAACACATGAGGCAGGGACTCCTGGTTGTCCCTGACATCTGACCTTCCCTTCGTACGTCGCATTGGAGTTGTTATCTGGACACAGGATTGTCCCCCAGAGCCAGGTGGGGCCAACAGCGAGGACAATGGAAGTGATCTGCTCCAGGCACTACTGTAAGAGGGGAGAAGCCTGTCTTTCACCTGCCCTCCCATCCTAAAGGCTGGCCAGACTGTAGACACAGTGCTGAAAGTGTAACCACCCAGTGGGTTCACCTTGCCCACTGCCTGGACAGAGCCGATTTATCAAGACAGGGGAACTGCAATGGAGAAGGTAATTTATGCAGAGCTGGCTGTGAGGGAGGCTGGAGTTTTATTATTACTCAAATCAGTCTCCCCAAGCATTCGGGGATCAGAGTGTTAATTTCAATTATAACTTTATTAATTAATTAATTTGGAGACAGAGTCTCACTCTGTCGCCCAGGCTGGAGTGCAGTGGCACGATCTTGGCTCACTGCAACCTCCACCTCCTGGGTTCGGGCGATTCTCCTGCTTCAGCCTCCCGAGTAGCTGGGATTACAGGCACCCACAACCATGACCGGCTAATTTTTGTATTTTTAGTAGAGATGGGGTTTCACTGCATTGGCCAGGCTGGTCTCAAACTCATGACCTCAAGTGATCTGCTCATCTTGGCCTCCCAAGGTGCTGGGATTACAGGCGTGAGTTACTGCGCCCGGCCGGGATCACAGTTTTTGAAGACAATTTGGTGGGTAGGGGCTTGGGAAGTGGAGAGTGCTGATTGGTCAGGTTGGAGATGGAATCATAGTGGGTTGAAGTGAGGTTTTCTTAATGTCTTCTCTTCCTAGGTGCAATGGTAGAACTGGTTGAGCCAGATTACTGGTCTGGGTGGTGTTGGCTAATCCATCGAGCACAGGGCCTGCAAAATATCTCAAGCACTGATCTTAGGTTTTACAATAATGATGTTATCCCCAGGAGCAATATGCCGAGGTTCAGACTCTTAGAGCCAGAGGCTGCATGACCTCTAAACTGTGATTTCTAATCTTGTAGCTAATTTGTTAGTCCTGCAAAGGCAGACTGGACCCTAGGCAAGAAGGGGGGTCTTTTTGGGAAAGGGCTGTTATCAATTTTGTTTCAGTCAAACCATGAACTGAATTCCTTTCCAAAGTTAGTTTGGCCTATGTCCAGGAATGAACAAGGACAGCTTAAAGGTTAGAAGGAAGATGGAGTCGGTTAGGTCTGATTTTTTTCACTGTCATAATTTCCTCAGTTATAATTTTGTAAAGGTGGTTTCAGGACCTGGAGCAACTAGTTTAGATCTCAAGATAGAAAATGTGGGTCAAAAGAGAGAGAGCGACAAGAGAGAAGAAACCTGCCTGGAGCCAGCACACTAGCCTAGGCCACCTACTCAGATGGTGACCTGAGAGAGAAATACAATTCTGGTTTGCATAAACTTCTGTATTGGGGGGTCTCTTTGTTATAGCAGCCTAGCCTGTTTCCCAGTTAATCCATCTGGGATCCCAGAAACAGGGATACCACGGAGGAGAGACACAAAAGGAACACCCGGGTGACAGTGAGGGAGTCCCCAGGGTGACAGCTGGGTGGTGGGCCTAGAGAGTGAACAGTCCAGATTGACACAGGAAGATGGGAAGTTCCAAACAACAAATCTACGGGGCTGGGGAAGCAGAAATTGAGAGCTTATCTGATAGTTTTAACACATTGAGAAAAATTTTCTATTTTTCACAAATGAATTAGTGGTCAATGTGGAGAAAACTAGACAAACAAAAAACTAGATAATTATTAGGCACAGCATAAACAAAAAGTAATCATAAGCCGGCCGCAGTGGCTCACGCCTGTAATCCCAGCACTTTGGGAGGCCAAGGCGGGTGGATCACCAGAGGTCAGGAGTTTGTGACCAGACTGGCTAACGTGATGAAACCCTGTCTCTGTGGTGGTGTGTGCCTGTAATCCCAGCTACTTGGAAGGCCGAGGTAGGAGAATCGCTTGAACCCGGGAGGCGGAGGTTGCAGTGAGCTGAGATCATGCTACTGCACTCCAGCCTGGGTGACAGAGTGAGACTCAGTCTCCAAAAAAAAAAAAAAAGAAAGAAACATAATCATAGTGCCTTCCGTGGCCCAGCAGTGAATCCTATTTACACAGCACAGAAATGATGGACACTGATTTAACAGGACCCAGTGAGATGGTGATACTGGGAAGGTGGCTTGTCCATTAAAGTCTCGTTGAAGGAGGCCAGAGGGGCCATATGAGAGACGATTTTTCTTTCATGGTGTCTACACATATTATCTCAAACTGGAAAATCAGAAATAGCATTTGAACATGTTATTCCAAAACATGAAGGTAATTAGCAGAAGAAACAGCTGAAAGGGGTGGAGGCCGTTCCTCTGAGGCATGGCAACTGGGGGTGAGAGCAAAGGGATAGGGGCTTTAAAAACCATGAGCATTTAATTTAATTTAAAGAGAAAGGAAGCAAAGATGTTGCCGGAAAGGGGTCCCAATCCAGACCCCAAGAGAGGGCTCTTGGATCTCGTGGAAGAAAGAATTCAGGGCAAGTCCATGGAGAAAAGTGAAAGCAAGTTTATTAGGAAAGTAAAGGAATACAAGAATGGCTACTCCATGGACAGAGCAGCCCGAGGGCTGCTGGTTGCCCATTTTTATGGTTATTTCTGATGATATGCTAAACAAGGGGCGGATTATTCATGCCTCCCCTTTCTAGACCATATAGGGTAACTTCCTGACATTGCCATGGCATTTGTAAACTGTCATGGCGGTGGTGGGAGTGTGGCAGCAAAGACGACCAGAGGTCACTCTCATGGCCATCTTGGTTTTGGTGGATTTTGGCCGGCTTCTTTACTGCAAACTGTTTTATCAGCAAGGTCTGTATGGCTTGTATTTTGTGTCAACCTCCTATCTCACCCTGTAACTTAGATGCCTTAACTGTCTGGGAATGCAGCCCAGTAGGTTTCAGCCTCATTTTACCCATCTCCTATTCAAGATGGAGTTGCTCTGGTTCACACGCCTCGACAGCCCTGCCATATGACTCCTGATGGGTGGGGTGGAGAGTGTGAGAAGGGTTCAGGGACTGGCAGAACCTGAGCTGGGCTGGCAGGAGATGGAGATGCCTCCAAACCAAGGGGTTCCTGGGTGGAACATGCTCTGCTCTGTCTCCACTCTGGAGCAGGGTTTGCTGATGACAGTCCCTGCACTTCCTCAGGCCCCCGCTTACCTATCTGCCCATTGGAAGGGAGCGTGTCTTGACCATGCCCAGCACAGGAGCCTTGAGAACTGGAGAATGAATGGATGATGGACTAAATCCATAAATTCATGAATGATTGAATAAATGATTGAAGGAATGAATGGCTCCATGAATGAATGATTGTGTAAATGATGGTGTGATAGATACTTCATTTCTCAACAAATCATAGCCACCCTGAAAAGCAGATCTTTATAATCCTGATCTCACAGAGGAGCCAACTGAGGCTGGAAAAGTTAGGAGGTGTGCCCAAGGCCCATCCTATAGGATAGTGACAAGTGTGACCACTGATTGACACCTACTGTGTGCTGGGCCTTGTGTCGCACACTTTGCACTCTATCGTATTCTACATAAACCCATGAGGCAGGTCCTATTATTGCTCCTGTTCTAGAGGTAAGGAACTTGAGCTTCAGAGGTTAGGGAACCTGCCCAGGGCCACACAGTAAAGGCAGAGGCCAGGCTGGAACGCAGGTCTCTCAAACCTATGCGGTCATAGGTTCTGGAGCTGGGGTCTGGCCCCATTCTGTCCTGACCCCAGTGCCTCTGTTCTTCCTCCACTGATACCTCAAAGCAAAGGGTGGTGAACTCCACCCAGCCTGCAGAATCTAGGGAAAGTTGTAAGGTTTCTATTGGTAACTATATTAGGGTTCTCCGGAGTGACAGAAGTTATAGGATCTATGTGTCTATGAAAGGGGGTTTATCAGGGAGAATTGACTCACATGATCACAAAGCAAAGTTTCCTGATAGGCTGTCTGCAAGCTAGGGAAGAAGGAAGCCAGTAGTGGCTCAGCCCGAGTCCAAAAGCCTCAAAAGTAGGGAAGCCAAGAGTGCAGCCTTCAATCTGTGGCAGAAAGCACAGATTTCGGCAAACCACTGGTGTAAGTCCCAGAGTCCAAAGGCCGAAGAACCTGTAGTCTGATGTCCAAGGGCAGGAGGAGTGGAAGGAAGCATCCAGCATGTGAGGAAGATGAAGGTGGAAGACTCAGCAAGCCAGCTTCTCCCACCTTCTTCTGCCTGCTTAGTTGGAGGCGCGCTGGCAGCGGATTGGATGGTGCCCACCCACATGGAGGAGAGGTCTTCCTCTCCCAGTCCACTGACTCAAATTTCAGTCTCCTCTGGCAACACCCCCACAGACACACCCAGAAACAATGCTTCACTAGCTTTCTAGGCATCTCTCAATCCAATCAAGTTGACACCTAACGGTAACCATCACAGTACCTATCGGGATTCATTCTTTATATGCTACAAAAAGTTCCTGCGTAATAACTTCTGCTAGTTTTTGCTGAAAGAAATCCAAACAGCCTCGAAAAGGGGACAGCCTCCTTGACTTAAACTAAACACAAAGCCCTCCCTGGTTTGGAAATACCTGGAGAAACTTGCCCCTTGGGTCTGAGCAGCCGTAGAGCAAGCAAGGGCAGTGATGGTGAGAGGTGACAGCGTACTGGCAGCCCCGCTCGCTCTCGGCGCCCCCTCTGGCCGCGCTTCAGGGGCCCTTCAGCCCGCCGCTGCACCGTGGGAGCCCCCTCTCTGGGCTGGCCGAGGCCGGAGCCGGATCCCTCTGGGCTGGCCGAGGCCGGAGCCGGATCCCTCGGCTTGTGGGGAGGTGTGCAGGGAGAGGCGCGGGCGGGAACGGGGCTGCGCGCTGCGCTTGCGGGCCAGCGAGAGTTCCGGGTGGGCGGGGGCTCAGCTGGCCTCGCTCTCGGAAAAGCCGGTCGGCGCCGCCCGCCACGGGCGGTGAGGGGCTTAGCACCCGGGCCAGCAGCTGTGGAGGGTTCGCCGGGTCCCCCAGCAGTGCCAGCACTGCGCTCGAATTCTCGCCGGGCGTCAGCTGCCTCCCCGTAGGGCAGGGCTGGGGACCTGCAGCCCACCATGCCCGAGCCTCCCCCTGGCCGTGGGCTCCTGCGCGGCCCAGCCTCCCCGACAAGCGCCGCCCCCTGCTCCGCGGCACGCCGGGTCCCATCGACCGCCCAAGGGCTGAGGAGTGAGGGCGCAGGGCGCGGGACTGGCGGGCAGCTCCACCTGCAGCCCGGTTGGGGGATCCACTAGGTGAAGCCAGCTGGGCTCCTGAGTCTAGTGGGGATTTGGAGAACCTTTGTGTCTAGCTAAGGGACTGTAAATACACCAATCAGCACTCTGTGTCTGGCTCAAGGTTTGTAAAGGCACCAATCAGTGCTCTGTGTCTAGCTAATCTAGTGGGGACTTGGAGAACTTTTGTGTCTAGCTCAGGGATTGTAAACGCACCAATCAGCACCCTGCAAAACGGACCAATCAGCTCTCTGTAAAACAGACCAATCAGCTCTCTGCAAAATGGACCAATCAGCAAGATGTGGGTGGGGCCAGATAAGGGAATAAAAGCAGGCTGCTGGAGCCAGTAATGTTGACACCCTCGGGTTGTCTTCTGTGGTGTGGAGGCTTTGTTCTTTTGTTCTTTGTGATAGATCTAATTGCTGCTCACTCTTTGGGTCTGTACTGCGTTTATGAGCTGTGACACTCGCCGTGAAGGTCTGCAGCTTCACTCCTGAACCAGCGAGAGGAGGAACCCACCAGAAGGAGGAAAACGCGGAACACATCTGAATATCAGAAGGAACAAACTCCAGACACGCCGCCTTTAAGAACTGTAACAGTCACCGCGAGGGTCCGTGGTTTCATTCTTGAAGTAAGTGAGACCAAGAACCTGCCAATTTCAGACACAATGGAGAGCGCCAGTCCTGCTGCGGGGCCATACATCTATTTAATTTCCTCTCATCTTCCCCCCGGTTCCGAGAGGAAGGTGCTTTCACCTGCACTGTTCCCATGAGGAAACGAGGCTTCAGGAATCTGATAAAGCTTCCAAACTCCCGTGGCTGGCAGGAACCAAGGTTTCGATGGCCGGACTTCTCAGCCCCCCAGGTGGAAAAGCAGGAGGCATGACAGATGAGGGTGAGAGTGCATGCCAGGTCAGGCTGAGAAGGCGACAATGCCATATGGTTTTTTCCACTTAGCTTAGCTCCAGGATGACTTTGAACAGTGTTACAGCCCCATGGGCAGAAAATTGCACTTGCCTCAAGCTTCATTAAAGCAAATCGAGTCAGAAGGGATTGAAACACCTGGAAGAAATGCAATGGATTCAAACAGGGAAAAGGTGTGGGTCCGTCCCTTTTCCTGGTAAATCCAGCAGCCTAGGAGATGTCAGAAAAACATTCCAAGGTTCCTGGACTTTTAAAGAGGCTAAGGATGGGGCCTGCCAGGTACAGGATGGCCCATGCAGGTGGAGATGCAGCCACAGGATACCTGGGATTCATTGCAGCCTCGTCACTTACCAGTGTTGGCACTGTATCGGTTATCCCGAATTTAACAGCCTAAAGCCACATTCGTCATCTTATACTCTGTGGGGGTAGGGAATCCAGGAGTGGATTCACCAGGAGGTTCTGGCTGGGTGTCTCCCCGGAGCCGCAGGCGAGTGTGGGCCGTGGCAGCCATCCCTGTTTCCAAGTGCACCATGTGGCAGTTGGCTTGAGGCTCCAGGTCCTTGAGGTGCAGGCTTCCCCACGGGGCTGCTCGCGGCATGGCTTCCTCACCCAGAGTGATGGATCCGAGAGAGAGCAGCCAAACTGAAAGCCACAGCCTTTTGTAAGCAAACCTCAGAAGTGACATCTCGTCACATCTGCCATATTCTACTGGTCGCACAGACCTATCCTGCTACATGGAAGGAGCAGCAGGAAGGTGGTGGGGATTGCTGGGACCATCTTGGAGGCTGCCACAGACATCCAAGGTGAGTTACCGCCCTGCTCCGTGCCCAGGTACCCCTGGATAAAGTGGGGACAATAACATCACCCTCACGAGGTTTTCAAAAGCATGTCCACAAAGCAGCCACCAGTGTCAGGCAGGCGGTAGGTGTTCTGCAGGGAGTAGTCGGCTGCCCCACCCAGCTCTGGGCCCAGCTCCCTCTGATGGGGCTGGTGTCCTTGGGGCTCTTCCAGCTCCAGCAGAAATGGGGAGCGGGATACCGGGTCACCTCACTGCCTGGCTTGCTGGGCCAGGCTCTCGGCTCTCAGCCCCAGTTATACACTCATCTCAGCCGGGGCTTCCCAAAACGCAGCACCCGAGTTCTTCCCATCTTTGGGGGTGGGATTCAGCACAGGACCCCACTGTCCTAAAGAGACAGGTTATTCTGTGACTAAAATAGGAAGGAAAGGGCCTTTCTGGCTAACGGCAGAAAAAAACACATCTAGTTAGAGGAAAGCTTGAAACAGTGAGTTTAGCTGATTTGATCACTTCTGGACGGAAAGAAAAGGGAACCCGAGTCTTTTCTGTTTTGTTTGCTTTGTTTTGTTCCCCAAGCTACTTTCCAAAGTCACTGTAGAAGTTCAGCACTTTAGGAACAACTTTAACAATGGTTTGCCAGCCTCCAAGGTGTGGTTTCCTAGCAACTGGGAAGCTTTTAGAGCTCCAAATAATTGATCAAGTTATGAGTGACTCAAGCAACAGCGAAGTCCTTTTTAGAAAAACAACAAAGCACCTTTATCTTTACCTGGGTGCTGTTAGAATTACGCGGGGGGCCCACGCAGATGACATCATGAGCCTCAGAGAGGGACAGACAAGCTGCAAAAGGCAGCAACATTCAGGGATAACAGGCAGGGAGCAGGAGCCCAAAGGTTTTCCAGGAGACACCTCAGAGAGGGGCTCAGGAGCCATGCAGAGGGGTGGGGGCATGGGAATCTGGGACGCTAGAGCCCTGTCAGTGGCCCAGTCTGACTCTGTCAGCTGTGTCTCTCTGGAGGCTGCAGGCGAGAACCATCTCCTCACCTTTTCCAGCGTGAGAGACACCCACATTCCTTGGCTCATGGCCCCTTCCCCCATCTTGAAGCTTGCAGGGTGGCATCTTCCAATCTCACACCCTGACCCTCCAGCCTCCCTCTTACAAGGACACTTGAAATTACTTTGGGCCCTTCTGGATAGGAAAGTCCAGAATCATCTCCCCGGTATCAAGATCTTTAACTGAATCCCATCTGCAACATCCCTCCTGCCATGCAAGGGAACACACAAACAGGATTTGGGGATTAGGACCTGGACACCTTTGGGGGCTGCGATTCTACCGCCCGCAGTCTTCACAATGGACGTGTCTATTTTGCAACAGCCGCTAGGATGAGAAAATGCATGGTATGTGTCCAGCATATAGTGGGTGCTCCATTAATGTGGTGAAACTGGGCAGAGCATCACAGCGCTCACGGTAGATGACTGTAGCACTTTTCTCTACCTGCCATTGTGCTATATTCACTGACTGGTACCTGGTCCATCTCCCCACAAACACCCCTCCCAGTGGGGCAGGGGCTCTCTGTTCATTCTGCATCCCCTGTGCCAGGAAGAGTGAAGCACACAGCAGGTGCTGAATATTTTGAGTGAATGAGTGTTCATTTTCTTTGTCATGAAGAGGAAGCACCATTTATCGGATAGGGTCCTGGCTGTCAAAGTGTGCTTTCCCCGAGCTGCCGGATGAGACGTGTTGGGCCACGTGGCTGTTTGTTTAATAGCCCTGACACCCCATCCTGCTGATTGGGAGCTGGGGTGGTTACAGGATTCTGTCCTCAGGTGGCAGACTTGAGAGACAGGTCCTGGTTCATGGGCATCTGCAGAAATGTGCGTTTTTGTCACCTCACTTGGGAGTGTACTTGCATGATGTAGGATCAAAAAAAAGGAAGAGAGCACTTGAATGATTGAGCTTTGAATGACTGGTCTTTAACAGCATGTCCAAAGGAGGCAGAGAGGTCTTTCTGATGGCTTCGCTACCCAAGAATGGACAGTGAAGGCCCCCTGAAAGAATGCCCCTAGGGAGCTGGGCTTCCAGAGGGCTTGGAAACTCTGGCGCCAAACCCTCTCTTGGCACTTGAGATGGCACCACCCAATTCGGTCTTTCCTGACTCATTCTCTCAAATGCTACTACTTCGTAGAAGCAAAGTGAGACCCTGCCCCCGGTCCCTCCCTGGGTGTCCTACAGCTCCATACGGTGAAGGGGCAGACCAGAGCAGGTGGCCGGGACGGGGTGTTAAATAATGGCTGTTCCTGCAGACGGCAGGTTCTTTCCTGGGTGGGGTGGTCGGCGGGGCCCGGGGAGCCTCTCTGTAAAACCCAGAACAAATGTGGAGGCTGCAGTGAGCCGAGATAGCACTACACTCCAGCCTGGGTGACAAAGTGAGACCCTATTTCAAACAAACAAACAAACAAAAACGGTGTTGCTAAGAAGTTTTGAAAACCACTAACTTAGCCCAGGCTTTCCGTTTTACAGATTGGGACACTGAGGCCTGGGGACAGGTGTTAAATGGTGCCGGGTGGCACAGGGGTTTGTGGCAGAATGAGTGGAACCCGGGACCATGCCCATTCTGGACTCTGCCCAAAAGACAGCACCACTTCTCCTCCAACCTGTGCCTCTGCCGGTTGGTTAGAAACTAATTGTGGATGCTGAGTGGCAGTGTGGTGGCCCAGGGGAAGGGGACAGGCAGAGCTCTGTCCTTCCTGCTCTGCTATGTGCCATGTGATAACGTGCTAATGTGCTATGGCCTCCACTCTGAACCTCGGTGCCGTCTTCTGTAGATGGGGGATGTTGGAGCATCTTCCTCATCCAGGGGTTGTGAGGGAGATGCTGTGTTGTCATCTTTGTTCACTTGGAAAGCATCAGGCGACTTCCCTCCTCTGCAGTCAGTGGGGATCCTGGGGGCAGAGTCACAGGGCGAGGGCCTTCCATGGCTTCACAAATCCACAGAATGGGGAGAGGAAATGAGGCTGAACCCCAACCTCATCTCATTGCCTGGGAAAGAAACCCAGGGGCGAGCATGTGGCTCGGAGTGATGACACCTCCTGAGCCTCTCGTGTGGTTTCACGCAGAGGACAGTGTGGGGGTGCAGCTTCCACCACCCGTGGCTCGGAGTGATGACACCACCTGAGCCTCTCGTGTGGTTTCACGCAGCCCCTCCAGGCAGGACAAACCAGGATGAGAGGACAGTGTCGGGTGTAGCTGCCACCACCCAGTGTCGTCCAAGGAAAATGGAGCAACCACATCCTGCATGGCAACACCAGGTGGCCAAGCCAGATCGTGTGACCACTCGACGCTTCCCACCCACAGCAAAGAGGTGAGGCCTGGTGCCCAGCAGAGAGCAGCCCAGCCTACGGGGGACAGGAGCAGGTACAGGCCACGTCCTCAACCTCAGGGAAGACACCAAAGACCCAAGGGGCTGGGACAGACAGGCTGCCCAAGAGGGGTGAGGTTTGCTGAGGGGCCTGCAGCTGCTCGGGTGCCCCCAAATGACTAAGTTCTGATTATAATCCCATGGGGTCATCACTGCAGGTTAGGGAACACAGGAGGTGGTTTCACAACACACTCCCGCATGGACAGCAGCCCCCACGCCATCAATCACCCTGTAGGCTCCACTTCATGGGTAACTGGAATTCAAAGATAATTATGACCGTGCACTTTCCGCTCAGTAAGATCTGAAGATGGCTGGGCTGACACTCCATGGTCACCTTCAGCACAGGTCTCTCTGCACAGGCAGCCCATGCCCAGGCCACCCCACAGTTACGGCAGATGCCCCAGGGGCCCCTCCAGCTGGAGATGAAGCCAGGGTCTCGCTGTGGCAGGAAGCCATCAACTGTGAAACATCAACCTTGCTCTTTTATAACTCAAATTGCACTTGCATTTCATTCAACAGGAGTGCAGGCTCTGCTGATTCTCACGCACGTACAAGAAAGACTTCTTTTCGGTAAAGAAAGGAAGGAAAGCGCTGCAGGTTCCACCAGAGGCTTTTATTTCAGCCACTCAGGACCCTGGCTTTCTGCTCCAAGGCACTGAACACAGTCAGGCTCTTCTAAACACTGGCAGGGACCTCCCCCACAGCCGCCCCCACAGGGTTCTCTGTTTCCCAAGTCCTGATGGATTCAGGCAAGACCTTCACACATTCACCCACTACCTGCTGGACAGGAGGGTCATGAGGCAGCCTGTGGTGCCCAGCTCAGTGTGACACACTGCCAATGTGCCGCCTCCCCCAGCCTCTGATGGGGCCGGGCCTTGACCACGTGACAGGCTCAAGCTGCCGTGCACATCCCCCAGGAAAGGGGAAGAGCTGCTAAGGTGTAGCAGTGACCAAACAAATAAGAAATGCTACTGTGGAGGTTACACAGATGCTTATTTGGTTTTTAAACAAATCCAACACAAAAGAAAGAAAGAGGGAACAGGGTGCTTGAAGGTGGGGGAGGAGAGGGAATCTCATCTGTAAAGTGCTTTTCCAGACACCGGAACCTCCTAGTCTAGCCTGGCACACCCATGTCACTCAGAAAGGTCAGGCTCAGGGTGGAGATGGCATGCAATTCCCAACACACTTGGTATTCAGAGTGGACAGAGCTACACAGCAGCCTTCCCTTTGTCGGGGTCCACGCAATCTACACATGGTCGCAAGGTCTCTGCAGCCACAGTCTGCACACGTGGGCACAGGCGGCACTGGTGCATGCCTGTCGGGCTGGGGCCACACTGGGGAAAGGCCTCATGGCAACATGCACTGGAAGCTCCTCGTGGCGGACCATCCTCAGGCCGCCGACAGGAATGGGAAGAAAAAGAAGTCGAAGGCGAACTTCACGGCGCCATGCACGGTGCTGCGCCAGTCGTGCTCGATCTTCACGTGCCGCCTGGTGGGTGAGAGCTGGGCCATGCAGTTGAGGCAGCTGATGGCCTTGAGCTCGAAGACAGGCCACTTGCTGCCCAGGCGGCCCTCCAGGATGGTGCTGAACTCGATGAGGCTGCCCTGGCGCAGGCTGAGCAGCACGCTCTTGAACTCGCTGCTGGCCCGCAGCACGATGTCCTTGGTGACGTCGTCCTCCTCGCGGCTGCGCGAGCCGTCAGCGCCGCTGCTGAATGGCATGCCCACGGTAATCTCAAACTTGTAGCGGTCGAACTTCTTGATGTGGCAGGGGTGCTTGGCCAGCAGCTTAAGGCGACAGAGCTCCTCCTCGGCCGTGGAGGTGTTGCCAGGGCTGCAGGCAGGGTAGGCCTCGCCGTAGAGGCAGCGCATCCAGTCGCCGATGAAGAACGGGAGCATGTTGATGGCAGACTCGGCGCTGTTGTCGATGTCAGTCACGCGGACGTACTTGAAGCGGCCGGTCCACGTGACCCTGTGGCCCTCCAGGTGGCTGCAGAGGATCTGGGTGCGCGCCATGTTGGTCTCCTTCCAGGCGCGTGGCCCGCACAGCGCACCATACTGCTGCCAGGTCAGTGTGGAGTTGTAGACCTTCATGCCCTCTGAGCGGTACACATAGAACCAGCAGAACAGCACGATGGCCGTGAGCCACACCAGGATGAGCTTGACCATGGAGCTCCGCGTCAGGGACTTCACCATCCCCACCACAGAGAAGCTGGCCTTGGTCCACCAGCGCAACAGCAGGGGCACACTACAGACCGCCACGGTGACTGCGATCTTGGTGAGC
The DNA here is from genome assembly GCF_000001405.40 of Homo sapiens. Classification (NCBI taxonomy): domain Eukaryota; kingdom Metazoa; phylum Chordata; class Mammalia; order Primates; family Hominidae; genus Homo; species Homo sapiens. Next base: position 6,301,573 of record NC_000004.12, on the reverse strand, counting down.
TCCAGAGACGTGAACCACCGGGCGAACTGCAGCACGCCCACCAGGGCCAGGCCGGCCACCAGGATGGGGAGGGCAAAGAGGAAGAGGAAGTAGCCGATGGAGGCGCGGAGCAGCCCCAGGCCGGTGGACTCCAGCAGGATGACCACGGAGAGCTCACACCACATGAAGCACACCAGGTAGGGCACAAGGTAGCAGTAGGTGCCCTTGAAATTCCTCAGCTGTGCCATGCGGAAGAAGAGATAGAGCAGGTAGACATAGAGCAGGCACGGGACGCTGACGTTGAGGACGACCAGGTGGCCGACAGGCACGGTGATGAAGGTCTGGCCAAGGACCTTCAGGTAGGGCCAATTCAAGGGCATGGAGGGCAGCAGCGATAGCAGGCCGGCGGTGACCTCGGTGGCCAGGGCCCTGCGCGTGTAGGGCTCTGCATGGGTGCTCAGGCTCAGGTAGCTGGTCACGGTAAAGAAGCCGGTGATGACAGCCAGCTCCGAGCAGGGGATGCAGTCCTTGCTGGCGATGGGGAAGGAGAAGATGACGAAGAAGACAGAGAGCAGGAAATGGGCATAGGGCTCCAGGTGGTTCCAGCCGAAGTTGACCTCGGCCTGCTCCACATCCAGGTTGGGCTCGAAGCGCAGCAGCAGGTCGGTGAGGGTGCGGAAGTTCTCCCAGGCCTTGCTGTCCTGGAACACCTTGAGGGTGCAGATCACCATGGAGATGAAGGACAGGTAGAAGATGACCAGCGGGATGAAGAAGGCGAAGAAGTCGATGGTGAGGTTGCTGACGATGAAGAAGAAGATGAGCGCGTTGATGTGGTGCGTGGGGATGATGGTGGACAGCCAGTGCATGCCTGCCCTGGAGGCCATGTCAATCAGGTACTCCTTGATCTCCATGATGGCGTGCAGGGGGTACTTGACCACCTGGGGGAAAGATGGTACGTGGGAACGAGGCTGGGACAGGACCCCCACTGCTCCCATCTCACGCCTCCCTCTGACCACCCTGCCTCTGGGCAAAAGGAACCCGCACCCTTGCGTTTTCCCATCACCAGCCCCATCCTAGTGGTCCTCCCTCCCCCCTTCTCCAGGTGGCCCTCCCCATGCTCGCGGTCCCTGTGAGCCCTCCCTCTTCTGGGCCTGGAGCCCCCCTCTGCCCCGTGCCTGGCTCCCCACCTTCTACCAGCGTGACTAGATGCATGTGTGCTTCTCTCCCTGCAAGACCTCCAGCACTGGAGGGACCCACGGGCTCCCCACTTCCCTCCCCTCAGGGTCACCCACATGAAGAGATGACGGAGCCCTGAGATGCCTGTCTGGGAGCTGGTTTTGTGACCCAGCTCTGCACTACAGCAAGGATGTCACCTCCCTGAGCCTCCATGAAGGGAAATGGCGATCCTTACGAGGAGGAGAAGCCGCAGGCAGTCCCCGGAGGGGTGGCAGAGCAAGCATTAGGGAAAGGGAGTTCAGTGCAGACACAGGCAGAGGGCCCAGCACCACTCTCCCAGCAAAAATACCGTTCAGCTGCACGGGGCTGCCGGGTGAGCTGCCCTCCCTATGGCCGGAGACCCTGAGAAGCAGCTGCCAGGCCACCTTCTGCCCGTACACACACGTGCACACACACACACGCAACCCACCCCTACACACACGCATTCACACAAACCCACCCCATACACACACACACAACCCACCCCTACACACACACATGCAGCCCACCCCTACACACACGCATTCACACAACCCACCCCTATACACATTCACACACACGCAACCTACCCGCATTCAAACAACCCACCCCTACACACACATTCACACACACGCAACCCACCCCTACACACACACACGCAACCTACCCGCATTCACACAACCCACCCCTACACACACATTCACACACACGCAACCTACCCGCAAACAACCCACCCCTACACACACATTCACACACACGCAACCCACCCCTACACACACACGCAACCTACCTGCATTCAAACCCACCCCTACACACACATTCACACACACGCAACCCACCCCTACACACACATTCACACAACCCACCCCTATACACATTCACACACACGCAACCCACCCCTACACACACGTGCACACCCACCCCCACACGTGCACCCTCACACATGCACACCCACCCCTACACGTGTGCACCTACACATACACACCAGCGCACCCCTACCTCCCCATAGTCAAGGCCAAAGGCTGCCTTCCCCCGACCTGTGGGTCCTGCTCCCCTGCTCTGCATGCAGCGCTAAGGTCAGAAAGAGCTCTTGGCCTTCACCACAGCCAAGAGGAGCAGAGGGCTGAGGGAGGCATGCTGGGAGCAGCCTCAGGATGGGGTGAAGCAGCGCTGCCACCCAGGGCCAGCCCTCATGCCTTCCTGGTCTGTGCAGAACTCAGAGGCCCTGAGCCCTGCCAGAACACAGGGCAGCCAGGCAGAGGGACTGGAGGGGATGGGGGACAAAGTGGCCATGGTGCCAGTGCTCACACAGCATGGCGTGGCATACAAAGCAGGTTCTGTGCATCTTCAGAAGTGCCAGGGGCCTGGACCAACACCAGGAAGTGGACGCCTAGGGGGCGGCCCCACATGGGGGTAGGGAAGCCTGGCTGCATGTCCAGGGCCCACTGAGGGGCTACATGACACATCCAGGCTGGAGCCCCCCATCAGCTCCGGGCCTCGGGGAAGCACCAGACCCCACAAATCCCCTGGGGCAGGTTCTCTCCACCAGGCCCACCAGAAGGCCAAGGAGGGATCCCAGGTGAATGGCAACTAGGTGACAACACCAGAATGTGGCCCTCACCTGCCAACAGCCTGGCTATCAGCTCTGGAGGACCAGGACACCTGGAAACAACCAGAAGACTGAGTCTTCCACAGATGAGAGGAGAGGGGCAGGCTCATGGAGGAAACGGAAGTGTTATGAGTGTGTGCATGCATGTCTACACAGACTGAGCCTTCCACAGATGAGAAGGACAGGCTCATGGAAGAAACGGAAGTGTTTAGGAGTGTGTGCATGCACGTCTACACGTGGGGGAACAGCTCTGCTGCTTCATGTATATTTGTGACAGTCCACTTAATCTCTGTTTTATAACAAGCAAATAAACGATTAAAGCAGCTAACAGCTCCCCTAGCTCTCTCTGGGGTCAACAACCTTCTACATGAGCAGAGAGGCGCTCACACTGCCAGGAGATGGCCAGGGAAGACCAGGCACTACAGGGTTTGAGGGCATTTCCAACGCTTGCCAGAGAGCCAGAGGGCATTTATGAAAACCAACCTACTCCAGGGTTTGTTTGGGGCAAGCCCCTGTAGTATGACGCCAGGCCAGCTGGCTAAAATCAACAGCTACACGAGTCAACATGTGCGTCAGCCGGCAGGCTGCTCAGTTAATCCCCGTATGGGGGCCTTGCGAACAGCAGGACAACTAAAGGTGGCCTGGCCCGCCACTGCTCACCACCAGTTTCACGCACGACCGCCACGGTAGCAAGGGGGTGGCCTTGGTAAAAATAAATCTGAAATCCTGTCTTACTCAAAGCCATGCACATTCTTTTGCCTAGAACACACACAACCACCTGGTTGAGAGGGCCTTTAAAAGACAAGGAATATTCTAGAACATTACGTTGGATGGCGTCTAGCCTCTGCTTGGACAGTGTGGAGGGGCTGGTCCCCCACCTGAACTCGATGACCAGGGAACGATCCCCTTTTTAAAGCCCCAATTTCTGCTCCCTGCAATGTACACCCAAGACCTTCCTCTGACATGGGATTAAAAAGTTCAGTCTCCTTTTCTGCAAAGAAGGTCCAAACAAATTCAACTCCTGAGATGGAAAAAGAACGAAACTTAAAAACTATGAGGAGTCTGCCTCTATGAATAGAACACTGCAGAGCTCTCTGTCTGGGCCTGTGGTGATCGGCCCTTCTGCTGCCACGAGAAACCAGGAAGCAGCGTCACCACACCGATGGCCCAGCGGACCCGTGAAGAAGGCAGGCTGGGGAAGGGAGCCGAGACGAGATTCTGCTCAAACCTGTGGGCAAAAATGTTCCCGTGTCGGATCTTCCAATTATGTAATGTTAAAAATGTTACGATTTTAAGATATTAAGTTTGTTTTCAGAGGATTCTATCTACGATGACAGCTTGCACCTCCAGGCTCCAGAAGAGAACTGTGTGGAGTCTGGAACATTCTTTGTGGGAGTAAGGGTGGCTCACAAAGAGGTGTCTGTCATTTTCACTTTGAGTGAAGACCTCTCCTTGTTCTACAAAAGGCTACTAAAAGGTGGGACAGCTCTCAGCCCTGGGAGACGCTTGTGACGATTCATTGCCTCCCTCACAAGAGACTTCTAAGAAGACAAACTGCAAAGGAATCGAAGTGCTCTGACAGCATCCAAAACTAAAGGGAAACAGAGTCTTGTTTACTTCTTGTCAAAACAGCTTAAATCTCTCCCTTCTAAAAAGGACTTTCAGGCTGGATACAGTGTCTCACGCCTGAATCCCAGCAGTGTGGGAGGCCAAAGTGGGAGGCTCGCTTGACCCAGGAGTTTGAGACCAGCGTAGATAACAATAGTGAGACCCCCATCGCTACAAAATGTTTTCAAAAAAATCAGCTGGGTGTGGTGGCACATGCCTGTAGTCCAGCTATTTGGGAGGCTGAGGTGGGAGGATCACTTGAGTTTGGCACGTTGAGGCTGCAGTGAGCTGTGACCGTGCCACTGCACTCCAGCCTGTGCAACAGAACGAGACCCTGTCATTAAGTAACATAAATAAATAGGATTTTCAGATGCTACACAACACTAGACTCACCATCCATAACTAGGTGACATAATTTTCCGAACAGGACGCATATGCAAGGAGGCATTATTATAATAGTACTTACACCAGATGGCATAAACTGGGACACCTGGGCCATGGCCGCCTGGCCCAAGGGTCTTCTCCAAGTTAACCCGTTCACCTGTGACCCTCACTCTCATTTCGGGAGTGTCTTTGCCAAAACCATGCCAGCACCCCAGCTTCCTCATCTCCCATTAGTAAGGAGATGATGGCACCCAATCTGTGAATATGCTTGCCTAGGGCCAGCTCTGAGCAGACCATCAGTAAAAACCATGTGCTCCCTTGGTTCAAGTTCTTGGCCATCCTGGCCCATGTCTCAGAACCTCTGCAGACCGGTCGGTGTCATACCCTGGACATACAGCCTGTCCCAAGTGGGAGGAGCAGAGCCTTCCACCTGCCACCCTAAAGGACTCGCAGCTCTGGGCACTCGGGGGGCTCACACTCAGACCTGTCTGGCTCCGAGTCCCTGCAGCAGGGCTGCTGTGCCTGCTGCTCTTTGGGCTGAAGCTGCTCCTGCAGCACCTGGGTTCCTGCTCTTCCCCCCCACCGGAGGGCGGGCCTACTCTGACCTTCTCCCTGGCTCGAGGACGGTGACCTTTCAGCCTGCTGCCTGCCTGACAGTTGGTGGCCCAACCATCTCCTGGTCCTGGCCCTGACTCACGCGCCCATCTGAATACAATGATGGCAGTTCCTCCAGGTTCTCAGTCAGTTCAGAAGACAGAACCCCAGGGTGCCTGCATGATACTGCCCGCAGCCTCTGTGACAATCATCTGCTGGGGCCCCCTGTGCTGGCCTCAGCTTGGGGATCCTGGGTCAGGAGGCCAAGCTTCTGGAAATCCTGGTGTTCTCTGCAGAGTGAGACAGGCACACATCTAATTCAACCATGCGAGCTGAACTGTGAGCAACTCTGTGAGAGGCCATAGGGCCACATGGCCAAGAAAACAAGCTGTCAGGCCAGGAGTAGGGCCCGCACTGCTGGGCTTCCCGCTCCCCGCTCCCCGCTTTCCTCCTGCCGCCAAAGCTGCTCATGTCCTCCAGGTGTGCCCAATGGCACCCTGCACAAGTGTCACCCACCACGCTCCCACACTGGCCTCGCTCCCTGAGCCCTTGCAGATCCAGGGGCAGTAGGCGCCTCTGCACGTCCTCCCTGGCCTGACGGACACGGCACTTTGTTTTCGGGGAAGGCATCTTCAAGGCACTGGCCTCCACTCTGGACCATACATGGAGAAATCTGCTAAGTGATGAAGTCTAGATGAAAGTCTGCGTCCAGCCCGCCCCACTGCCCCCTACACTGCACAGAAAGACCCAGGGGCCCCTTGCTTGCCATCCTAGCACTCCTGCCCAACACCGCCCCTGGTTTCTGAGCCTGACGGCGCAGAAAAGAAAGGCCTCTCTCCCGAGGACACATCCTTATGACGATAGATGATGACCCAAAGGTACCAGCGGCACGGCTGTAAGACACTCTTTGTTAGGCGCGAACCTCCCCACCTGCAGCTTCCTGGAAGGTGCCCTGCCTGAGGTGCGCGAGTCCTTGGGAGGCAGGCTCCGGCCTGACCGGGGTCTTGGTCACTCACCTTCAGACGCAGTGGCAGGTCCTCAGGGCTCTTCCCCGCCAGCTCGTCATCATCTTCGTCGTCCTGCAGGAACAGGCTGCTGGGGATGACGCCCTTGGCGTACTTCTTAGTGATCTCCACAAAGTCATCCAGCGCGATGTAGTTCTTGGCTGAAGCATGAGAGAAAACAGCATGGGCGCCCCACACTGCAGCCCCACTGCCACCCTCACACAGAGCAATGGGCTGGGGACGGTGGCGTGGGGCCAAGCTAAGAAAGGAGCTGAGTGGGTTCAGGTGGAGGAAACCCTTCCCTGGGCGGCCTGAGGGTTGAGGACCAGGCTGGGTGAGGAGGAAGGGGGCAGGTTTGCCAAGTGCCAGCCTCCACTCCTGGCCCCCGGCCCCTGGGTGTGCTGTCCCCCACCCCAAGTGTCCCTCTCTGCCTAGCTCCTTATGCCTGGGGCCACTCACCCACACCTTTCACCCAGTTCACCTGCCAAGCCTTACAACATGCACCTCCAGTGCATGCTGACACCCTCCTCTTCAGCCAGCGTGGGGCTTCTCACAGCACGGGTGACAAGCCGCCCTGTAGGGCAGTACCCTGCCAACCGCTCCATCGAACATGATCTGCGCCCCCAACCCCTCCATTCAACGTGATCCACCCAGGGCCTACTGTGCACCTGCTAAACCGCTCCATCCAACATGATCTGCCACACACCTACTATGTGCCTGCTGACACCTCCATCCAACAAGTGTCTGCCATGGGCCTACTACATGCCTGCTAACCCGTCCATTCAACATGCGTCCTGCCATGGGCCGACTTACCCCTCCATCCAACATCTTCCACCAAGAGCCTGCTACGTGCCCACTGATCCCTCCATCCAACGTGATCCGCGAGAGCTACGTGCCCACTGACCCCTCTATCCAACATGATCCCCTAGGAGGGAATGAGGCCCCTGAAGGACCCCAGTTGCCGTGGTGAGATGGTGACCAGGAGGGCCTCCAGGGGAAGGATGGGAAAGAAAGGACCATGCTGGGGCAGGGCAGAGGGAGACAAGCCAGGGTGCTGCAGAAACCCTAGGGAGGAGGCAGGCTGCATCCAAGATGGCAGCCGTGATAGTGGGCGCTGACAGACCTCCTAATGGATCAGCTGTGTGTGCAAGAGGAGAGGAGTCGGGGCAGCACCCAGGTGTAGCTGCAGCAAAGAGATGAGGCAGCCTTGGGGGGGCCCACACAAGTGGCAGGTAGCACAGGCCTCAGTAGCTCACTGTAGACTGAGCTGTGAGGTGACCATGGGACAGCCAGGTACAGGAGATGTGGAAGGAGCACGGGCTGGATGCAGCCTGGGCGGGCTGGGGGCTTGCGGGTTCAGGACGGCGTCTGACACACGAGAGTGGTCACCAATGCCACCCACACATCTCCCTACCAGAGCACAGTCCCTACGGGAAGACCCTGGTCCCCACAAGGAAGGCCCCTGTCCTCATAGGGATGAATACCTTGGGCAGGATGTCCTGTCCTGAGAGACAGGACATCAGTCTAGGGACCCCAAGAAGGAGCAGCCAGTGTGGCAGCAAGGGCCCCGGGCCTGGTGGGGGAGAGGGCTCTAAGGAGAAGAGCAGTCATCTCTGCCCACGCTGCTGACAGATCAAGTCAGACAAGGACAAGAAGTGACTGAGCAAGGGGGGTCACTGATGGCCTAGACGAGCCGCTTTGGTGGAATAACATGGCAGAGGCCTGAGAGCAAAGGACGGAGGACGAGAGAAGGGGATGACAGACGCCCCTTTCTGGGAGTTCTGTTGGAAAAGCTGGCAGAGAAACAGATGATGCCTGATGGGAACGTTCTGATAGAGGGGAAACAATGGGGGTGCTGGGGCCCTGTCCCTGAGGGCCTGGCGGAGGGGACCACAGGCTGGCAGCGCTGACTCCTAACTCGCCCCCAGCAACAGCGACAGGGCCCAGCAGCAGGTGTGCCCGGCTCATCACAAACCCCTGTGGGACTGGGAAGTGAGGTTGGGGTCCAGACTCTGCCTGCAGTGCCCCCCAGGATGGAGACCCAGGCTGGGCTGCTCCTGCCCAGAGGCACCTCACTTCAGGACAGCAGGCACCATGCCACCTCGGTGGCAGGACACTGTCACAGCCTCTCTGGTCCTCGGGCTTCCTAGAGTCACAGATTTCTTCCCACTTCCATGTGAGGTGTTTCTTTGTCTCCCCCAAATGGAGCAGGAAAACAGCAGCGCAAGCACCCATGTCCGCCCACGCAGAGGCGAGGGCTCTGACCACACCCTATGGACGGTTTCCTCACGGGCCCAGTGGGAAGGTGGGATCTGTGCTCCCACCTGTACTCTGCCCTACATGCCACAGAGGCTTCTAGGATGGGCGAGGTCCTTCAGTCCCCTTGTCTGATCATCTCACTGTTCAGAAGGGGAAACTGACACCCAGAAAGAAAAATGAGACCTGCCCATGTCACAAGAAGAGTCTGTGGCAGACCTGGGTCTTGGCCCATCCCCCCATTGATACTGAGCCCCCAAGCCTCCTGCCTGTCTATCTTCTCCAGGACAGGAGCTCCCAGTGCCTCAGACTGCAGAGTCTACCCCACGTGGATGGAAGACAGTGAGGCTGGCCAGCTGCACGTGGAGGATGTGACGTCTCTTCTCAGTCTTTGACCACAAACATCCCAGAGGCACCCCCAGCTCAGTGTGCCCCAGAGACTCTATCCCCCAACCTAGGCTCTGCCCACTCTGTTCCCTGCCTACCTACAAAGGGCCTACGCTGGGGCAGAGCCCCTTCCACACCCTGCTGGGTCTCCTGGGCCTTTGCTCATGCTGTTCCCTCTGCCCGGAGCCCCTTCCCCTAATGCCCTCCTCATCCTTCCCCACTCAGGACCCCCCCGCCAGTCCCCACCCCCAGTATTTCCTTGTCCAAGAGGGACTGGCACATCATGGTTTCTGTCCTGGGTCTGCCTTCCCTCCAGTGCGTGCGCTCCAGGTGGGCAGGGTCTACTCCCAGCGTCCAGAACACTGAGCCCCAAACGGACCGCCTGAGATCCTAGCAGGGCCAGGATGGGGTCGCACAGGAAGGAGAGGTCGCCCTGCAGGCGCAGGCTGGGAGGCACGGGTGAGATAGGGCAGGCCAGGATGGAGTCGCACAGGAAGGAGAGGTCGCCCTGCAGGTGCAGGCTGGGAGGCATGGGTGAGACGGGGCAGGGGCTGCACTCACACTCGCTGCTGACCAGGCGCTCCAGCATGCGCCTCTGCTTCTGCAGGGACTTGGGCACGGGGCCTGGCTGCGCCCCTCCATCTGCAGGGGACAGGGTGGATTAACAGTCAGACAAGTTGACTATCTCCTCGTGCCCTGCAGCCCACCAGAAACTGGCGCACTGTTCCTAGGGCACGCCAGTTCCAGGGGCATCCTACGTTCTGGGGATCATAGGGCCCCCAGGGCAGGCAGAGCAGGGGCCACACCTCTGTACCTCCAGTAGCTGGGGTGGACTCAGCACCACGTAGCGTGCTCCCACTTGGTGATGGACACAGTCCGTCCCATTGGTAGACGTGGTCACAGAGCACTGGGCAGAATACCCTCTGGTTTATTCAATGAGTGAGCACTTGAGCCAGGGCAGATGCTGTCAAAATGCCACCCACACACCTCACCACTAGGGCACGGTCTCTACAGGAAGGTTCTGGTCCCCTGGTCCCCACAAGGAAGGGCCCTGTCCTCACAGGGAAGGTCCCGGCTCCTGTGGGAAGACCCAGCCCCTGAGGGAAGGTCCCAGCCCCTATGGGAAGGTCCTGGCTCCTGTGGGAAGGCTGGCGCCCAGGGAAGGCTGGTGCCCAGGGTGAATCCTCGCACCGTGCTCGTTGACCTGGCCGACATTCTCCAGCAGCTCCGCCACGGCCACCTGCTTCTTCTTCTTGGGGTTGAGCTTCCAGTACATGACCAGGGCTGCCTTGCGCACGGCCCTCTCCAGGTCGGTCTCGGAGGAGAGCTGCCTCACCTCCCGTTCGTTCTCGGACGTGATGCCTGAGGGATAGGATGTGGTCAAAGGCCTTGTGTGCCCTGCCTAGGCTTTCGGTGCCACTCTGACCCTGCCAACTCTGCCTGGAAGGCTTTCGAGCGAGACTCATAGAAGGTGTCAGGACTTGGTTACCAGGGAAGGATGCATGGACATCTGACTCAAGAGGACATCGCGCCACGCCCACTCTCCAGCTGGGAGGCCAGACTGGTCTCCCACCAGACGCCCCCAAGTGCCCCCTACATGCTGGCGGGAAGAAGGCAGCCTCTTCCTGTTCCTCCCCTCTCTCAGAGGTGCAGACCCGGAGGCACAGGCCTGTGTTCTGGCTCACTCAAGGTCACACAGTCAGAAAGAGGCAGAGCTGTCTTGAACCCAGGGTGGACTCACTGCAGTCACCAGCCTGGGTGCACTGGCAGGGCCACCCCTGTGTCTACAGAGCTTTCCTCTGTCTCACACACAGCCCAGCCCTTTCTAAGGAAGGCTTGGACAGCGGGGAGAGGGAGAGCAGGTTTTACCGCTGGTCAGCAGCTGCCTTCCTCCCTTTACCCCCAACGGCCTGGGACACTGGCACAACCAAGCAGAGGGCAGGAGGACTGGCACGGGGGTCTGGATGTTTTTCTCCTTTTGAACATTTCCAAAATTTTCCACATGAGCATGTATTTCTTTTCAAATCAGAAAGCACAACTGCACATCAGAAGGTGTGTGCAGCTGGGGGAACACGGGGCCAACCGGCCTCCTCCCTTGCACGCTCTGCCCCAGCAGCCTCTGGGCTATCCCTGGCACCCAACAATGAGCCGTGTGGGCCGCCTGAGCCCCCTCCAGGTCATTCCAACTGCTCTGGAATCAGCAGGCTGGGTTGGTGAGAAATTCTGGCTAACAATGCCACTGTTAGTTTTTCAAAATCATCAGTTTAATTTTCAAAGAGAAGACTCTGTATAATAAATGTAACTCTTAAAATATGATACAAGCTGGGCATGGTGGCTCACGCCTGTACTCTCATCACTTTGGGAGGCCAAGGAGGGTGGATCCCCTGAGGTCAGGAGTTTGTGACCAGCCTGGCCAACCTGATGAAACCCTGTCTCTGCTAAAAATACAAAAATTAGCTAGGTGTGGTAATGCACGCCTGTAATCTCAGCTACTCAAAAGGCTGAGGCAGGAGAATTGCTTGAACCAGGGAGGTGGAGGTTACAGTGACTTGAGATCGCACCCCTGCACTCTAGCCTGGGCGACAGAGTGAGACTCCATCTCAAAACAACAACAACAAACACAGAAGGAAATACACCAAAATATGGGGAGTTGCTTCTGGGCTTCAAGGTTATGAGTAATTTGTATCTTTATGTTTTCTACATAGTCCAAGTTTTCTATGATAAGCATAAAATACTCTTACAATCTGAAAAAAAAGGTATCATTAGAAAAAACACCTTTGTGACACCCACTTTCATCTTTCCCTGAGGCGTGGAACCTTCAGGAAGCACACTGCCCCACGGCACCAGGGACAGCCACTTCCCTTGCGCAGGACAACGTCCTAACTCACCACCCCTGGCCTGAGCTGCGTCCCTTTCCTCCCCTGCCTCTCTGTTTGAAAGAGATTATCTATGAAGGGTCAGCCTGCCTCCTCCCAAAGTGAACATGCTTGTCCAGGTCTGTGTGGGCCCACAGCCCCTCAGCTGGTCTGCCCAGACTCGACGGACATCAGCTCAGGGGCATGGGCCACTCTGACTGCAGGCCACATTACAGTCTCCAGCTTTGCCTCAGGGAAACTGCCTCTCAGCTGAACCCAGGATCGATGTCTCAGTTTGGATCAGAACCCAGCAGGGAAGCAGGATGTATAGTTACCACTTGGAGATACCAACACAAGCCAAAGAGAATGAAAATGGCTTGGTCTGTTAAATATCCCATGTTAAGTCCAGAAACAGTGTCTAAAATGAGAAGGCCACCAGCAAAACAGAAACTGAAATTTCCCAACAGCATCACCAGCGTTAGGTTTGGTAAGATTTTAGTTGTTCAGTTAGCAAGCAGCATTACAAGCTGCTCAACCCTCCAGAGGCTGTTCTAAGCCTCACACAGACCCACCTCTTCTGTCCGCCAAGCACCGGCGAAGCAGCTTCACAGCCTCGCGACGGCCCTGCTTCGCGGCGAGGACCAGCCAGTCCACAGCGGTGCAGCTGTTGAGTTCTTCATCCGTGTCGCCGGCCAACTGCAGGTAGTGCTTCCCCACCTGCAAGCCAGACACCAGTCAGCCTCCAGATTCTCCGACCCTCTCCCACCCCATGCTCCCTGCCAGCCCACCTCCTTTCACCCACTTCCCTTTGTCACCCAGGCCAGGAAGGAAGGGGCAGAAATGGGGTCACACCAGGCATGTCCACTAGGCTAGGCCCTACTGAGCCTCCGGCCACTCGCTCCTCAAAACACGGTGAGGAAGGTGTGGCCACCCCATCCACACGGCGAGGGAGACACGGGCTCCGACTGGTACTGGTACAGGTTCTCTTCCTTGAGTTGCTCCTGCCTGCCAAGGCTCACCATCAATGCATGGAAATCAGAACCATGACTGGGTCCTTTACACCTCTCAAAACAGTCAGGGGACCATAGAAAGCCAGGGCTGGAGAGACGCCAGCTAACCAAGGGTTAGCACTGGCCCACTGCCTGTTTTTGCAAATAAAGTTTTATTGAAATACAACCATAACCATTCATTTACATGTTGTCCATGCTGCTTTTACGTGCTCCACAGCAAAGCTGAGCAACACGGCAGAGATTGCGCAGAGTCCAGAATATTCACTATCTGGCCCTTTGCAAAAAGAATCCCTGCTGAAATGGTCCAGTCTTCTCATTCTACAGATGGAAAAAGTGAGGCCCAGGGCACAGAGAGCCCATAAAAGGGCTTACTATGCTCCCCCCGCCTCCAAATGCCTGGGCAAAAGGATGTGGGAGGAACTTTAAAGTACAATATGGCTGTGAGGTCAGGAAAGAAATTTTTTTTTTTTTTTTTTTGAGACAGAGTCTTGCTCTGTTGCTCAGTTGGGAGCGTGGTGGTGCGATCTCGGCTCACTGCAACCTCCACTTCCTGGGTTCAAGTGATTTTCCTGTCTCAGCCTCCCAAGTAGCTGGGATTACAGGCATGCACCACCATGTCTGGCTAATTTTTCTATTTGTAGTGGAGACACGGTTTCATCATGTTGGCCAGGCTGGTCACGAACTCCTGACCTCAGGTGATCCACCCGCCTCAGCCTCCCAAAGTGCTGGGATTACAGGCGTGAGCCACCGCTCCCAGCCAGAAATTCTTAATTTATGGTTTCGCGTGGAAGCTTTTCTCCTCTTTAGGGAGAAGAGGGGGCAGGAAACTGCTCAGGATAACTGTGGTCACTTGCTTGAGCCCTGTGCAAGGGGACAGAGTGAGGTGGTGAGAACTTGCCTCCACAGAGGACACAGGACCCCCTGCCACCTCCCGTCTCAGCGTTCTGCTGGCTTCTCCCCTCACCAGAATTCAAAATCACTGTATTTCTGTGTCTTGTCTACTTGGGTTTTTTGGGTCTGCTTCTTCCACTAACCTGTCACCCATGAAGAGAGGGCCACATCATGTCCCCAGCACTGGCACAAAGCCCAGCCCTTGGCTGATGCCCAAGTGAATGGTCACCGCTCTGAGGGCCCCGTGCACACAGCTAACAGCCAGGTGAAAGGCCAGTCAGGGAGACAAGAGTGGGCAGCATACACAGTGTATGTTGAGGGGTGGCACTGAGCAGGCAGCTGCAGGAAGCCAGGAGGTCATCCTGGAGGAGGTGATGCCCAAGATGAGGTGTGAGTTGGACAAAAGGGGGATGAGCGCTGCTCCCCAGAGGAGTGCCAGGAGGAAAACTGGCACAGTGAACATGGGCACCCTACCAACATGGGGCTCAAGTGGGGTAGGGTGCACCACGCTGGCTCCTGACCCCGATCTCAGGCACCGACACTTCTCTGTGGGCTGTGGAGCTCGTGGCCAGGCCTGTTGTGCCGGGGGCCGCGTCCCGAAGTCCCTGCCGGCACCGCAGTCCTCACCTCAGTCTGTGCCTTGGGGTCCCCGGCCTTGGCCCTCTCCAGGACTTCTTCAAAGGGGATTTCCATGTCTCCCTTTGTAGGCCCTTTAACACAGAAGAAACAAACACACATGTCACAAAGCCAGACTTTGTCACTTGTCAGGATGGAGGGGACAAGGCATGAGGGTCTTCAGATCTGCTGCTGCTTGTCACTTTCAAATCCAGGCCAGGAGTACAGAGAGACACAGACACAGACAGGGAAGATGCCCAGAAAGCCACTGTTTGCCTTCCGGTCACAAGCAGCGCCAGAGCAAGATGAGCAAACTCTATGCGGGTGAGGTGGTTCAACAGCAACTCAAAGCGCTCGGGGTGGGAGGCATGGGAAGGAGGCGAGCACAGAGCCAAGTCCCACCATCACACCCCTTGGCCTAGGCCTGCTCTAGCTGGGGCTCTAGAAAGATCCAAGGACTCAAGTTTGACAGCCCATGACCTAAATAATACAAAGCACCTGTACCCGAAGCCCAGAACCCCAACAAATCAAGTTCATGTTTTCCATGATTGTACCAACAAAAACCACATTTTTTGGATATTATAATCAGTGTATATACATCTTGATATTACCTTTTCCTTCTTAAGAGTGAATGCCTTAGTCTGTTCGAGCTGTTATAACAAAAATATTAATACCATAGACCAAGCTGGTGGCTTACAAACATCAGAAATGTATTTCTTTCGATTCTGGAGACTGGGAAGTCCAAGATCATAGTGTTGCAGACTCCGTGTCTACTGAGGGCCTGCTTTTTGTTTCAGGTCTTCTGGCTGTGTCCTCACAGGGTGGAAGGGGCAAGGGAGCTCCCTGAGGTTTCTTTTATAGGGGCACTAATTCCACCGTAAAGCCATCGCTCATGATTCATCACCTCCAAAGGCCCCACCTCCTAACACCATGGGACTGGGGGTGAAGACCTCAGCAAATGAATCTGGGAGAGACACAAACTTTCAGTCCACAGCAGTGGATTGTTCTCTGGCTTCCCACGATGCGCTGCAGTCAGCTCACCATTTTGGTGGCTCCTAGATCCATCAAGGAGACAGAGTCAGGTTACTGACCCTCCCCTCCTCTCCATCAGGTCTGTAGGTTGCTTCCAATAACCTCTTGTTTTCTACGGTGGTGCCATGAACCGTTTCTTTTCTTTTGGGAAGTCATTTTCCTAGCACAGGTTCTCCAGTTGAATTATTAGACCAAGGGTCAAAACATCAACTACAGTTTGTGCTGCATTTTACTTCCTAAGAAGTTACCTGAATTTACAAAAGCATCATGCAGTCTTACCCATTTCACCCAAGGCTGGCTGACAACGGGACAGGCTGCATGGTTCCCAGTAACACCACACTGAGGACCAGCCTTTCTGGTCCAACTCACCCAGGGCTTTCCCAGAACCATACCGTGCCAGGCTCTGAACCGGCTCTGCAGCACCAAGTGCTGCCTGGCCACTGCCTTCAGATGACCCAGGTGTACAGGAGACAGGACTCCAGTGGGAGACCATGGGATGTGGCCAGGTGCAAAGGCAGAGAGGAAGGGTCACACCCAGTTTGGAGAGGGCAGAGGGAGGCTGGGACAACTCAAAAGTCGCAGGTGGCAGGTGAGGCCCTCACAGGTAAGGCTGTGTGGGTGAGGCATGTGTTTGGAGAAGGAAAGAATCAGATGGATTCTTCACAAGCTCTCGTGGTCAGGCACACGCACTCCAGCCCTGTGGATGGACAACTCGCCAACACAAAGGCCCCTCTCCCTGGAAGCCCCCCTCCCTGGATGCCCCCATCCCTGGACACCCCTCTCCCTTGATGCTGCTTTCCCTGGACACCACCCTCCCTGACAGGCCACCTCCCTGGATGTACCCCTCCCTAGAGGCTCCTCTCGCTGGACGCCCCTCTCCCTGGATGTCCCCGTCCCTGGAAGACTCCTCCCTGAATGTCCCTCTCCCTGAATGCCCCTCTTCCTGGACGCCCCTCTCCCTGGACGTAACTCTCCCTGGATGTAACTCTCCCTGGACGCAACTCTTGCACAGAGTTTCGGGCTCAGCTTCCTTGCCGGGGTCCTCAAGGACGCTGCTCAGAGATGGCATCAGGTCCCGCAGGGCAGCCCTTTTGGACACCCACCCTCCCCAGAGCCCCCAGACCTTGGTGCTCCCTGAATCCATCAAGGACAGTTCTCCTTCCTTGCTGCCGTCACCCTGCCAGCCCCCCAGCGTGGTTTCTGGCTGCGGGCTCAGCAGCAGACTCACTATCCCTAGAGGAACTGCAGACACAGAGCCTGCAGGCACCAAGGCCATGGGCCCACAGAGCAGCGTGAGCGATCACAATGACACAGACGCACGTGTGGATCCATGCTCCACAGTAAGGTGCTGTGCGACCTGGTGCAGGCCACATCACTGCTCCGAAGCAGCTTCAATCTGATCGTTAACATCAATCTGATAGGATGGTTTATGATGAAAAGAGATGCTTTGTAGTGAGTGGTCCAAAGTTGCTGTTCACAAGAGGAGGCTTTCTCTTCCCTCCCCCACTTCCCCAGGAGACCCCAGGGCTGTTGCTGTACTTCCCACCACAACGCCAGCACCTCTAGTGAATTCAAGTCTCCTTACTTGACCTAAGTTCACAAGTCATATTATTCTTCCCTTTTTTAAAAAAATCAAAACATGGAAGGTCCAAGTCTATATGGTGGTCTAAAAAGATTCTTCCAGTCCATAATTAATTTTTCACAGAAGTTATTCACAGCCTGACATTTCAAGACATCTCCCCGATATACAGAATCTCTCTCTCTTTTTTATTATTATTTTTTGAGACAGAGTTTCACTCTCATCGCCCAGGCTGGAATGCAATGACAAAATCTCGGCTCGCCACAACCTCTGCCTCTCGGGTTCAAGCGATTCTTCTGCCTCAGCCTCCTGAGTAGCTGGGAATACAGGCGGCCGCCACCATGCCCAGCTAAGTTTTTTTGTATTTTTAGTAGAGACAGGGTTTCACCATGTTGGCCAGGCTGGTCTCGAACCCCTGACCTCAGGTGATCTGCTGCCTCAGCCTCCCAAAGTGCTGGGATTACAGGTCTGAGCCACTGCGCCCAGCCCAGAATCTCTTTGAGATGGACACACACCCTCTTCATTATTCCAGCTTCCATATGGCAGTGGTGGGCTCGTCCTGCAGACCAGTTAGCTCAGTCCATGAAGTAGGAGCCTTCGTGGGCTCAAAGGCAAATCCCAGCATGCTCACTGCTCAGTGCCAGAAAGATCACCCCCAGAAGCCGGCTGCATCAGTGTGGACCACCAAGAACCATCAAACACACGTGTTTTCTGTGTGCTCGACCTCCGTTCCTTGCTTTTTCTGATGACTGCACCTTGATGTCCCTTTTGGGGAACCCCGCCACTCTCAGTCCTCATGGTCTGGGTGGCACTGCCCCCTCCCCTGCGCTGCACAGAAGGCCCGCACCCCCACCTGGCCAATCAGAGTTGCCAGGTCATCTCCCTGACTACAGCACCTGGTTCAGGGATGGACACAGCCCAGCGGAGTTTGTGCTAGAACTGCTGGGAAATGGGCTTTCACCTTCTGCTCATCTTGGCACGTGGATGCCAGCTTGAACTGTGGAAGGTCACCCTGTGGGCAGAGCCCCTGAGACACAGGCAGCACAGGAAAGCAGAGTGGAATGGGGGCGGGGGAGTACTTCCTGATGACATCATCTGAGCCCCTGGATCCAGCCGTGCCTGAAGCAAACTACTCTAGGCTCTACAGATCTATGGACTCATCAATCCCTTGCCCCTCTACTTTTTTGGCTTGTGTCAATTTATATTGAGATTTTGTCACTTACAACTAAAAGGGTCCTGAATCTAACTCATTCTTTGAAAGTCTGCCTATCAATCACAAAATAGCAGTGTGATCAGAGCTGGATACCATGGGCAGGTCTCCTTCCCTCTGTGAGGTTCTATGGAGAACACCCTACATCTTTTTAATTATTTGTCATGCACGGGCCCTATGGATTTGAGAGATTCATGGATGCCACGTGGAATCAGTCAATGACCCTCACTTTCTCAGGCACTACCTAGGGCATCCTCCAGGATGCGCCCCTTCCCGGCACAGCCCACTGCCATATCTTGCTGGAACCTGGGTCATCGTCCATCGTCTATCACAGGCTCCGCCAGCCTTCGTGGATGCCATCTATGTCCGTGGGTCTCACCCGTCTCGCCACCAGCTTCCACTACGACGCTGGACAGTACACAGGGAGCAGACGGGGATTCCAGGAGGAAGCCACTGCAAATAGGGCCTGCAGCTGCCCTCTCTCCTTCTGAAATCCTAGCATAGTCCAGGACACAGCACCTCCCTGGCTGAGCAGCTGAACTGCCAAGCTCAACTCCCTGATTGAGCAGATATTCTGCAGAAATAGAAAAGGATGGAGGGAAGGCTTCTTCCCACACAATGAACATCAAACCCACCCAAGGGGCAGTGGCTGGGGCCTCCCTTCCCAAACAGCTGGCTCAAAACATGCACAAAATTTTCCCAAAGTGGGCTGGGAGCAGGGCAGCTGGCTTCCACTTTCATATTACTGATGCATCCAGACATACTTCCATAGTGTTTAAAAATTTTTGGATGTATGTCAAATGCTCTTAAGAGTGCGATCTTAGGCATGTGGTAAATAAATATGATGTAATCCTCCCGTCTCCAAGGGTGCTGCTGCCCTCTCCCTCCCTCCCTCACTGGTCCTGGGCAAGCCCTTGACCTCCACGATCTCTCTGCGCCTCTCGTGACGCCCACAACAAGGGGCTGTGCCAAAGGGAAAGGTAGAAAGAAAAGAGGATGTGCTGTGTGCTGTCATCATCCCTGTGCCAGAGACAGGGCACAGGGTGGTGGCCTTGCACCACCGGCGCATCCCCCACATGGGGAAGCTGGGGTCACCCTGCACCACAGGCATCCCATCAGCCTCTGTGACACTGACAATGATTCTCGTGAATGGACAGGCTGAATGGTCCTCAGCCCTCTCTTTCTATGCTGGCTGAACTCTGAGGCGGGAACAGGACAGACAGTGGCTGGAGGCCCTGGCAGGGAGGGCACCCTTCTAACAGGCCCTGCGTAGCCGAGGGCACCAAACTGACAGGCAGGACCCCTGAGCTCACCACGGCCTGCCCTGGGCCAGGCAAGAACGAGCACGTCCACCCATGAGAGTTGGGGCTGTGTAGGTGACTGTAGACATCACCCACAGTGGGAGGGTTCCTGGAGGTGACGTCCGAGGCTTGGAGCGCAAAGTAGGACAGGCACACTGCCAAGTTCCCAGAAGACTGAGTGCCACCAGATCCTGTGGCCAGTCCTCAGTGTGGTGTGGGGGGCTCAGCAGGAGCACATCAGCAATCAGATGGGCCAGGTCAGGATAAAGAACAGGCGTGACAGCTGCTTCCTAAATAATCAACGGTGGGTGCCCTGAGTAGCACCTCCTGCTGTGCCTGTCCCCAGGGCAGCAGGGGCTCAGCGCACTCCCACATCTGCATCAGAGCCCCAGTCCCTCCTGGGCCCCCTTGTACCCTCTAAGACTAAGCTCGGACCCCGCCGGGAACCACCCCCAGGACCCTACCTCAGGCTGTGCCACCACCGTCCACCTGGCAGCCCCAGCCAGAAACCTGGAGGCCACCCTGGCTTTCTCCCCTCCATGTCTACCTGTCCCTCAGCCTTCTTGTGGCCTGGCTACTCCTCTCTCTGCTCCGCCTCCTGGCTGGCCTTTAATGTAAACAATCCATCTAACAGCTGAGCCCCACTCACGACAATGCCCTCTCCTTTCCCTGACCCTCAGGGCCCTGCTTGGCCTGGCTGACCTCTTGACACCACAGCCAATTCCTCATGGGTCTTGGGTGCCCCCCACTGGGCTCCCTCTCTGCCCAGGGTGCCCTTAGTGTAGGAGCTGGGGTGCCTGCTTTCCCCACACCCGAAGGCCCTTCTTTGTCCCTCGCCCAGCGGCTCTAACTGGCAGTGCAGCCTCAGTCAGCATTGGTGGGTGCTTCCTGGTGGGGTGCACCTCCTCCCCAGGGCTCCTGCTCCTGTCCGCATCTGTGTCCCTGTGGCTGCCAAAGCAATCCCCCTACCCCCAATGGCTGGGAGGCCTGGCAGATTCAGCAGTCGTGTGGGCTGGCCACCCACTGGGGTCAACAGAAAGGGCATATGACTGCCCCAGAGTCTCACAGTGAGCTGGGCCACCTCACAGTAGGGTGATTCCCTGGTCAAGGCGGTGGCAGCACTGCTGTAGAGACTTGTAGAGATGAGAGTGCTGCTGCTCGGAGACGGAGTGGCGGGTACGACTCGGAAAGCTCCCGAATCTCACCTCCTTCCCTCCTCCACCAACCCCAGGCCTTGTCCTACTGGTAGACCCGTGAATGACAGAGACAGCAGGAGAGCTCAGGGCCGCATAGTGGGAAGGGGTGGGGCCTCGGCTGGTACCCAGGAGGCCTGAGTGCCCACCAGGGCCACATGCTTAGCACACACTTAGCACAGGCCAAGCACATGATAGCCACAGCATGCCCAGCCTGAAGCTGAGACGATGACACAGTCTGCTTTCCTTCCTCCCACCTGCACCAGGCCTGTCCCTCTGTGCATCTGAGCCCGCCCTTTAGCCCCAGGGCTAAACAGAACAGGCCCAGAACAGGCTCTCTGCCAGGGCGTGGACTCGCACAGCCGTGTCACGGTGGCTGAGTGAGGCTTGGTGTCAACTCTACCTCTCTGTGCCTGCTGGGTCACCTGGGACCAGGTGTGACAAGCCCAGCTTTATTCTCTTGTTGAGCAGAACAACAGATCCCCCCAGGGCTGGAGACAACACTGAGGTGATCACAGGACTCACCACAGCTGCCTGTGAAGAAACGGCCCCTGCCCATCAGCCCTGGGGCAGCCACCGACAGGCAGGTGCCGGCCCTGGCCCACTGGCACATCACTTGGGCTGCTGTCAAAAATCAGGACAGACAACACCTCTCAGCACGTGGGCATCCACGCTCCACACAGGACACAGTTTCCCCTCTCAGGGCTGCCATGAGGAGTCCCGCCCTGGCACAGGGACGCCCAAGAGCCTCACAACTCCCTGCAGTCTCCTTTCTAGCCGGAGTCACTGTTTCCTTTACCTGTCTGGGCCCAGGAGCCCCTGAGCTTCCAAGCCCCGACCCGTTGGCAGTGGTTCCCCAGGTGGCAGGTGACTTGCCAAGGCCACAGAGCCAGGATGGGAAGGAAGTGTGGGGCTCCAGCCCAGTGACGTTTCTGAAGCAGCCCCTCCCCAGCCTTGCTGAATGAAGGGCTGAAAAGGGGGTCAGTTCCTCAGGGAGGCAACCAGAGAAGGGCAACCCCAAGGCTGCTCTTCTCCTGTTTCCCAAGTGTACAGGCCAAGGAGCAGCTCAGATGGGGCTCCGACGATGCCTCCTCCAGGCAGTCTTCCTGATGCCCTGAAGAGTGACCAGGCCCTCCTGGGGTGCCCCTAGGGGACTGCAATGTGGGTTGTCCCCCGCGCTACATGAGCCCCAGAATGTAGTTCCTTGTTCACTCCTGTCTCCCATATTGCTCAGGGCTCCCGGAGGGCAGGACTGAGCCTTCACTCCTGTCACCAGGGCCTGGCCAGGCACTGATCTAGGGACAGGCCAACCTGCTCTGTGCACTTCTCTGAGCCTGGGACATGGGGATCCCTGGGCGCAGATGACCTGAGGCCCATAGTGAGCACAGGCTCCACGGTATGTTTAAATCTCCCCTCCACCCTTCACCAACCACGGGACGCTGGGTCATCTACTTAAGCCCTCTATCCCTCGGTTTCCCATCTGAAAAACAGGGCAGCAGCAGAGCCTGCCTCCCAGGGCTGTTAAAGAGGCAAGTGGGCTAATGCCCTAAAAAGATGCCTAGCTCGGGGAAGTGTCAGTTAAATAGCTACCCTTGTTGTTACCTATTGGTATTTCAACTGATGCTCACCCACCTATGTTGGCTGGATGGGGGAGCTAAATAACAGATTCTCGCAGCAGCTGCTACTGGCAGGGACCCTGGGCCCTGCCCTCCCTGCGGCCACTGGGCATGCAGGGCCAGGCCTGCTTTGGCCACATCAGTGACCAGTGACTGGGAGACGGGATGCCCACTGCCCCCAGCTGCAGGCCCAGTGGTGGGGACTGGGCTGTCAGGCGGCGCCCAGGGCTTGCTCTTCACCACCCCCACATTGGAGACCGAAGCCAAACAAACCACAGCTGCTTCCTGACTCTTCTTATCTGAAACACACAGTCTTGGACTCTGTCCTTTGCGGGCTGTTCTCATTACCCAGATTGAAACCAAGCTTCCGAGCCCTGGTATCTGTTCCCCTGAAGCCGTGAGGCTGGGCCCAAATCCCGGGGTCAGGCCCTCATCCGCCCAGAGGCCTCCAAAACAAAGCAGAGGAGCACAGTGATCTTTTAAGGAGATGCAAAGACAAACAGGGCCCAGGGCTGCAGTGAGTTTCCAAGGGCACGCCCAGCATAAGTGGTACATGGGAGCCTCAGCGCGCTGCGACCACAGCAGGGAGGCCCCACGGCCCTGCCAGTGGGGTGACTGGGACAAGAAGGAAACCTGGACCACTCGAGCACCTCGTCTCTCACCCGCTGGGTCTCTTGGGCAAGTCACCTAGACTCGGTGTCTCAGTTTCCCCTCTCAGGACTGCCATGAGGAGTCCTGCAGGCACATGGAAAAGGCTGGTGTACACAGCAGGCACTCACCATGGGTCTGGGGCTTCTGCATGGGCAGGAGGGGCAGTGATGAGCTGGGACTGAGCCTCCCTGGCAGCGGCCTCTCTAGCAAAAGTGAAGGCTGACCGAGGCCTGAGTCAGCTGGAGAAGGTGCCCAGGGGCCGGACTCCCCTGGCTCACACCCACCACCCTCACATCACCACCCAGGAACCAACAAGCCTGTCAGCTCTGCCTGTGAACACCAAGGGCCTCAGCTCTGCTTTGAACACCCAGGGCCTCAGTCAGCTCGGCCTGTGAAGACCAAGGGCCTCAGTCAGCTCTGCCTGTGAACACCCAGGGCCCCAGCATCCCGCCTCAGGATGGAGGTGAAGGACGCCCGTCCCTCACAAGTCTCCCTCAGGGAGAGGGGAAACTCAGCACCAAGGGCTTCGCCCGCATGTGGCCTCACTCCCGAGAGTGTGGCTGTCACCTCTGGCCTGCCACCCTAGTTGGTTACAGAGGGCCCGTGAATTTACTCCACATGTTTGGACGCTGTTGCAAATGGAAGCTGTGAAGTGCTGCAGAGGCCCTGGGAAGAGAAGGACTGCAGAGGAGTGGGGGCACCAGCACCACCTCGAGTGGGTGCCACAAAGGTGACAGGTGCAAGGCTCTGAGGAGGTGGGTAGCCCCACTGGATGGACGCCTGTGCACAGCATGGGAGCTGCACAATGCTGAACTGCAGAGGACCTGGCGGGGGGACCCTCCAGGGGTGGCTGAACCCCGTTCCCACCCAGCTATCCCTGAACATCCCCAGCCTGGGCTTCCCAGCCTGCTCCCTTACCGGTGCCGTCTGCTCTTTCCCGGCTCCTGGTATGCTGGGCCTGGGGTTCAGCGGGGGCCGCTGCGTCTCTAACACCAGGGCCAGGGCCAGCCTGGGGTCCGGGTGCTCGGGGCCTTTCGCTCCTCTCCTGCTCCAACGAGGCTGTGGCATTGAGTCGGGAACGCGCCTGGGGCTGCGGTGCTGGCGGGGGCTGTGGGCAGGAGGGGCCCAGCGGAGCAGTGTTGGAGTCCATCCTGCCTGGAAGAAAAGTCAAGGTCAGGCACATCCAGCACCGGCAGAGCCCGCTCTGGCACTTAGTGTCTGCTGGAGACAGAAAAGCAGAGGGAGGCAGGTGGGAGCTGCCAGACACTCCATACAGGATCTCGCTGACACTCAGTACAGTCCCCATGGGCCAGCACCGCTTCCAGGGAGGAAACCATGGGAGGACACTCACCCACGTGACTCTACAGATGGCATGGCACTTACAATCTCAGACCTGCACATGCCGAGGCCTGGAGTCCCTGCCTCACTGGGCATGAGCCACACAACCCTGGCCTTCCCTCATCCAAGAAACGGGGATGATGATAGCAACACCCAGAGCCCACCCATGTGGAGCCTGGCTGCAGGGGGCTGAATTGGGCCCCACATCATGTGCCCACCAATGTCTGTGAATGTGCCCTTATTTGGAAAAACAGGTCTTTGAAGATGTATTTAAGGATCTTGAAATGAGATCAGCCTGGAGTAGGGAAGCCCTGGCTCCAAGAGCTGATGGCCTATAGGAAGAGAAGTGTAACAGAGCCATGCGGAGACGGGTGACAGTGGCCAAGGAGCAGGAGGACCACTGGCCACTGCCAGAAGCTGGACAGAGGCGAGGAACTGAGCCTCCCTCAGAGCCTCCAGGAGGGACCCACCCTGCCCACACCTTGACTTCAGACTTCTGCCTCCAGAACCATCAGAGAACAAACCTCTGTTGTTTTAAGCCACCAAGTTTCCAGTAGTTTCTTACGGAAGCCCTAGAAAACTAATACGCTGGTACTGAGTAAAGTTAAGTAAATATGAGAGGGGAAGGGAGCTGGGGAGGGGAGAAGAGGGCAGGGGAGAGAAGAGAGGGAGCCAAATGGGTGGAGCTGGGATTCATACCCAGATCTGCCGCTCCACAGCCCCCACCCCAGGCCCAAGCCACAGCACCGAAGTCAGAGGACTGATGCCCCAGAAACCAACACAGAGAGTAAAAAGCAAACTAAGGCAAACAGTGCGGTGGGGGCATCAGAAGAGACTAGAGTGAGCAGAGATCCCGTGACCCGTGTCACGCCGGAGCAAGGGCTTTATTTTATTCAACAGAGGCCCTCACATGCTGCTTAGCAACATGGAAAAACACCACCATCCCTGTAATGAAGGACAACCACCGGCCACAGACACAGAGCTGAAAGCGCTGCAGGATCCCGAGCCCCGGACCCGGATGGGCCCTGGATGAGCGGCGTTAGGGGTGGGATGCAAACCCCTGGCACTGCTGGACCTTGAACCTGCTGCTGTGTGAGGCTGTGGAAACTTTTCCTCAGATTCCCAAATGACCCTCCCAAGCTCAGGGCCACAGCCATCCTCTGAGGCACAGAGCAGGGAGAGGCTGGTAACAGAGAGTCTCGCTCCCAGCCCCAAGCTGCCGCAGCGCTGTACTCCTGGCTCTGTGCCCACCAGCTGTGTGGTCCTGAGCAGCCCACATCCCGCTCTGCACCTCAGCCTCCTCATCTGAAAATGGGGACGGGGCAACTGTGAGGACCAGTGAGACCAGACACCATGGGCAGCACGAGGGAGTCCCCTGGCCACCTCTGAACACCCAGCGCTTGGCACTGAGCAGCCAGGTCTGAGTAGGTGCCCAGAGGTCACTTTTGGGGGCAGCTGTGACTGGAAGAGTCAGGAGTGGCCCCAGGCTCCACACACAACAATTTCTGCTCCATTCCCGCTGCAAATGAGTCCTAAAGATCAGACTGGTGTCGCTCAAGAACTCTGCAGATTTCAATCCACACGTTCCTCCCTCAGAGGGACTGAGCCCTTAGTGTAAAACATCCCCCAGGTGCAAACCATGCATGGTCAAGCACACCCCCCCCCCCCACCCCACCCCCGTGCATCCCCCAGGTGCAAACCATGCATGGTCAAGCACCCCCGGGTGCATCCCCCAGGTGCAAACCATGCATGGTCAAGCTTGGGAGCCTGCTCCATCCTGTTTCCAAGTTCCCAGCTCCCGGGAACTGGCACCTTCCACAAAAGCAGCCATTTAACTGCACGTGCAGACCTAAGTGTCCCCTTAGTCAGCTGTGGCAGAGAAATACAGGATCGCACGTAGAACCCACACGCTGTGGGCAAACAGAACCACGGTCCTGCAGGCCACCGGACCACCTGAGATGGTGAAAAGTCAGGTCTTCAAATGACACGTGGCCTTGTCTACCTTCTCTCCCATGGTTCCCACTGCCCCGAAGTCAGGTGTCACTTTCTCAGACAGAGAGAGAGGGCACCTTTACTGAGGGCTGACCTACGCCAGGGCATCTCTGCCATCAAGACCAACGGCTCTGTTCTCTGTACTTGTCTTTTCTCATGAGTTTCTCGTATGGCCCTGGAAGGTAGGTCCTATTGTCGTGAGTTCCTCGCATGGACCTGGAAGGTAGATCCTATTGTCATCCCAGAGTTATAGATGGGGAAATGTTTTATCCTTCAACCTCACCCCACTTCACAGACAGGAACCCAGGTGCAGGGAGGGGAGGGACCTGCTCAAGGTCAAACAGCTCCAGGTACCAGACCTGAAATTCAAATCCAGACCTGCCCAATTCTAATGCTTCTGCAAGCTCATTTCTGAAAAAGACGACTTTGAAATCAGACCGCCATGCCACTGCACCCTCTCTCCCGGGGCCCATTCACTGCAAAACACTGGCTACCCTTCAACATCAGCATACAAATGCTGACCTCCACACTTCTGTTTCTGCAGGGCCCTCTTCCCGGAATGCCTTCTTACCCCCCTCCCCCAGCCTAGACCCTAAGCACCCTTCAAGTCAAGAGCTCCAGCGATACCTCCTTTGTGGGAGCTTCCAAGCTATGTCTGTCCCGAGTCCCTGTCTTCCTCACCTACTCAGGTAAACACACAGCACTCAGGCGATCACCTCTCCATCAGAGCCCTCCCTCTGCTAGAGGTTACAGCTGGAAGCAACATGGTGTGGGGCGTCGGTTACCCTTACTAGTGGCCACATGACCTCACTGTGTCTGTTTCCCCATATGTAAAATGGGGATAGCACCTCCCACATAGGGGTGCTATGGGGATTACGTGTGTGGCAGAAGAGAAAGCAAACTATTGGGCATTAAAAAAAAACTAAGCCGGCCAGGCGCGGTGGCTCACGCCTGTAATCCCAGCACTTTGGGAGGCCGAGGCGGGCAGATCACAAGGTCAGGAGATCAAGACCATCCTGGCTAACACAGTGAAACCCCGTCTCTATTAAAAATACAAAAAAATTAGCCAGGCGTGGTGGCGGGCGCCGATAGTCCCAACTACTGGGGAGGCTGAGGCAGGAGAATGGTGTGAACCCAGGAGATGGAGCTTGCAGTGAGCCGAGATCGCGCCACTGCACTCCAGCCTGGGTGACAAAGCGAGACTCCGTCTCAAAAAAAAGAAAAAAGAAAAAGGAAAAGAAAAACCCTAAGCCATTACTCCCAGGTGCTAAACAAAGGCATGTTCAGTTGGAAAACACTTCATAAAAGGAATTTCAGGAAAACAGATTCTAGCTGGCCTATGTACCATGTATGTCACACTGCAGTTAAAAAAAAACTGTTTAAAGTAAAATCTCTGGTTAGTAAGAATGGATGAATACAGGAGGATTAATTTTCAGGTTCCCTGGGGGTTGGCCAAGTCTGGTTTGGATCAAAGGGCTTGTTATTTCAAAACAAGCACAACAATTCCTGGTCATGGTTGGTCACAGGGACAATGAAGATCAGAAAAGATCTCCCGGTGGAAGGACCTGCTGTCTGGTCCTTCCCTCTCTGAGTCTTCCTGCATGTTACAGCCACTGTGAGCCCTGAGGGCAGGGCTGCAGCTTATCCACTCGGAAGACCGGCTGCCTTGCCAGGAATACGTTAAGCACTTAATGCATGTGGGCAGAAGCCTGAGGCAGCCTGGCCTAGGGCAGGAGCACCATCCAGGCAATAATGCTGTGGGACCTTAGCAAGTCCCTCCCCCAGACCCCAGCATCCAGGCATCTCCAGCTGCATCCACTCTGCACCCTCAGATCCCCACCTGCACGGTGGGGCACTCAGCCCCAACTCCCTACTGGTGACCACAGCAATGGCTTAGAAGCCGTCACTGTGTAAGATCCACAAAACCAAAGTTGCTAGCATTCTTTCCTCATGAGCAATGAGGCATATTTTTATCCCGTCCAAACACAAACACCGGCACCAAGGAGTTCAGCTGAGAGGCCGCCACCTGGAGAGGGCTGCAGGCACCATGCATCCACTCAGACCCGCAGCAGAATGACCACACGTGGCCTTCTGCCCTAAGGGCTCTGGCCCTCACCCAGGCCACCCCCATTCTGTTCTCTCTGGGGGGGCAACCCCATCTCCCAAGCCAGTGCCTCAGAAACAGCCCCTGTGGGAAGCCAAGATGATGTTCACTCTCTCTGATCAGTGCCTCTGCCTCCAGGATGCCAGTCCAGGGGAGTCACTGGAGATGCCCTCGGGGCTCACACACAATGTCCATCATATGGCACTTTCAGCACTGTCCAGAAAGGGGCTGGCTATAAAGCCTACACCCCTCCATATGGTGCAACGCTGTACAGCTGGTAAACGTGACCTCGTACATGAACGTTTTGAGACAAGGAAAAGGTGGGCCTAACACTGTTAAGGCAGGATTTAAAGCAGCAGAAGATATTAGCCGGAGTCTGTTTAGGATGAAAACAAAATTTATCTGCCAAAAAACGGAAGAAAACGCCCCCTAAAAAAGATACTTGTTGTCTCTGGGGATAAAGCTTATGCGCGGTTTCATTTTATTCTTCTTTTAAACATATTTCCCTAGTTTTCTATAATGAATGTGTGATGTTTTTGAAATTAAAGCAAATGTTATTTTAAAACCCATCTGTGAGCAAGCTCTAAGGGAGCAGGCCCAGGAGGTCCTGGCCCTGGGATGTCTGCTCTGGCCTGGCCTGACCCAGCCCCCTGGCACAGGGCTGCTCCTCAAGACAAGGGCACAAAGCCCTTGATGGATCCCAGGTACCTATTTTTGCTCAGAGTATTAAGGGACAAACCAAGGAACATTCCAGCTCTATCCAATGTGGCACATTCACAGGAACAGAGGGGTTTGAATTGGGACTGCCCCAAGCAGCATTCATGACGGCCATAGTGGCCAAGCCCCCACCACACACCTGGCACCTGCTCCAGGCCTGGCCTGGATGGGCAGCAGGTGTGGACTGAGGGTAGGTCCATCTTGTGCCAAGCACTGTGCTGGGCCCCCCTGCCCTAGAGAAGTCTTGTCCAGGGCCAGCATTGGAGCAGCTTCATCTAGATGGGAAGGGTTAACACCTAAACAGACACCCACAAAGACGGCACAGAAGGGGGCCCTCACTCCACTGTGG
The DNA here is from genome assembly GCF_000001405.40 of Homo sapiens. NCBI lineage: Eukaryota > Metazoa > Chordata > Mammalia > Primates > Hominidae > Homo > Homo sapiens. The sequence goes on along the minus strand of NC_000004.12, from coordinate 6,272,105 downwards.
GAAGAGGCAGGCCAGAAATCCTGCAGGAGGACTTGACTGAGCCTTCTGGACAAGCAGGCAGGAGCCAGGCAAGCTGGGAGGTGGCTGGGCATTCCAGCAGGGGTTGTGCCCAGAAGAGGAGGCAGCAGAGGGACAGTGAGCCAGGCTTGTGGCCAGGAACACGCAGGTGGCTGGGAGGTGACTGCTGGAGAGAGGACACAGGAGGGAGAGGCTGAGTGAGCAGCGAGGCGGGTCCCTGAGGGCCCGAAAGAATGCCGGCTCCTGGCTCGGGAGGCGGACCTGACCCGATAGCCCAGAGGGAAGTGGCAGCTGAAGAACCAGCAGGGCTGCGTGCAGCCAGGCCCGGATCGGGACCAGGGAGGAGCCTGGGGGTCGTCCAGGGAGAGGCGAGGGTCCTGAACCAGGGCAGGCATCCGAGTGAGGCTCAGGAGCCAGGAGAGACCCAACTGGGAGTGAGGAATGAAGGGCACAGGGGGTGGTCTGGTTTGTGGCTGGGGCTGGCTGGCTGTGGTGGTACCACTTCCGGAAGTAGGGAAGTGGGAGGGGAGGGGAGCCGTGTAGGCATAAAGCTCCCGACCTATTATGATTCTTATTGCCACCGTCAAGGATGGGTGTTTCGGGTCTGTCTGGCAGTGCAGACATCTCTGGGGGTTGAGACTGAGCTGAGGTCCCCTCTGTGACCAGCCCCAGAAGCCTGTCCAGCACTGGTCCGGGATGGGCAGGGGAGGCCTAAGTCAGAGACGCCCTCCATGCTCTTCCATCCTGGGAAAGAAGGTGAGATGGGGTCTCCCAGCCAACTTTTCCTGTGTCTGCGAAGGGAGGACAAACCAGCAGGTAGGGAAAAGAGGCTGAAATGTGGAGAAGCCTCCCTCCAAATCCCTGGTTGGATACAACGGAGACCCCATGGGAATCACAGACCCTTGGACACAGAAGTAAACAGGTGGCGACAGTGACAAAGGTGGCCTCTGGGCTTCCCGTGGGCTCCCTCTCCTGCTGCAGAGAACAGGCAGCCAGCACATGGGGTACCCAGGGCACAGCTCCTTGAGTGATGGATGCTGGCATAAGAGAAAGCCCTTTACAAACTGCAAAGCCCTGGGCCAAATGCCAGGGGTCACTGTCCAAGGTGAGGAGAGACGGGGCTGCTTCTGGAGAGATAGGGCAGAGGCCTCACACCAGGCTCTGCCCCATCAGCTTCGTGGTCCTGGGCTGGCACCAAACCCTGCTGAGCCTCAGCTTCCTGGGGTGTCAAACGGGGACTATAACTTCTCCGCCTAAGGCTACTGAGAGGGTTAAATCTGGGTGGTGGGGGGTTGCACAAATGCGACTTCCTTGGAATTCATAACATCATCTGCTAAGTGGGTGAGAGGCCAGGGCGCCATCACATCCAAAAGGGCTGGGTAGGATTCTCCAGAAAGTTTTCGTTGATCAAACAAAAAGCTAATGATCCAGAGGGTGGAGTTCATACGAGGCAGGGTCCAGGTGCTGCCACTGAAACCCCTCAACTCTCTACTGAGGGGCCCCGAGAGAGAGAGGAACTGCCACAGCGCTCCTAAGTGGGCTGTGGGGATTCAGAATGACCCCTAAGCTGCCCCTCGGGCGGGCCGGGTCCCCCTGGGGGACTGAACCCCCCTTCCCCCCCACAACACCTCCCGGGGGCCCAGGCGCGTTCCAACGGCCGGGCGGGCACCGAGGGCGGCCGTGGGTCCCGGGACCGCGGGGGAGGGGCATGACGGGGCAACTCGGGGGGGATGGCGCGGGGCGCGGGGAGGGGGCCTGCCCGCCGGCCGCTCCGCCTCTCGGGCCTGCTGTCCCGCCCGCGGCGGGGCTCCAGGCGACAGCGCGCGGGGGACCGGGGCGCGCCCCCCGGGTGACCCGTTCGGGCCCGGAACAGGGGTCGCCTTGCGCGTTGCAGAGCGGGCGGGACCCCCGGCCCTCCAACTTCGGGGACCTTGTCGGGACTTTGGGGCCAGCCACCCATCAGCTCGGAAGGGGAAACTGAGGCCCGAAGAGGACAGTGCCTCAGGGCTCTTGCCCGCCTCCTGCGCGCTGCCCACAGCCACCGCGCCACTGCCCCAGCGCCGAAGTACTCACCGGCCCGTGAGTGGGCCGCACGCGGCGCTGCGACGCCCTGGGGCCTCTGGGCCGGCAGAAAAGTTGTTCGGGAGCAGCTGAACGCGGCGCAAACGGGAGATCTGCGGCCGCGGGGGAGCAATCTGCACTCGCTGCTGAAGAGCCGGCTAGCGCGGCCTTCTGCACGAGGGGGCGGGGCAGGGGCGGGGCCTTCGGCCTCCCTCCACTCCAGACGCGGCCCCCCGGATGCGGCGCCAGCTCGGCCTGCTGAGTGGCCGGTGTAGCCGCCAATCACTCCACATCTCCGCCAATCACGGTGCGCCTCGCCTAGCTGCGGCCCGGCACTCCCCCTGCGTGGTTGGGCCCGAGGGGCCAGAAGGCGGGTCCGGCTCGCCCACAGCGAAAGTTTCCGAGCGGACTCGGGCCCCGGCCCCGCCCCCGCCCCGCCCGCGGAACGTCCAGTTGCTTAGCGAGGCCGCTCGCCTTCTCCTGTAACAGGTGGTTTGGACCCGTGGAAAAGGCTCCGGCCACCTTTCATCCACCACTCCGGCCTCAGCGTCCCCAACTGCAGATTCATTATATTTGCTGTTGCAATATTAACACACGTCTTGAGCGCCTATTCCGGCGCTGCAAGAGAGTCTAAGGGCTCCCCTAATAACAGCAGCAGAGATGGAAAAATGGGGCCTGTTTGAAACGAGTGTCTGCAGCCAAGTACTGCTTTCAGTGCCCAGAATCAAATGCAGTGTAGCAAGCTTTTCACACGGTGACTGTGGGATTCCTTTAAAGTGTGTGTTAGCCCAGGGAGTGGGCAAGGCTCAGGCAGTTTGGAGACTCTGGGAGTTTGGTTCCTGTCTGGGAGGCGTGGTTTGGAGATGAGGGCGAGGGTCTATCCTTGAGAGGCCCTGGGGAACGTGAGACCCTGCCTGCTCTGTCTCTGGTCCCCACAACCAACCTGAGCTACCTGTCCTAGTTATCACAGCAGAAACTGGGGCTCGGAGTGACTGTCAGAGATAATGCTTACCAACATGTTGGGAGCAAATATTCCAGATGGCTTTGGAGATGAGTTCTGAACACACTACTTCGGAGGACTTTTGTCAAAGCGGCGTAGTTCATGTCAGTCACCTCATTTGATTCTCCAGCTGCCCCCACTGCCCACCCCCGATCCCCAATGTTCACGTGTGACCCTGTGAGGCTCACAGAGGAAGGAAGAACACCTGCCGTCAGCCTCGCCTGCTCTGTCCAGGTTGGCTTAGGGGCTTTCACAGCTTTCAAGGGCCCCCCTAGTGACCCAAGGAGGGAGGTGGCACTGAGCCCATTTTTTATTGATGTGAAAATTGAGGCTCAGACATAGTTATTTGCCCAAAGTCTTGAAGATGTCTTTCCACCTTATCACACACTAACTGTAGAAAATTTGGAGAATTACTAAAAGTAGAAAGGAGAAAAAAAATCACTCAAAGATGATCACTGTTCACATTGTGAGATTTATGCACATTTAAGAAAATAATAAATATTAATGTGAACACACAATCACAGAGAGGCTGAAGCACTTCCCAAACCCTTTGCAGGGGCTCATTAAGCAGAGAGAAGAGGACAGATTGAAAAGTTCCTCCTGTGGAGGTCTAAGGGAAGAGAGGAAGTGCAACAAAAAATCTACAAGATGGCTTAAGGAGCCTCTATCAGAACACAGCAACACTGAACATACTCCACGGAGCTAAGAGACTGAAAAAGCAACAGGCAAATTCAGAAAGAGAAGAGTGGAGGTGAGGACAAATGAGCAAACTGGAAGATAATGTGGAGTAAATGCTTCATGATGTAGAGGAAAAGCACATGAAAATCATCAGGACAAAAAGCAGAGACTGGAAAGACAGTTCCAGGAGGTGTATTGCACAAAGGACAGGTACTCCAGGAAGAGCTGGAGGGGAAACAGAGGTGAGCAAAGTGCCAGGAGAACGTGTCCCTGGAAATCCCAGATGCCAAGGATAAAGAGACGGTCTTGCAGAGTTCCAGAAAGAACAGGTCACATCTAAGGGGAGAAAAGTTGAAGTGGTTCCTAGGGGACTTTGGAGCAATGTCCAGGGACTCTGATGATAGGATCAAGGATCCTTACCATGGCTACTACAGGATTCATCTATGTGGACAAAAGAGAGAAAATATCCACTGTGGCAAGACAGAGAAAGGACCTCAGTGATGTCCCCTTTCAGAGGAAGATATTCAGAGTTCCCCCGTCACCGAGACAGTTCAATCACAGTAGAGATTTCAAGATAGAGCAAACGCTCAGAACAGGAAGTGGTGTTAAGCAATGACCCTTGCAAAATATACAGTATGGATAATCCACATGTGCCTGTGATTTTGTACTAGCAGTGCCACATAAGGATTCTTAAAACATAAGCTACATGCTTCAAGAGAAAGTTGTATTAGCCTGGAACTAAAAAAAAAAATAGAATCTTATCACAGAGAAGTCAGAATATTTTAAGATCACATTTGGTTGAGGGGAGAAGGAGGAAGTAAAAGGATCTGATTTGGTGAGTGGGGAAGGAAAGCCTTATTGGTGGTTGGGAGGGGTGCTTCATTACCATTTACTTTTAATACATTAGCAGGGAAAGATTGGTTTAATTATGACTCTCAGCTGGGGAAGGAAAGCCTTATTGGTGGTGGGGAGGGGGCTTCATTACCATTTACTTTTAATACATTATCAGGGAAAGATTGGTTGAATTATGACTCTCAGGAATTGGAAAGTAGCAACTCACGGGAAAGAAGCAGAGTAGAACTCCTGAATTACTAGGTAGAAGTTGGGGGAGGGGTGGAGGGAGAGTAAGGAAGCAAAATTAAGGGGGAAAGTAAATAATAGCAAGAACAATAAGCTTAATAATAGTAAACATAAGATGAGATAAAATAAATAAAGCCATGGCTACCCGCCTTCGTAACACGGTGAATGGGCTGAATTTCCCATCCAAAGTCTGTAAGATTGGGGCAAAAACTAAAGTCCAGTTAAGCGCTATTTACAAGAAACACACCAAAAATATTGAGAAGTAGAAGATCACAGCAGACATTTGAAAAATGGCAAATTACTATTGATAAGGAAGAACGCATGATGGAAAGCATTCACGGGAAGAGTGGTATTATGTAAGGGTGCCAGGCACAATCCACAAAGATTTCATTGTCATGAATCTGAATGAGCCAGAAAATCTAGTAGCCACACACTTAAAGCAGTAACTGCTAGAAATACTAGAACTTATTAAAACACAACTCTGGTGGGAGAAAGAGCCAGCTGTTCAATGCTATCTTTTCTAGGACACCTGTCCTCATTCCCCCAAGAGCTGAGCTCTGCATGTTGCTGCTGAGTATTGAATGAATGAATGGATGGATGGATGGATGAATCACCTATGCAAGGACTTCATATAAGCTCTTTCTTGCCCATAGGACAGTGTCCAAACTCTTTAACCTGACATCCAAATATACCCCCCACAATTCAGTCCTTTGATGTCTGCCCATGATTTTCAGACTCTGCATTCAAGTTCTTGGCCCACTTCCTTCCCTACACCTATTTAAAACCTACTTCCATTTACTCAACAAACATTTAGTGACTTTTGGCCAGGCGTGGTGGCTCACACCTGTAATCCTAGCCCTTTGGGAGGCCGAGGTGGGTGGATCACTTGAGGTCAGCAGTTCGAGACCAGCCTGGCCAACATGGAGAAACCCCATCTCTACTAAAAATACAAAAAAATTAGCCGGGCGTCATGGCACATGCCTGTAATCCCAGCTACACAGGAGGCTGAGGCAGGAGAATCGCTTGATCCCAGGAACTGGAGGTTGCAGTGAGCAGAGATCATGCCACTGCACTCCAGCCTGGGCGACAGAGTAAAACTCTGTCTCAAAAATAATAAGAATAATAATAAAATAAATAAAAATTAAAAAATATAAACATTTAGTGACATCCTGCCTGTTCCAGGCATTGGACTACATGCCAAGTATTCAAAGAAAATGAGGACAGAGGCTTGGTGAGTTGTCATTTGAAAGACAGCAGAGTGTGGCGGTTTACAGGCTATTGGTGTACAAGGCCCCCAAAGAGATCACTTCCTGGAGCCTGTGAATGGTACCTTATTTAGAAAAGGGTTTTTGCAGATGTGATTAAGGATTTTGAGAAGGGGCCATTAGCCTGGCTTATCTCCTTGCAGGAGAGAGGCAGACAGAGATTTGACCACACACGGAGAAGTTGATGTGGACATAGAGCAGAGAGAGATTCCAAGACGCTGGCATTGAAGATAGGAATTATGTGGCCACAAGTCAAGGAATGCAGGCAGTCCCTGGAATCTGGAAGAGCAGGGAACAGATTCTCCTTGATTTTTGCCCAGTGACACTGATTTCAGACTTCCGGCCTTCATAACTGTGGCAGAATCCATTTCTGTGGTTTAAGCTACTGAGTGTGGCAATGAGTTTTTAGCCCACTGGGTTAATGAGATAAGAACAACATGGGCCAGGCATGGTGGCTCACGCCTGTGATCCCAGCACTTTGGGAGGCCTGGAGGTGGGGGGTGGATCACCTGAGGTCGGGAGTTTGAGACCAGCCTGACCAACATGGTGAAACCCCGTCTCTACTAAAAATACAAAATTAGCCGGGCTTGATGGCGCATGCCCGTAATCCCAGCTACTCGGGAAGCTGAGGTTGCGGTGAGCCAAGATCACACCATTGCACTCTAGCCTGGGCAACAAGAGCGAAACTCCATCACACACAAAAAACAACAACAAAAAAACAACATGTGCGGCTGGTTGGGCATGGTAGCGCACACCTGTCATCCCAGCACTTTGGGAGGCCAAGCCAGGGGGATTGCTTGGGCCCAGAAGTTCAAGACCAGCCTAGGCAACATGGCAAAAACCCATCTCCACAAAAAAATTTAAAAATCAGCCAGACGTGGTGGCATGTGCCCATAGTCCCAGCTACTCAGGAAGCTGAAATGGGAGGATTGCTTGAACTGGGGAGTTTGAGGCTGCAGTGAGCCAAGATTGCACCACTGCACTCCAGCCTGGGCATCAGAGTGAGACCCTGTCTCAAAAGAAGAGAAGAGAAGAGAAGAGAAAAGAAAAGAAAAAGTAAAAGAGATAAGGAAAGAAAAAGTAAAAGAGATAAGAATAGAAAAGAACAGAACATGTTTGGGCATGTCGGCCACACATTGGACTTCTAGCACAGCGAAACCCTAGGACTAGCCTTGTCAGCATCCCTGGGAGCCAGGCCCAGGAATCTGCATTTTAACAGGTTCCTGGGGGGTTTGTGAGACATAGGAACATTTGAGACCCATGAGTATAAAGCAGTGTGGTTCATAGTGTGATGGGTCCACCAGACCAGCAACATCAGCATCCAGCATTCCTCAGTCACCTGGACGCCTGTTACGAATGCAGAATCCCGCGCCAACCATGGACCTCCTCAGTCAGAATTTGCATTTTAATAAGATGCCCTTGGGATTTGCATGCACATTAAGGTTGGAGCCAGTGGTGGCATATGCCTGTAGTCCCAGGTACTCGGGAGGCTTGGGCAGGAGGATTGCTTGAGCCCAGGAGTTCAAGACCACCCTGGATGACATAGTGAGACCCTGTTTCTAAATAAATAAATAAAGCAAGCTAGAGAAGCCATGCTGCAAGCTGGAGGTGCTTAGCTCAGGCTATGCACATAGCGCCACCTGGAGAGCTTGTCCTGCCCAGGCCAGCTGGACCAGAAGTCTGCATTCTATGGGGAGTCCTGGATAGGGGTGCAGCAGAGGAACCGCATGGGTGCCTTTGCAATTTAGCAAGGTCTGGAGCTCACTCAGGCCATGTGCCCCATCCACTGCCTCTTTCCTGAGGCCATCCCACCAGGCCTTGACCACATCTAAGGTAGGAAGCTCTCTTTGCTGCTATACCCCGACAGATCTTCCTAACACAATGTGACACACGGGGCAGCCTCCCTCACTGTCCGAGGGTCTGAGGGTATGGAAGCTTCCCAGGATCACACACCCTGCAGCTGCTGGGCCGTAGAGCCTCTGGGCTCCCACCCCCCTCCTTCGTCCTCTCCCACTTCCCTGCTCATATCCCACCCTGGGCCCACCACTCCTCCCTCCTTCCCAGTGTTCCCTTTATAAACCTGAGTTCCCTGCCCACTCTACAGTCTCCTTGGAATCACAGCCCAAGTGGCTGGAGTTGTGGCTGGTGGGGGTGTCGTGGGGGGCTCGGTGCTGGTCACACGGCTCTGTGTCACCAGGGCTGGTGCCACATCAGAGGCCTACGCCTGCCAGCACCTCCACACACACCCCCGTGCACACACCCACCTGCCACACACACACACTGCATTGTCGCCGGGTAGTTCTGAGCCCTCCCATGGGTCTGAGTGGTGATGTGCTCATCTCTGAAGGCAGAGAGCGAACGCCACTTCACAGCCCACAGACGAGTCACCAAGTGCACTGGGAAGTTTCATTTGGGGAATTAAAAAAAAAAAAAAGCCAGGATGCAAAAGCAACTTTGAGGCAGAAGAAGGAAAATGCCCGTGTGGGGAGAGACGCTGTTCCCAGGCCTGCCTGTGTCCCAGTCATGCCCCTACATCACTGAGCAGTGCCAGCTGAGATCCCCCACCTCCCCCAGCCCTCACCTTCGAAATGGGCCCAGCCTGCCCTGGATGCAGGGAGACCATGACAGCAGCCAGCATGGGGCCTGGGCACAGGTCTCAGGTCCCAGGGCTGTGTCACCAGGACTGGACACAGGACACGGCAGCAGCAGGGGCCTCATTTGCTAAGTACATCAATGTGCCCACACCGTGCAGCTGTCATTTCATGCTGAGTCTCTCTTACAAATGTCAGTCACTGGCAGGAAGGGGCAATCGTTCAACACCTGCTACCCGCTCCCTCACAGGTCTCACTGGGTGCCCTGGTGTGAGGTGGAAGGGTCTAAGGCACACAGCCCCGTACCTGCCCTGGAGGGGCTTGTTAGGTCCGGAAGCTGGAAACCCCAGCCACTGTTATTCTGGGGAGGGGCTAACCAGAGGAGAAGTGATGACAGCCTGCGGATTCCTGGCAGGGGGAGAAATTGCAGCAGGTGATGGTGGTCAGGGACGGCTCCCTGGAGGAGGTGCTGGCTTTATTCTGCCCCCTACTCCCCCCAGGTTTTTTTTTGAGATAGGGTCTCACTCCGTTGGAATGTAGTGGTGTGATCTTCCTAGGCTCAGGTGATCCTCCTACCTCAGCCTCCAAAGTAGCTGGGACTACAGGCACACACCACCACATCTAGCTACTTTTTGTATTTTCTGTAGAGAAGGGGTTTTGCCATGTTGCCCAAGCTGGTCTTGAACTCCTGAGCTCAAGTGATCCTCCCATCTCTCTCTGCCCCCCAAAAGTGCCAGGAGTACAGGTGTGAGCCCCCACACCCAGCCGCCCCCTACCCCTTTTTAATAGACCTTATTTCTAAGGGCAGTTTGGGATTCCCAGCAAAGCTGAGTGGAAAGTGCAGACAGTTCCCGTAGATCCCACACCTCCCCATGCAAAGCCTCCCCACACCTGTTCCAATGGATAACCTGCATTGACACATTGCTATCTCCTAGAGCGCAGCATTTACATCGGGGTCCACCCTGGGCATTGTGCATTCTGTGGGTTTGGAAAAATGTAGAATGACGTGGACCACCACTGCAGCATCATACAGAGCAGCGTCACTGTCCTAAGGCTCTTGACACTCCACTGCTTCATCCCTCCCTCCCGCTGCCTCCTGGCAACAACTGATCTTTTCCCAATCTCCATGGTTGTGCCCTGTCCGGAATGTCACAGAGTTGGAACGGTGCAGTGCGTAGACTTTTCAGCTTGGCTCCCTTCACTCCGTGATATGCGGCTCAGTTTCCTCCGTGGCTTTCCATGGCTTGATAACTCATTTCTCTTTATTGCTGAGTAATAGTCCATTGTCTGGATGGACCACAGCTTACGTATCCACTTATGTATCTACTCACCTCCCGAAGGACACGGTGATTGCTTCCAAGAGGCACTGACTTTAAATCAGGGAACTGAGCATGGGGAGGGGCTATGACACGCTTAGGCAATGTCGTTAGACCTGGAGCAACTCATTGGACCTCCCTGGGCGTCAACTCAGTAAATCCTTTGCCCCAAAGGGTTATTGGGAAGACCTGGGAGCTAACCTGCGTGGACGTGGAATTGGTGGACATCAGCTTCCTCCATAACCACACCACAGACCATTACCATCCCTTCCTGAATACTGATTACACCTGGTGGCCCATTAAATCCACCTGACAACCTGGGAGGTAGGATCGTCCTCAGGCTATAGACCAGGAACCAGAGGCTCTGAGAGGTTGAGTCCTGTGCCCATGGCCACTCTGGGTCACCTCTTTGGTCCGACGGCCTCCAATCTCTGCTGCAATGCCACCCCACACTTACCCATGTCTGAAACCCAGCAAGCTCCCTTCTGCGTTTCAGGTGGCTGTAAAGAAGATAACACACAGGTCACAAAAGATGTTTTCTTAGACAAACACCCCCGAGGTGTGGTTTGGGGTGGGGGGGCATTTGCAACATCTCCTCACTTCTTTTTTTTTTTCTTTCTTTCTTTCTTTTTTTTTGAGACAGAGTCTTGTTCTGTCACCCAGGCTAGAGTGCAGTGGCATGATCTCGGTTCACCACAACCTCAGCCTCCTGGGAACAAGCAATCCTCCCACTTCAGCATCCCAGCCACCCTGTAGCTGGGACTACAGGCACACTCCACCATTCCCAGCTAATTTTTTTTTTTTTTTGGTATTTTTTTGTAGAGATGAGGTCTTACATGTTGCCCAGGCTGGTCTTGAACTCCTGGGCTCAAGCAATCCAACTGCCTCAGCCACCCAAACTGCTGGGATTACAGGCAATAGCCACCACGCCTGGCCTCCTCCCTCACTTCTTTCAGCCCTGAGTCCCTCCTGTGATCGTTTCAAAACCCAGAGCTAGGCCAGGCACGGTGGCTCACGCCTGTAATCCCAGCACTTTGGGAGGCTGAGGCAGGCGGATCATGAGGTCAAGAGATCGAGACCATTCTGGCCAACATGGTGAAACCCCATCTTTACTAAAAATACAAAGATTAACTGGGAATGGTGGCATGCACCTTTAGTCTCAGCTACTCAGGAGGCTGAGGCAAGAGAATCATTTGAATCCAGGAGGTGGAGGTTGCAGTGAGCCAAGATCACGCCAATGCACACCAGCCTGGTGACAGAGCAAGACTCTGTCTCAAAAAAAAAAAAAAAAAAAAAAAAAACCACACAAAAAAAGCCAGAGCTGGTGGGAGAGGGAACTTCTTGTTCACTTTAGCAGGAAACAATAGAACAAAATTTTAGGCATCACGGCACTTAGGAAATGTCAAGAAGAGCCAAAAATTACCCAACTCAAAATCCTCCCCAAAACTTTCCGGACACCTGCTTGGCTTGGTAGCAGTGATCAGAATAGCACAGCTCCACGTTGCCATAGAGACGGGCAGAGAAAGTGGGGGGCAGGGTGGGGAGCACTTTTGATGTTTGTGGGAGCAATTTGAACAGTTTTAGCGAAGGAGATATTGTTTTTGACAATCTTTAGAAATATAAATTACCCAGAAGCTTGCCGTGATCACAGATCATTGTTTTCCTTAATTGTTCGATACAATGGAAGCTGCCAGACTCTGGTTGCAACTTGCTTTGTGAAATGCCAAAGAGCTTCTGGTAAGAGAAAGAGAAGAAACTTGGGTATAGGAATTCTCTTGGCACTTTCTCTAGGGCTGCTGTTCTGGTGGGATCCAAAATGCTACGTGAACTCGTTTCAAGTTTTTCCTGGGGAAAGTGTAGTCCTGGTGGCGATTCTTGATTCTACTTACCTTTGTCCTGCCCCAGTGCAGGGACTACAGGCTGGCACCTTGAGAGCTCATCTTCTTTTTCCCTGAGCAAAGAGGGACAGTCTGGCCTGACATCTGTGCAGAGAACCTGCCTGGAGAGACACTGGGGGCCCAAGACATGCTGAGCTTTGAGGGCAGCACGGGCAGGTATTTTCGGAATGAGGCTCAGGGTGGCAAGTGCAGAGCATGGACGGTGAGGTCCGGAGATGGACTGCGAGGGGCTGGGGAAAGGGTGACACTGGAGCTCAGTCTTAAAGAAAGAATAGCTATCAGGTGGGTTCTATCACTCCCCCTATTTTATGGTTCAGGAAACCATACTGCCTTGTCCGGGGTCAGGTGGTAGTTGATAGAGGCGAATTCATGCCCAGCCTGACCCACTCTTTTTTTTTTTTTTTTTTTTTGAGACAGAGTCGCCCAGGCTGGAGTGCAGTGGTGCAAGCTCGGCTTACTGCAAGTTCCACCTCCCGGGGTCACGCCATTCTCCTGCCTCAGCCTCCCGAGTAGCTGGGACTACAGGCGCCCGCCACCGCGCCTGGCTAACTTTTTGTATTTTTAGTAGAGAGGGGGTTTCACCGTGTTAGCCAGGATGGTCTTGATCTCCTGACCTTGTGATCCGCCCGCCTCGGCCTCCCAAAGTGCTGGGATTACAGGCGTGAGCCACCGCGCCCGGCCTCTTTTTTTTTTTTTTTTTTTTTTGAGATGGAGTCTTGCTCTATCTGCCAGGCTGGAGTGCAGCCGCGCGATCTTGGCTCACTGCAACCTCCACCTCCCGAGTTCAAGCAATTCTTATGCCTCAGCCTCCCAAGTAGCTGGCGCTGGCCCCCACGATCAGCTAATTTTGTATTTTTAGTAGAGATGGAGTTTCACCATGTTGGCCAGGCTGGTCATGAACTCCTGACCTCAGGTGATCTGCCCGCCTCGGCCTCCCAAAGTGCTGGGATTACAAGCATGAGCCACCGTGCCAGGCCCAGCCTGACCCACTCTTGATGGCTCAGAGCCTCCTGTGAGAATCAAATAGAATCGATCTTTTGCAGCTGAGGCTCAGAAAGGTTAAGACGCTTGTTCAAGGCCACAGAGCCAAGGACCAAATGTTGTCTTCTCCCTCCTGGCGGGGAGCTCTGTGCCTGCAGACACACCCTGACCTGGTACCAGCTTGTTATCAACCTGCCACATTTTAGACTGCTGCCTCTGAGGCCCCTCTGGGAGTTGAATGACGGGTGAATGTTTCACATCAGTGCACCTGGGCATGTGTCTCTATGTTGGCCTTGCTTTGGAACTTGCACAGCGGTTATCTTGTATGACCAGATGGAGTCAGACCTTCCTGAAGGTGAGATAAGATCTGTGTGCACATCTGCCTTCTCCCCACACCTCTGGGCCAGGGAAGGGCTATTGAACTGAATTGCAGAAGGGCTTTGCAAATTATAAAGTGCTTATAAGGCCAGGCTTGATGGCTCACACCTGTAATCCCAGCACTTTGGGAGGCCAAGGAGGGCAGATCACTTGAGGTCAGGAGTTCGAGACCAGCCTGGCCAACATGGTGAAACCCCTCCCTCCACATCTCTACTAAAAATACAAAAATTAACTAGGCATGGTGATGCGCACCTGTAGTCCCAGCACTTTGGGAGGCCAAGGCGGGAGAATCACTTGAGGTCGGGAGTTCGAGACCAGCCTGGCCAACATGGTGATACCCATCTCTACTAAAATTACAAAAATCAGCCGGGCATAGTGGCACACGCTTGTAGTCCCAGCTACTCGAGAGGCTGAGGCATGAGAATTGCTTGAACCTGGGAGGAGGAGACTGCAGTGAGCTTTTACCACTGCACTCCAGACTGGGTGAGAAAGCAAGACTCTGTCTCAAAAAATTAAAAAAAAATAAATAAAAAAGTGCTTATAAAACTTCTTGACTATAACGATTAAGATTGGTACCGCCTGAGGAACAATTGAGCTCTTTGTCAGAAAGCTGAGAGCATCATTATCAGGAATTTCTCACAAAATGAGAAAGTCGTGAGAAGTAACTGTGGGAAGCACCGACTCCAGCCTGGAGGAGAGATGGCTTGCAGGGGTGTGAGCCACCAGCTGGCCTTTGTGCTCACTGCGCACCCTGGAGCACCCTTCCCCAGCCCTCCTATGGCTGTTCCAGGCCCCTGCTCCAGGTCATCTTAGAGGGGAATTCTCTGACAGCCCTGACTCCCCAAGGCTGTGATCTCTCTGCCATTTCTTTTGTCCACAGGCCTGGTCACGGTCCTGAGGTTGTTTGTATTATTACTTGTTGAAATGAAGGAATGAATGAATGAATGAATGAATGCTTTCACATCCTCCACACAGCAGTCCAAATGACATCAATCCCATCATGTCACTCTCTTGCTTAAAACCCTCCAAAGACTTCCTGATGCACTTAGAAGAAAATGCCCACTCCTTCCTGTGGCCTCCGAGAGTGACCCTCCCCGCTGAGCTCAGGCCCCTCTCTGCCCCTCCCACCCACTCAGCCACACCGGCCTCCTTCCTGTCCCCTGAACACACCAAGCTCTTTCCCAGCCCAGAGCCTTCGTCCATGCTATTCTCTCTGCCCAGAGTCCCTGCTTCACGAAGGCGCCCACTCTCAGCCCTCCTTCCCCACCCTCACACAGCGTCCTCTCCTGCTGCCCTCCACCGCACCCTCCCACCCCTGCTCAATGCAGGCGCTCTTGGTCTCCCTTGTTTGTGTTTTGTTCGTGTCTTTGCCTGTGAATTGCCTCTTCCTCTTTCTCCGTTCCTGGCCTGCACATGACTCACCCGCTGGTTTCTGCCCCTCGCTGGTGGTGCCCTGGCTGCCGTAACAAAGCGCCACAATGAGTGGCTTCGGCCAACAGAAATGCACTCTCCCAAACAGTCCTAGGGTCAGGAGTCTGCAACCCAGGTGTGGGCGGGGTTGGCTCCTTCCTGGGTCCTTGCTTCTCTCCTGGCTTCGCTGGTTGCTGGCGGTCTTTGTGGCAGCATCGCTCCCATCGCGTCTCCGTTGTTCCACAGTCTTCCTTGTCTCTGTTTATATGGCATTAGCTTCTCTGTGTCTGTATCCAGTTTCCTCTTCTGTTTTTATTTTTTTTTTTTCTGAGACAGAATCTCGCTCTGTCTCTCAGGCTGGAGTGCAGTGCCGCAATCTTGGCTCACTGCGACCTCCGCCTCCTGGGTTCAAGCAATTCTCCTGCCTCAGCCTCCTGAGTAGCTGGGATTACAGGCATCCGCCACCACGCCTGGCTAGTTTTTCTATTTTTAGTAGAGATGGGTTTTCACCATGTTGGCCAGGCTGGTCTTGAACTCCCGACCTCAGCCTGCCTTAGCCTCTGAAAGTGCTGGGATTATAGGCGTGAGCTACTGTGCCCGCCTCCTCTTCTTAAAAGGGCACCAGTCCTCAGAGTAGGGCCCCTCCTAGCTGCTACAGGTGGTGAGACAGACATGAGCAGGGCAGGAGAAGGCTTCCCCAACCCACTAGGAATGTCAGGGTATTGCCGCCGGTCACATAATGAACTCATCTTCCCTTGCTTACCTCTTCCAAGACCCTATTTCCAAATGAGGTCATATTCTGAGGCTCTAAGTGGGCATGGATTTAGGGGGCCATTCAACTAGTACACCTACTGTCCCTAGCAACCAGTCCAGGGTATCTATTGATTGATCAATGAATGAATCAGATAATCACTGTGACCTGAGGAGGGTGAGAGGTGACTGGGAGGGCCCGCACTCCCACCTTTCCTTGTTTCTCGAACCACTGGGCTTCCCGGTCAGCCTCGGGTCAGCCTGGAGGGCAGAGGTCAGCAGCATCCCAGAAACGCAGGTCCCAGGGCAGCAGCCTTACCAGAGGGTGACTCCAGGTCACTGGGCCGGCTGTGGCCTCATGTCTGGCAGGGGCTGGATGATCATCTTGCCAGCTTTGCAGAGCACCTTCAGGTGCCGGATGGATGAACAGAACCTCAGAGCCTTTCTCGCTCCAAGGCTGTGTGATTTTTCAACATCACAACCCCAGCCAGGTACGGTGGCTCACACCTGTAATCCCAGTGCTTTGGGAAGCCAAGCTGGGAGGATCGCTTGAGCCCAAGAGTTTCAGACTACCCTGAGCAACACAATGAGACCACGTCTGTATTAGTCCATTTTCACACTACTGTAAAGAATTGCCCAAGGCTGGGTAATTTATAAAGGAAATAGGTTTAATTGACTCACAGTTCAGCATGGCCGGAGAGGCCTACAATCACGGTGGAAGGTGAAGGGGAAGCAAGGCACCTTCTTCACAAGGCAGCAGGAAGGAGAAGCACTGAGCGAAGGGAGAAGAGCCCCCTATAGAACCATCAGATCTCAAAGAACTCACTCACCGTGACGAGAACAGCATGGGGGAAACGGTCCCCATGATCCAATCACCTCCCTGGTCTCTCCCTCGACATGTGACGATTATGGAGATTACAGTTCAAGATGAGATTTGGGTGGGGACACAAAGCCTAACCATATCACCGTCTCTACAAAAAATATAAATACATAAATAATTAATTAGCCAGCATGGTGGCCCACACCTGTAGTCCCAGCTACTCTAGAGACTGAGGCTGGAGGATCACTGGAGCCCAGGAGTTCAAGGCTACAGTGAGCTATGATTGCACCACTGCACTCCAGCCTGGGTGACAGCTCCCAGTGCCCTCACCGTGCGTGTGACTATGTGACTGCTTCTCACCAATGGGAAGCCTGGGAAATGATGAGTCCCACTTCTGCGCTATGGGTTTAAAGAAGACTCTACCGTCTCTACACAGTCATCCTCCAACTGCCAGCCAGGAGTGGGCTCTCCGAGGCCCTGGGGAGAGTGATACCACAGGCTGGATGCAGGTTGGA
Organism: Homo sapiens; assembly: GCF_000001405.40. Classification (NCBI taxonomy): domain Eukaryota; kingdom Metazoa; phylum Chordata; class Mammalia; order Primates; family Hominidae; genus Homo; species Homo sapiens. The sequence continues at coordinate 6,255,344 of NC_000004.12, read as the reverse complement.
TCCCTGAGTCACCATGTGGAGGAAGGTGGCCCATCAACCAGGAGTACCAGCTTGCACTGTTAGGGAACAAAAATGAACTTCTGTTTGCCAAGCTCCTGCAATCTGGGGTTGATTTGTTGCCGCAGCTAGCTTTGCCCCATCTGACACACAGACAAGCCTGACTTCAATCCCGGTCTCACCCTCTGCTAGCCAGCTTGCCTTGGGCAAGTGCCTTTCCTCCTCCCAACCTTGGTTTCCCCATCTGTAACACAGTAGTAATATCTGCCTCCAAAGGCTGCTGTGAGGAGTACATACGGTAACTAATCCAGGCGCAGTGATCAGCACAAAAGCTGGCACCCAGTAAGCAGCCTTAACCAAAGTTAATTTCCCTCTCTGCAGAACCCACACCTTTCCCGGGCCACCACACACCCTCTGCCACTCCTCCACTGGGGGCCAGACATGACTGCACACACTCACATAGGGCTTTTGTGGAGCTGACTAGGAATTATCTGAATAACTCAATGTCTAACAATAAACCAAGAGGCACTCACAGTTATTGAAAGGAGACCAGAATGACAAACGTATTCTTGGCCTCTCTCTAGGGCATGCTGAACCCCAAAATAAGCATTCTTCCAAGTCTCTGCACTGGTAATTCTCAAACATTAGTGTGCAAACGCATCTCTTGGAGATAGTGTTACATTGCAGATTCTATGTCAGTAGGGCTTAGGGGCTGCAATCTTGCTGCTCAAAGTGCCATCTGTGGACCAGTGGTGCCAGCATCACCAAGGATGAGCTAGAAATGCAATCTTGGGCCCTGCCCTGGACCTGCCCATGGGAATGTGCATGTTAACCCAACCCCCATCTGATTCCTGAGCACAGTCACATTTGAGTCCTGTGCTCTAAAGTGACAGAGTTCAGACTTTGAGAGTCTGAATGAGGCAAGGTAAGGATTTTCATAGCTCTGAGAGAGGGTTCTCCTGAGAGGGGACAGACATGGCGTTTGCACGGACTCACACGCTGTGGTATGAGACACATGATCACACTCACTCATTTCTCTCATAAATCTTCACTTCCTTAGAACCTACCCTCCCGTTAGACACTAGCTGTGTCTTCTTCAGCCTGACGGTCCTCTCCGGAAGGTGCGCGTCTGTCTCTCAGCCCAATTCAAAGAGGTGGGAGAGGCGGCCACAGCCTCTGTCGGCCTGCTGGGCACCTGGGGCTATAGAAGAGGGACCGAGGCTCAGCGAGATTAAGTGACCACATCCCACAGCTACTATGGCTGCTGCAGGATTTGAATTTAGGACGATCTCGCTGGGCCCTACTCCCAGCGAGACAAATTAACACAAAGCCCCAGGGAGACAAATTAACCCAAACCCCTGGAAGAATTTTAAAAGCAGAAGCTCAAGCCCCCCACCCCAACACAGATTTTGATTCCGTTGGTCTGGGTGAGGCTACCCAGAAGGCCCTGCTGGGTGGCTTGGGGGCCTGTGCAGAAGGCCAGGTGCACTGCTCCATGATGGCAAAACCAGCCCAGCTCCCTGCTCTCTTGCAAGGGCTCAGCATCTGGTACCAGAGCAGGAGATGCTCACAAGTGAGAATTTCTGTAGGGGTCTACAAAGCAGGTGCTTTCAAAAACAGTGCTCAAAGAAAGTGGGAATTGAGAGGCAAACGAGGGTGTTTCTACCTGGGGTGCAGGAAGGAGCAGGCACGTGGCATTTGAGCTTAGCTTTCGTGAACATATAGGCGTTCTCCGAACACAGCTTGCAGGGAGGGGCTCAGGTAGATGGAATGGCATCTGCAGGGGTTCAGGTTTACGGAAACGGGTCACCTCCCATGGTCTCCCCACTTCCTCCCCTGTCTGCCCTCCAGGCTCACCGGAGCAGCCAGTGATGTCTGGGCTCATCAGTCCTTGGACAAAGCCCTCCAGGAGCTCTGTCTTCTCAATGTAAAAGCCAAAGTCCTTCCAATGCCCCCAAGGCCTTGCGTGGCCTGGCGGTGTCACCCGTGGGCCCCATCTCCCACCTCCACTGTTTTTTTGCTCACTGGCCTCAAGCTGGCCTTGCTGGTCCTGGAACATGCTGAGCCTACTCCTGCCTCAGGTCCTTACACTTGCTGTTCCCTCTGCCTGGATGCTACACAGCCACGCCCAGAGTTCATGATCCCAACACATGTGCCACCTTCTCAGACACCCTCCCTGGCCACCCTAGGGGACACTGCAGCCCTCCCATCCCGTCCCCCTTCCTTCCTCCCTGCTGGGTGCCATAAGCTTAGCTGTTGATTTCTTCGCCTGCCTCCCATTAGAACATGAGTCCAAAGAGGGAGGGCTCCGTTTGCTCACCATTGCCCCCGAGTGCCTAGAGCACTGCCTGGCACCCGGCAGGGGCTCTATAAATAGAGATGGAAAGAGGGAGGTGGGCGGGCATGCGTGGGCTTAGGTGGGCCCAGCAAGAGATGCCCTTGGGCAGGACAGCTTGGTGTGCATGGCCAAGGAGGGTGGGTCCCAAGCCAAAGGCATTGAACACCAGGCTGAGGAGTGAGGATGCCACCTGCTGTATCACCCAGGCAATAGGGAGCCTCTAAAGGCTTTTTCTTTCCCCCAAGATGAAGTCTTGCTCTTGTCGCCCAGGCTGGAGGGCAGTGGTGGGATCTCAGCTCACTGCAACCTCTGCCTCCTGGGTTCAAGCGATTTTCCTGCCTCCCGAGTAGCTGGGATTACAGGTGGGCACCACCACGCCTGGCTAATTTTTGTATTTTTAGTAGAGATGGGGTTTCACCATATTGGCCAGGCTGGTCTCGAACTCCTGGCCTTGTGATCCGCACGCCTCGGCCTCCCAAAGTGCTGAGATTACAGGCTTGAGCCACTGTGCCCGGCCCCTAGAGGCTTTAAGCAGGGGAGTGGCCTGGTCAGAGCCATGCTCTGGGATGGTATGGCCTACCACTGTGGCCCAGCAGGCTTGAGGGTCCCAGTTAGTGCCCCTGGAGCCAAGCAGAGGACTGGACAGGATCCAGCGTGGGGAGGGAGCCCTCCCTGCTCTTGTTACCTTGGCAGAAACCCCGAGAACACTAGGTCCGTGGGCAGCCCCTGCAGGCCTGTCCTGCTCTGCTGGCCAAGGCTTGGAGCTCTGCCTGGGGCAGGAGGTGCCCATGAGAATGCCAGGGAGTGCGAGCTCCCCCAGAGACCCAGGCAACAAGCACCCACTCGACTCCAGGGCTCAGAGCCCTCGCTAGGATGCCGTCAGCATTTGGGCTGCTGCCTTTTGCACTCCAATACTTGAGTTCAAGTCCTGGCTCCACCACTGACTCCGGGCTACAGGGACCTGGGCTATAGCCATGTCCTCCTCTGAACCTTGGTTTCCCCATCTGTGAAATGGCTGGATTTGTGCCCTCAGCTCTGCCCTCTCTTACCTCGCACCTCCCTACCCATGCCCAGAGCCTCCTTGACACAGACAAATGTGCCATCGCCTCTGGAATGCTGGGCACCTTAACAGTCCAGGCCTGCCAGACACTCCAAATTCTAGGGCCTCCCAGGGCCTTAAATGACAGGAAGAGAAGGCCATCTTATCTCTGGAGACAGAAGCTTGGGGCTTGGTTCTATTTCCCTGGCAAATTCTGGGGCACAAACCAGAAAGCTGCAACAGGAAAAGACCCATACTATGCAAGCCTAGGCTTTAAAACCGAGAGGGACCCCGGGAATCTCGCGCGCCAACTGCCTGCACTTTAAGGATAGAGGCACGCGGGCCAGGAGAGAAGTGACTTGCCCAAGGTCACCTGGTGGCAGTGAGTGCCGTGCAAGCCCCAAACCCCCCAGTCCTGGGTTCCCACATCCCTGCAGGCTGGCTCAACTGTAGGGCCTCCGCTGTGGAAATCAGTCCTCCGACCTCAGATCTGGAGGCCCATGGCCAATGCACATTTCCGATTAAACATGCCTTTGAGGCCGGACACGGAAGCTCGCACCTGTTACCCAAGCACTTTGGGAGGCTGATGTGGGAGGATCACTTGAGCTCAGGAGTTCGAGACCAGCCTGAGCAATATAGTGAGACCATGTCTCTACAAAAATGAAAATAAAAAAATTAGCTGGGCATTGTGGTGCACACCTGTGGTTTCAGTTACTTGGGAAGCTGATGGGGAGGATTGCTTCAGCCTGGGAGGTTGAGGCTGCAGTGAGCTATGATCATGCCACTGCACCCCATCCTGAGTGACAGAGCAAGACTCTGCCTCAAAAAAACAAAAACAAAACCCCCCAAACAAACAAAAAACCCAACCCTCACCTTGGCCCTCCCAAAAAAAACCCATGCTTTTGAGGAGGTCAGCAGAAAGCTCTTGTCTTTGGGGTGGGGATCGGGGGTGTAGAGGAAGATTTGACTCTTGGAGGTAACTCCCAGCCCTGTTTGTGACATTTTATTTTTCTCTTTCCAAGCTCCTGGTTGGCAAATCAAACAACTAATCACTTGACTCTTGTGCCCTCTAGTGGTCACTCTTTGAATAGCAATAGTTAGGACTAAATTTAAACGGCAAAGTACTCAGGTAATCCCCAAGCCGTTTGTCTAGGGCCACGCTTCTTAGACACTCCCAGGCCTACAGATCATCTTGGAATATTATTAAAATGCTGATTCTTTCTCAATAGGTCTGGGGCGAGCTCTAGATTCGGCATTTGTAACCAGTTCCCAGGTGATGTCGATGCGGCTGGTGCTTAGAGCACACTTTTGCGTCGGGAAGAGATTCAGCACTTAAGAGCCACCTACATTCCCCTCTATGCAGGTGCCCACAGGAGGCGCTTCCCTGTGCCATCTCACTACCTGACGTCAAAGAAAAGGTGCAGAGGTGACTTCCCCAAGGACGCATAGTGGTGAGGCAGGGGTTTTCACCAAGGATCTTTTGATTCAAAGCCAGTACTCCCCACATGCACAGTAACATATCGGAAGACATTCTATGTTAGCAGATATCACAGACAGCACGGCACAGTCCACTCGGAGCTCAGAGCTCTCCACCTGCTGGATCATCCCTTGCTGCATAATTTGAAAAGCCCAGTGCAAAATAAAAATTCAGGCCCCTTATTCAAAAAGCAGGAGGAAAGTGCAGTTACAGGGGTGAAATAGAAAGCTTTTCCCTTGAAAAATTTATTACTTATGCAATGTAATAGGGATAATAGTGATGCATGAGTAACAACATAAACTTACAAATTTGTCAAAATAATATTTTGGGTGTGATTATTTATACAATAAAACAAATAATACTTTATGTGATAACTGGATTAGAAGCTTTCCCTGGCTCACTTTTCTGCAAATTCATTTATTAGGTTATCAAAGCTTACACTTTTAGCAACTTTGTTTTCAATCGATATAATTGAATGTGACATCAGTTGCTGTTGGCAAATACAAGCTCACAAATCATTTTAGGACACTTTCCATTTTAAGAAGGACCTTTCTGCTGATGCATTTTTTATTGGAGCTATTAAGAGTATCTTATAGGCTATAATAACTTTGAGATACATTTTTTATAATTTTGAAATACAAATGTTGGTATATCTAGAGCTGATGATTCTTGCAGAACAATTTTTCTAAAAATATTTAACTCTTTATACAAATCATTTTTATGTGAATCTGAATTTAATTTTAAATGTAGACAGACAGTGGTATTTTAATGTTTCATGGCTGACCTTCCTGCAACCTGTGGGGGTTATACAGAAAACCAGCGGTGGCTTTAAGGATTGAATGCACTATAGCGTAATTGCCCGTTTATGCCTTGTATCACTGTATCTTGAATTACAAGGGGAATTTAATTTTAAAATCATCTTCCTCATTAATAATTGTATCATCAAAGCTCAGTACGAAAATATTGTTCTTTTGGTCAAACGTGACCATCTTTATCTTTAATTTCTATTTCTAAGCTTTTGGATATTTGTTTATTATAATGTTGCAATAGTTTTTGAAACCAGAGATTCTAAACTTGTTGGAGAGTTCCCGTAACTCCCAATACGCTTTATTACAGTGTCCCTGTGTACACTTCTGTTTTGTAATAACTTATAAAGTTTACTGCTTGAGCCCTGGCAGTTCCCATCCTGGCCTGAGAGTTCCATATTTATGCAGGGGCCGCAGGAGCCACAGGGGCTGGCTCTTGGGATGGAAGGGCTGGCCGGCCCCCCACTGTGGTCTAGGCACTTCCCGGCGTGAAGAGAGGAAATAGTTCACGGCTCACGACTTCAACTTGTCTGGCCATAAAAGTGGGTCGTCAAATTTAAAGGGTCTGTGATGAGGATTGTCTAAGATTTTAAAGCTGCATCCCATGCTTTATTAGGAAGTCCTGAAAGCAATTCAGTGGGCTGTGTGCAGTAGCTAAAACATATGAAATAGAAAAGAAAACAAAGGGTCAGAGCGCACCTCTGAAGTGGAGTAAATATTGTTGGGCAAGGGCTTGGTCTTAGTTATATCTGTGTGCTGGGCCATATGTAAAATTCATTTCTTACCATGCCTCCTGTCCCAGCAGGGTGACTGAGACTGTGATGCCACAGCTCTGCTTGCTCTGTTACCCCTAGTGATTTGGTTTCCTGGGGCACTTTAAATTTGGCCAGAGAAGAATGTCCTGCTGAGGCTTGGGACCCAAGCTCCAGGTGCAGGCCAGGCTGGCATCGACGACCCGACCCACTAGGAGGGGGCGCATGTGCACCAATGTCTGTGTCTGTCACTCCTCTCTGCTCCTCGACCTCACCCGCAATGCTGAAGGCCCAGGTTTGGCTGTTTCATCCCCAATGACCCAGAATGGTGGCCCTAGGTCCTGTAAGTGCGGGCTCATTGGGTGGAGATGTGTGGGCGCCTCAGCTGGGGGGCTTGCTTGCTGGCCAGACATGAAACCCAAGGCCCGACCTGAACCCCAAGGTGCACTGTGAATGGAATCACTTTAGCAATAAGGCTCAACCACAGGGATTACACGAGACAGTCAGCCCAGGCATGGCACATGCCAGGCAGTCCATCTGGGTTTTGTTATCACTGCATCTCCCAGCATTGATCCTGGGAGAGTGACTGTCAATAACAACATGAATAACTAGGTCTAGAGCCCCTGCAGGATACAAGCATCACACAGGGCACTTTAAAAAAATGCATCTGCTTTCATCCTTGCAGTAACCCCGTCAGGTATTGATATCCCATTTTATACATCTGAAACCTGAGGCTGAGAGAGGGAGTGCCCTGCTCAGTGCCCCACCTGAGCTAAGGTGGAGATAAGATTGAGTGTGGGGACTGGGCGTGTCTGCTGACATCGAGACTGGAAGTATTAGATCCCCCAGCTATTCTAACTCGCTTGTGGCAGTGGGGAAAAAAGGCGAAGGGGTGGGCTTCAGGTCCTGCAGGCTTCTGGAGGTAGCACCAAGGCCAGAATTAACCCTGCCCACCATCTGCAGGTAAATCCTTCCTCTTGCTGCCCAAGACACGCACTGCACCTCCTGGACCATGGCACTGCTCCCTCCTCACTTGGAAACTGCCACTTTAGTGTTATTCTGTGGAAAAGCCCTGTCTCAGTTCCAGGTGCCTGGGGATAGCTACTACCAATTTGCTGTGTGTCTGGGAGGACCCCTTTCCCCCTCTGGGCACCTGTATTTCCTATGGTGACAGGAAGGGGCTGAGCTAAATGAGCTACATAGTCAGTGTTAGGGTTGCCAGATAAAATACAGGATGCCCAGTGTGATGGTTAATACTAAGTGTCAACTTGATTGAAGGATACAAAGTATTGATCCTGGATGTGTCTGTGGGGGTGTTGCCAAAGGAGATTAACATTTGAGTCAGTGAACTGGGAAAGGCAGACCCACCCTTCATCTGGGTAGGCACCATCTGATCAGCTGCCAGTGAGGCTAGAAGATAAAGCAGGCAGAAACATGTGAAAGGAGAGACTGGCTTAGCCTCCCAGCCTCCATCTTTCTCCCACGCTGGATGCTTCCTGCCCTCAAACATCAGACTCCAAGTTCTTCAGTTTTGGGACTCGGACTGGCTCTCCTTGCTCCTCAGCTTGCATTTGGCCTATTGTGGGACCTTCTGATCATGTGAGTTAATACTTAATAAATTCTCCTTATATATAGATCTATCCTATTACTTCTGTCCCTCTACAGAACCCAGACTAATACATCCAGTTAGATTTGAATTTCACATAAACAACGGATAACTTTTATATAAGTATATCCCAAATATTGCAAGGGATATACTTACGTTAGCAGTGGCAAATCCATATGGGTCTGCAGCAACCTCAATTCTTTGCATCCTCAGAAGAAATAATTCAACCTAGGGGCATAAGACAGAGTTTGAGACCGAGGCAAGTTTTAGAGCTAATGTGACAGTTTATTAAAAAGTTTTAGAGCAGGAAGGAAAGGATGTAAAGTACACTTGGAAGAGGGCCACGTGGGTGACTTGAGAGATCAAGTGTGCGGTTTCACCTTTGACCTTGGGTTTTATATGTTGGCATGCTTCTTCGGGGTTGTGTCCCTTCTCCCTGATTCTTCCTTTGGGGTGGGCTGTCTGTATTCACAGTGGCCTGCCAGTACTTGGGAGGGGCTGCATTGCGGTGTGTTTACCAGAGTTGTACGCATGCTCTCTTGAGGCGTGCTTCCCTTACCAGTGGAGTTCTCCTAGAAGGTTACAGACCAGTTAAACTCCACCATTTTGCCTCTTAGCGTGAATGCTTGAGCCCACCTGCCCAACTCCTGCGATCTATTCGGAAAGCTGCTGATCACCAGCTTCCAGTGTTTCTACGGAGTGGGAGACCAACTTTCCCTGGCACTGGCTGCATGGGGGGCGGTGGTGGCTCTCCTGCCCTGCTCCTGTCTGACTACCTACCTACTGTAAGACTTACACTGAAAGTTGTCTATCTGAAATTGAGATTTAGCTGGTGGTGTCTGTATTTTTATCTGCTTTATCTGTGAATCCTATTCATAGTCTAATTTGGAGAATCTGACTGTTAATCACTCATCAAGGTTGGCCCAGCTGGCACCAGGGTCCGGGCTCTGGAAGAGCTCCCAGCCCAGAGGGGAAGCAGGGAGAATGCCGGATACCGTGGGGAGGGGGTAAAGTGGGAGGGCAGGGCCGGTAGGGAGGAGGTGGTAACTGCCCGGAGGGAGAGACTGGTCTGGAAAGAAAAGGGTGCCCTTCCTCCTGCAAATGGGGCTAACAGCCCTGCAGGCCCCGCGGTCAGAGCAGAGAACAGACACAGTCAGGATGGAAAAGAAGCCCTCGCCTTTGCTGACGGCGCCTCCAACAAGGTGTGGGGCTCCTCTCTTCCATCCGTAAACGGCTCGACCTGCCCCGCCGGGGGGCTGCGTGCAGGAAATGCAATCGTGTGTGCAGGGCGCGCGGCACAGAGCAGGCCTTCGAGGCGCTGGGAACTGTCATCCACCTGGCTGGGAGAAGGGCGCTGGGGCTCCTGGACTAGGCGGCCTTCGCGAAGCCAGAAGGAGCTGCTTTCCTCCCGCAGACGCCGCGTCCACGATGGCTTCTTGCTCTGGAGCCCACCCTGCTTTGGCTCTGGGCAGCCCCGTCTTCAGCGAAAACTACACCTCCCAGCAGGCTTTGCAGCGCCCGCCTGGCCCCTGGGATGCGCGAGGGGTGCCCTGGGACTTTCTGGAAGCTCTAGTCCTGCCTGGAGAGCAGGGGCGATGCCCGAGTCGCGAGGCCCCGTAGGGCGATGGCTGCAGGCACTGCGGCCGCGCACCCGGGGGTCTGCACGGAGAGCAAGCGCCTCCCGACTGCGCAGTCCCTGTGCTTTCGCTGTGCTGCGAGGCCACCGTAGCCAGGGCTCTGCCCCAGACAGCTCCCGTCCTGGAAGCTCCTCCCGCGCTGCGCAGGAAGCCCCTCTCCCACTGCGGGGTGCGCGCCCTTGCTCGGCTCCCAGGAGCGCGGGCGACCCCCACACCCGAGCACCCAGGGCACAGCCTCCCAGGGGGAGCACCGCACTCCCTGCCCAGGGGCTCTTCTGGCCTTCTGTGCTCAGGTTGCCACTGGTGCAGCAGGCCGGAAGTCCTCCTGGAAGCGGTCCTCCTGCAGACTGGAGGGAGCTGCTGCACAAACACCCTGGCTTCCTCGCCATCACGTGTTGACTCTCAGATGCACGCGCTGCGCTGGCTTCTGGCTTTCCCAGCTCCAGTGGCTAGGATAACCCCCTAACTCACAAAGCTGTCTTCCCTTCCCAGTTTCTCTTCCCTAACTCCCTATAGCATATAATAAATTCCTCTTCAAAGGTTTTAGCCTGTAAATTGTTGAGTACAATGGGTTCTGAGATCCTCTCCAAATAACTAATGTATCAGTATGTTCAGCTCCCCTGTTCTTTGTTCTTCGTTTTAAAGTTTAACTTCCTCGTTTTTTTCGTCTCCTTGCCCCTAGTTTCAGTAAACAACCCCCTCCTTGCCTCTATCACCAGCTCTGTCCCGAGTTACCCCTGGTCACCTGCTCTGACCTGAGTCATCCTGAGTCACCTGTTCTGTAACCATCTTTCCTGCCAAACTACTCACCCCGCCACTCCAGCTCGTACCCCTGCTCTCTTTGAAATGGCCAGTTGGAATTAGCTTAGACTGTGCAGTCCAACACTAGCCAATAGGGGAATGACACAGCAGGAGGGGCTGCTTGAGTCAGAAATAAAAACCCCTTCCCCTCCCTTGTTCAGGTGTGCTTTTGCCATTGCTCCATCCACGAATCACACCCTTCTATAGAAGTAAAATTGCCTTGCTGAGAAAATTAAATTTATGTCCGAGTGCCATGAAAATTTATTTATAACATCCCCTACCTGGGATTACCTCCCAGATAACCCGCTTGCAGGCAAATGCTGATCTTGGGGTTGGTTTCTTGGGGACCGAAACTTGGACAAGTTGATTGCCTTACTCCATCTTCACCCCACCATTTAAGGCTGACAAGTAGCGATTATTGACCTAATGTTGTTGGTTGTCTCCTCAATGGAGAAAACCAACTGTGCCCCAAGTCACCGTGGTGGCCCACAGGAGGTAGCAATGGGCTCAAAATCAGGGCTCCAGAGGCCAAGACCGTAAGCGCTCTGGTCCCCATGGCTGCTTGGCGCCTGTGCACATGGTCAGAGTGGGTGTGTACATGTCCCTCTAAGGGATGTCAGGTGTGGAAAGATGGAGCCATGTTACCAAAATCTTCCCAAATCAATGCTGCCCAGGTTATAGTCCACAGTAGGAACACTTACAGAGCAGATGCTCTGCTGAGCCCCAGACACAGACACAGACTGAGCTGGTTGCTCACACAGACTCACACGTGCACACATACATGCACATGCATGCACACACATGCACACTCATGAACACACACACAGACACACACACACAAACTTATTTTCTCCTTGGTCAGCAAAGCTGTCTGACTGTCCACCTGCAAAGCCCTGAGACTTTGCATCCTTCCTTTGCTGCTATGGGAGCTACACTTGAGCACCTGGGAGGGGTCCTGGAGGCTGGTCCTGGGGCAGGACATGGCCTTATGCTGCAGAGTAGGGAAGGGAGAGGAAGAGTTACTGCCAGGACAAAGCTGGGGGAGCACCAGTCTCACTTGATCTTAATTCATTCACTCTCCTCTTAAACCCTCCTGGAGACCTACTGGGCCTGGGAAAGAACTCGGAGGTTCACTTTGCCCTGGGACTGGGTCTTGAAGGCTGAAGCTCTGCTCCCCACCTTGGCACCCCCAGTACCCCTGGTGTACATGACTCAAGGTCACCCCGATGCCTTGACCACACCAGTACCCCTGATTCACTACCCCTGTGCCACACTTCTGAGACTCAGAGCCCTGTGAAGTCATAAAACATCTCTAATTTCTGGACTTCCAGCACCAAGCCCAGGGCTTGTCATACAGTAGGTGCTCAGAAGATGTCTTCTGGAAGGAATGAACTTAGTGAGCGGACTGGAGTGGGAACTGCAGGAAGTAGAGAGAGTGGCTGGAGCCAGGAAGGAGCTGAATCTGGCAAAACTGCTTTCTGGACATTACTTGATGCTAGATGCATTTGTAACTCTGCTTTCTGAAAGCCACGTTCCTTTCTCATCACACTGCCCAGGTACCAGCTCCAGCACCTTCCATCACACGTTCCCTGTGAGGACGCTCATGTGAACACACCTGACGTTAGCCAGCCCCCCACTGCCCAACAGCCCACAGCATTCTGCAGCTGCTTCCCAAAGCAGCCAATGTCATGACTGCAGGAATTGCATCTGAGTGTCAAGGAAGAAAGAATGGGGGCTGGTGGGCTTATTAACACTAAAGAGTGTGCCTCCTACCTGCTCCCTGCATCTGGTAAGACCCAAGTCTGCCTATTCCTTCTTCCTTAGTAGCCCTCGAGCCTGACCACTTTTGTCCAATCCTACATGATGTATGTGTAAAATTTCACATGGAAATCACTCCAAGGCCAATGCTCTCACTCAAGGTTAGGGGAATGGGAGGGGCATGGAGGGGAAGGGTCTCTCCAAGCTTCTGCAGCAGCAGGACCCACCCACCCCTCTCATGCCAGGGGCCTGGGTCGGAGCTTCACTGTTTGAGAGCAGGAGTGCTCCAGCCTGTGTCCAGCCGTGGTGTGCCCTAGGAGTCACTGCACCATCGTGTGCTGGTGTAACCGTAGGCTGTCCCCACTGCAGTGTCCATCAGCGGGGACAGGGTGCTGGGGTTGGCTGCATCACACCATACACAGGTGACAACAAAGGGGACTACATGTAGATGGGAAGGAGTGCTAAGTCAGGCGCAGAACAGCACACCAAGAACAATATGAACAGTGCCCTCCCATGGGTAAGAAATAGGAATCACGCTGCTGACAGGCGAGCTTCTCTGCTAGTGTTTGTATGGTGCTGACGGCTGGTCAGAAACGCACTAGTGGGGCCACATCAGGTCTGTTTGGCAAATGTCCCCCAGACCATCCACCATCTAAGGTGCTGAAACCTGGCTCAGCACATGACCCCCAGGGACCCTGCTCCAAGGACAAAGCCTGCTTGCTGGTGGTGTCCTGAGAAGTGCCAGTTTTCAACTATTCAACTATCAACCCATTCATTCATAAATAGAAAAATGCCTGGAAGGAAAGATGCACATGAAAATGTTAACAGCGAAAACTTCCAGGGAGAGGAAGGGGAATGGCCGCAGTTTCTGACTGTCCAAAGGATTGCGTCTGAATATTTTAGGACGAAATGGCATTCATGAGTTTTTCTTTAAAGAAAAGAGTGTATCCGGCTGGGCATGGTGGCTCACGCCTGTAATCTCAGCACTTTGGGAGGCCGAGGCAGGCGGATCACGAGGTCAGGAGATCGAGACCATCCTGGCTAACACAGTGAAACCCTGTCTCTACTAAAAATACAAAAAAAAAATTAGCCGGGCTTGGTGGTGGGCGCCTGTAGTCCCAGCTACTCGGGAGGCTGAGGCAGGAAAATGGCGTGAACCCAGGAGGCGGAGCTTGCAGTGAGCAGAGACCACGCCACTGCACTCCAGCCTGGGCAACAGAGTGAGACTGCGTCAAAAAAAAAAAAAAAAAAAGCGTGTATCCTCCGATCCTGCACAAGGATGCATCATCTACTGCTCTCCTCCCTCCCTCCCTTCCTCTGCATTTCCAATCTCCTTCCCTTTGCACACACAGGTTTCCCTGCCTGCGTGCCGGTGTCCCCTTTGATGAAGGAGTTTGTAACTGTCCCCATGGGCCCCGCTGGAAGGCTCTGGCCTCTATCTGGCCCTTCGCTGAGCCACCCTGCTGCATAACTCGTTGCCTCCCACCTGAGTGCCAACGGCACCTTGTCCATGGAGGCAGACTCCCCAGCCCCCTGCCCCTGTCCCCTGACAGGCTCCTTACCAGGGGCTCCTTCATCTCTGCATTCCTCTGCCCAGTGCCCAGCTCAGGGCCTGGTACCCATGGGGCTGGGTTAGGGATGACCGGAGTCATTGTCTATCTCCCCATCCTCCAGCACACAGCATAGCTGGGATGCGCTGACACACAGGAATGTTTGTTGAGTGAAGAAAAGAGTGAAGCATGTACGAATAAGTCAATGGACAGACAGGAGTGTCCCAGGGCCTTGGCTGTATGGCCTAGTGAGGACCGGAAGGAGCATGAGGCAGGGGAGAGGGGAGAAGGGAGAGTGGAGGGGGCAGCGAGCGCCCTCCACGGCCCGGCTCACCCGGTGTCCATCACTTGCGGGCTGAAGTGGGACAGCATCAGCACCATGCTGAGGGTCTCAAACTCCTCCAGGTCCCCCCCATAGGTCTTCAGCCCTGCCAGCTCCACCTCCAGCCTCTACTGCTGGTTCTGAAAGGAACATGAGAGGTGCATGCCCTGGCCTCTACTGGGAGAGAGACACTCAGATGTCATGAATAGACGGGCAACAAGTGAAAGAGTAAATAAGAAAGGGAATGAAGTACATAAATACATATATAAGTAAATGAATAAGTAAATACATATGTCAGCAAATCAAAAGTAAATATGTAAATAAGTACATAAGTAAATAAATAGGTGAATAAATAAATAAGCAAGTAAATAAATATGTAAATAAATACACTCATGCCCTGCAGAGCACCTGAGATCTATAGACATTGCCAGGATCTCTCTTCCTCTCCAGGAAGTGGAATAATGGCCCCACCCACACTGTCTCCACTCGTTAAAATCCTATGACTTCTGGCCGGGTGCAGTGGCTCATGCCTGTAGTCCCAGCACTTTGGGAGGTCGAGATGGGCAGATCACTTGAGGCCAGGAGTTTGAGACCAGCCTGGCCAACATGGTGAAGCCCTGTCTCTACTAAAAGTAGAAAAAATTAGCTACTCAGGAGGCTGAGGCAGAAGAATCACTTGAACCTGGGAAGTGGAGGTTGCAGTGACCTACGATTGCACCACTGTGCTCCAGCCTGAGCAACAGACTGAGAATTCAGCTCAAAAACTCCTATTACTTCACTCTGGGCCGTTTGCAGGAGCTCAAGAGCTCACCAGACCCTCAGAGAGGCATGCCTGCCTCATTTTATAGGCTGGGGAAGCGAAGTTCCAAGGGGCTCAGGGACCTGTCCAGAGGTCCCCCAGCCGGGGAGGAGGGCTGAGTTCCACAATTGTGTCCATCCAATTCTGGACCTGAGCCTTTCCCAGGTTCCTTTTGCGTGGCTTCACCAGGGCTGTGCAGGTGGAAATCAGGTCCCGCCCAGCCAAGAGAAGGGGCAATCCAGTGGTGAGGGCTCTGGAGGCTCTAGCCCACTGGAATACAAGCTGTCAGCCAGGCCTCTCCCACTGCGGCCTCTGACCTTTGGCATCCTAGGAGGGGGCGCCTGTCTTCAGGAGCTCCCGTCTTCAGGAGCTCCGCCAGGTGAGGCACCTTGCTTAGAGGGTCGTGGACGCAAACCCCAAGGACCCCTGTGGGCTGTTTTTCAGGGACCTCTGTCGGGTGGGCTATTGCGTGATGGCTTTGGATTACTGGAATGTTTTCTTTCTTTTAAAAAATTTAACACCCACTGTTCTTCAGAATTCTTTAATAAGCTGCAGGGAAATGAATAAAGTTACTCTCAAAGGAAAAAGGATTTTGATGGAATTTGGGGTGCACAAAAGTCTGGGCTGAAGGGCCTTTGGGAGGGATGGGAGTGGGTCAGCTGCAACCCTGATCCAAGGTGACCCCAGGGCGCCAGGTGCCCTGCTAGGTACTGCTCTAGGTGGTCCACACGGACAAGTCTCTGTGATCGCCATGACAACCCCATGGAGCAGGACCTACCTGCATCCCTGGATGACAGGCAGGCGGTGAGGAAAGCTGCCTGGGGCACATGGCTACGGAGGACACAGCCAGGATTCCAGCCCCCGATGGCCAGGCCAGGGCCTGGGCTCCTAACCACGAGAGACTCCAACGCCACTCCAGGGTCCCAGCAAGGCTTGTGCTTTTTACATAATCATTGAACTTCCAGAAATCCCTCTAAGGAAGCCAACAAGAATGGGCACAAAGACACACACAGAGCAGAACGTTCAGCAGCCTGATTTCTAACGTAAGAACCAGGTGTCACCAAAACGTACAGTCATAATGGCCAGGCACGGTGGCTCACGCCTGTAATCCTAGCACTTTGGGAGGCCGAGGAGGGCGGATCACTTGAGGTCAGAAGTTCAACACCAGCCTGGTTAATGTGGTGAAACCCCATCCCGACTAAAAATACAAAAATTAGCCGGAAATCACTTGAACTCAGGAGGCGGAGTTTGCAGTGAGCCAAGATCATGCCACGGTACTCCAGCCTGGGCGACAGAGTGAGACTCTGTTTCAAAACAAACAAACAAACAAACAACGACACAGTGAGGAACTGGGCAGCCAGTGCGGCTCACGCATATGATGAAATATTATGCAGCCAGGAGGGGCGATGCCTAAAAGAACGTTGAAGGAGATGTGAAAATGCTCACGCTCTTCTGCAAATGGGAGCTGCAGGACGGATTTTACCTTCATGTCCATCTCTCTATCTCTCTTTCTCTCCATCTTTCTATCTCTATCTCTATATAGAGATATAGTTAGATATATTTATTTAGATAAATATAAGATAAATATGCAGATATACAAATAACATGCAGATATATTTAGGTAGAGAGATAGAGAAATAGGCGGGTAGATTCAGATATTTATAGAAAATAAGACTAGAAACACTGCACTGAAATGCTAACAACACTTCTCTACTGATAGTGTTTACATTTTCTTCATATACTTTTCTGAAATTTCAAAATTTTCTTCAATTAATATGTTTATTTTATTTTATTTATTTTGAGACAGAGTCTCGCTCTGTCACCCAGGTTGGAGTGCAGTGGTGCAACCTCAGCTCACTGCAACATCCGCCTCTTGGGTTCAAGCGATTCTCGTGCCTCAGCCTCCTGAGTAGCTGGGATTACAGGTGCCTGCCACCAAACCCAGCTAATTTTTGTATTTTCATTAGAGACGGGGTTTCACCATGTTGGCCAGGCTGGTCTCGAACTCCTGGCCTCAAGTGATCTACCCGCCCTGGTCTCCCAAAGGGCTGCGATTACAGGCAGGAGCCACTGTGCCTAGCTTCAATGAATATGCTAATTTTATAAGCAGAATAAAACAATAATTTTATTTTATTTTATTTTTTTGAGATGAAGCCTTGCTCTGTCGCCCAGGCTTGAGTGCAGTGGTGCGATCTTGGCTCACTGCAACCTCCACCTCCCAGATTCAAGTGATTCTCCTGCCTCAGCCTCCCAAGTAGTTGGGATTACAGGCATGTGCCACCACGCCCGGCTAATTTTTTTGTATGTTTAGTAGAGACAGGGTTTCGCCATGTTGGCCAGGCTGGTCTCGAACTGCTGACCTCAGGTGATCCGCCCACCTCGGCCTCCCAAAGTGCTGGGATTACAGGTGTGATCCATCTTGCCCGGCCCTTGAAATTCCTTTTAATAGAGTTTGTTTCTTCCTCTGATAATTTAAGTGACATCTATCCATTGGGGAAAATGTGGCAGACACAGAAAGGACTGAAGAATTGCATAACATCTTCTTTCATCTTGCCGGCCAGAGATTACCACCATTACCATTGATGTGGGTTTATGTATGTGTGTCATTTTACATAGTTGATGTTGTTGAGAAGTAGTGAAGAACAGAGTTCTTGGACCCAGACAGCCTGGATTTAAATCTCAGATTGACCACTCACTAGCTGTTCAACATTGGACAAGTTACTTAACCTCTCTGTGCTGCATTTTATCTTTAGAAGGAGATGATATTATCACCTGCCTTGCAGTACTTTTATGAGAATTAAGACAGGTTATTTGTATGAAGTGCTTAGAACTGTGCCTCATTGAAAACTTTATTCTTCATCTGATTGTAAATTTTACTATTGTTATTCCTCTAGCGACTTTTCTGTTTTGTTCTGATTAATATTATATCCTCTATGTAGGTGATTCTGACTAGGATTACAAACCATAGGTCATCACAGATGCCAGGGAGTTGCTGAACTTGATTACCCATTTTTCAGCAATTTATAGATAAACTCTTGCAAGAAACACAGGTTGAGAGAAGCAGAACTCCTCTCTGGATGCGGACATCTGAGCAGAAGGGACTCGGGGCCCTCAGCTTCCTCCTCTGACTTGACCTCATTTGTCCCTCCTCTTCCTCCAGAGGCTCCAGGTGCTATGAGTACGTGGCAGGATCTTTTTTAAATTCCCCTAAAAAGCAAAGAAATCCTGTCACAGAGGTCAGCCCACGAGCAGAGAATTAGCAGCACTTCCAGGCCTGGCCCTCTGTCCACATGTGGGCGAACCAGCCTCTGCCTCAGGGTCCCCTGTTTGGTGGACAGAGAGACAGACAAGCAGAGCACGCCAGGACCAGGCAGGGGCAGAGGCCAGCAGAGGAGGCCTCCTGGAGTAAGGGTCCTTGATTGAGATGGTGTTTTTTTGTTTTGTTTTGTTTTTTGCCTAACAGCTTTATTGAGATCTAGTTCACATATCATGGTTGGGTGCAGTGGCTCACGCCTGTAATCTCAGCACTTTGGGTGGCCGAGGTGGACAGACCCCTTGAGTCCAGGAGTTCGAAACCATGCTGGGTAACGTGGCGTAAAACCCATCTCTACAAAATAATTAGCCAGGCATGGTGACCAACGCCAGCAGTCCCAGCTACTCAGGAGGCTGAGGTGGGAGGATCAGCTGAACCTGGGAGGTTGAGGCTGCAGTGAGTTGTGATTGTACCACTGGACTCCAGCCTGGACGACAGAGTGAGACCTTGACTCAATAAATAAATAAATAAATATAAATAAAGAAATAAAAATAAAGTAAGTGTGTGATTCAGTGGTTTTTAGTAGGTTCACAGACATGCAACCATCACCCCAATTTTAGGACATTTTCATCCTTTATAAAGAAACTCGCAGCCTTTGGCTATCACTCCCTTATCCTCCCGAAACCCAGCCCTAGACAACCAGCAATCTCCTTTCTGCCTCTACAGATCTCCTGCTCTGGACATCTGGTGTGAATGGAATCACACCGTGTGTGGTCCTTTGTGTCTGGTTTCTTTCACTTACTATGTTCTCAAGTTTCCTCCGCATCGTGGTGCATATCATACTTCACTCCTCTGTACGGCCCAAGGTTACGCTGTTGTAAGGATGGGCCACGTTTTGTTTATCCATTCAACCCTTGATGGGCGTTTGGTTTGTTTCCACTTTTTGGCTATTACGAACTGTGCCGCGATGAGCGTTCATGTTCATATTTTTGGTTGATCATACATTTGCAGTTCTTTGGGTGTACACATAGAAAGTGGTAAAGAACAGAGTCCTTGGAACCAGACAGCCTGGACTGAAACCTCAGATTGGCCACCGGAGCGGAATGGCTGGGTCACACGGCAACTCTATGTTTAACCTTTTGAGGAGCTGTCAGACCATTCTCCAATGCAGTGTGCCCTCTGTCACCACCAGAGCAGCAGGGCTTCAGTTTCTCTACATGCTTGCCAGCACCTGTTATTGTCTTTTTGGTGGGATTTTGAGGCATGAACAGGAGCAAGACTGGCACACAAAGGTGAAAAGCCACGGCAGGAGAAGGACAGCGTGCAGGGAGCCACACAGCATGTGCCTGTGGGGTTCCTTAGCAGCCTGCCGTTCCTAGAGAGGGGGTGGAGGCAGAAAGTCACTGATCCCTCCAGCCCCCAAACCCATCATCGTAACCATGGGCACCCAGAATGTGCCACACGGTTAGAGACCGTGACATGAGGAACATCGAATCCTACAGCTGCCCTTGAGGTCAGCACGATGATCCCATTTTCACCTAAGGAAACCAAGGCAAAGGGTGAAGAATTTGCCCAAGGTAAAAGAGGTAGTAGGTGACAGAGCGGGGATTCAGGCCCTTGATGGTGACACAGCACTGTCCACTAAGCTGTCCCTAAGGTGGAGATGCCTGCTGGACTCCCCACAGAAAGGAGACATCAAGATCTGAAACTTGGGGGCCTCCTGCAGAGGCAGAAAACTTGTCCTAGGCTGCTGGGCTGGGAATGCGGAGCCCCGGGAGTGACACCAATGGAAACGGGGTTGCTCTTTGGGGTGACAGAGATGTTCTAAAGTCCACCACAGTGATGGCTGCATATATCTGAAAATACACTAGAAACCACTGAACTGTATAGACTTTCAACCAGTGGGCACTATGGCATGGGAATTACATCTCAACAGCCCTGCTGATGAAAACGCTGGACCCCTGCTCCCATCTTCTCAGCACCCTCGTTTTGCAGACGAGGAAGCCGAGGCCTGGGCTGGATGTGGAAGAGCAGGGAAGGTTCTTCCGGGGTGGAGATAGCTGAGTCCTGGTCTCGCTCCTCAGATCCCAGGGCTACAAGAGCCATTTGAGACCTGAACCCCAAAGAATGCAAGGTTAACACCCCATCCCCAATCAGGGCCCCGCCTCAGAGACTGCAGCTGCCAAAAGCACTGATTTCCAGCAAGATCCACCAAGAAAAGTGGAAATGGGAAAGCTCTCAAGAGCCCGACTGCTACTGTAAAATTGTAGGTGATTTAGAGAGAAGATGAAACGAGGTTTGCCCATGTCTGTTTCCTTTTAAACGGTCACGCAGGCCCCCAGAGAGTTACAGTGGTTCACGGCCACGTGCATCTACAACTTTTCATGGTCCCCCAGCACACGGTTTTATAGATTTTGAAACACGCCTGAATTCTCTCTGGTGGGTAATTTACACAGAATAACTCTACGCATCCAAGCACACATGTTTTGCTCCAGAGCAGGTGATAAGATGCATTTTCTGTCTTCAGTGCCATTATTCACCCTAAACAAGACATTACCAAGAACTGTTCATTTCCTTTCAAACACCAGACGTAGCACGAGTCTCCTGGATATTCCTTCAGCAAATATTCAGTATCTGCTATGGATCAGGGATGCGCCCGGAGCCCCACACAGCACCGCCCTCCAGACCCGTGTGTGCATGTGTGTGGTATGAGTGTGTTGTATGTAGTATGTGTTTGTATGTGTGCGGAGTGTTTGGAGTGTATGTGGGTGGTGTATGTGTGTATATGAGTGTGAAGTGTGGGGTATGTGTTGTGTTTGTAATGTGTATAATGTGTGTTATATGTAGTGCATGTGTATGTTGTGTGTGTGTAGAATGCATGTGTTTGTATGGTGTTGTGTGTAATGTGTGTTGTGGGACAGTAACAGGGGATGATCATTGCAAAGTGAAGGGTATGTGGGGAAGCCTTAGGAGCCCTGGGGAGGCCCAACCCCAAGCCCAGGTCAGGAAAGTCTTCCTGGAGGAGGTGACCTCTCTGCTGCACTGGGCCCTGCACGAGGCACTGTGTATTCTCAGGAGAGCCCTGCCAGGCAGGCAGTGTCATCCTTATTTTACAGATGAGGCCGGGTAAGCACACGGTAGCTGCGTAACTGGCCCTGCGTGACTCAGCAAGCAGGGTGCAGAGCAGGGGCCTACGTGAGATCTATTTCTGTTTTAACAACCCTAAAGGATAGGTGGGAAGAGAAAACCCAATGTCACCCCTTAGTCCAGCACCTGCCATGGCTGTTTTCACGATCTTTCTCTCGATTTTACACAGATGCAATTGTGGTGGGGCTTCTCTGTGTCCAATGGGTCTCATTTCACTAGAATGCAAGACGTTTTAACGCCAGGATGTTCGTATTCACTCGCACGCTTGGCCCTTGGTTTCGTCAGCGCGGAGCTCTGCCTCGTCCTTCCTGTGTCCCCAGTACCTCGCTCTGTCCCTGGAAGGAATACACGCTCTAGGGTCATTTGTTGAACACATCCATTCATTTGTCCACTCATTGGATACTTATTGAGCACCTACTGGGAGTGCCAGGCGTGGTTCTAGGCCCGGGGTTCACCACAGTGAACAAAACAGGCAAAACAGTTGCTGAACTTGAGGGCCTTCTCTTCCAGTGGGAGACAGGCAATAACACCAGGAATGAGCAAGTGGAAGAGGCTGCGAGGTGGCAATGCACTCATGGAGAGAAACGGGCAGGGGCTGGAGGTTTGCACCGGTGACCTGGGTGGCGTCCCTGGGCAGGAGACAGGTGAGCAAAGACCTGGTTGAAGGGTGGTCTCAAGAGCCCTGAGGCCACATGGGCACAGAACCTCATCATAATCATGGGCACCCAGAATGTGCCACAGGTCAGAGAATGCGGCATCCAGACCCGAGGTGGCCACAGGCCTGGGGATGCTCTGGGATACTTGAGGAGCTCGTAGAGATGGAATAAAGTGAGCGAGCGCTCCAGGAGAAGCTGACGTCCGTGTCCTGCGTGGCCCAGAGCAGGCGGGCCTGGCGAACTAAGAGGAAAACAGATATAGTGGAAGACCTACCCTGTCCTAAACACCCACCTGGTGGTAAGTGGGCTTGACTAGAGTCTGTCTTAAAATTGCATTTTAATAACAAGAGGTGTCACGTGGGCCGCCTGTTGGTGACCTCTGGCGCAGGTGGAGTCAAGGCCAGCGTTTGCGGCTGAGCCGCCTGGCCCAGGCTGGTTACCTGAGAGGCGCTGCAGGTGCTGCCTTTGCAGCAGGTTCCTTCTTGTTGCACAGGGAGCTGAAGAGCTGCCTGGAGGTCCCGCAGTAGAGGTCATTGAGTTCATCTCCCTGAGGACAGAAAGGGTTTCAGGTGAGCAGGGAGGAGGCGCCTTCTCTGAACATAAAATCAGCTGAAAAAGACACACGGGCTTTGTGTGGACAGGGCTGGGCCCTGCAACTCCCTTTCCCCACTGTAAATTTCCTTGCTAGGTGTGACACCTTTCTGAGCACAGATGAGAATTTCAATTCATCTCAAGACCTCTGTCATCCGGTGAGAGAGAAAGTGCTAGGTCCTCAGTAGATAGAGGTGCGTTTTCAGAATTTGTCTCAGGAAAGGGCTCAGCCCTATTTGGGGGACACCAATCAGAGGGTCAGAGGTGCCTTCTTTGATTGCAAACATCATCTCGAGGGGTCTTCATGTTACCTGCTGGAGGAGGATCAATGCTGTTCAATTTAATCTGAGGTCTGAAAACCCCAATGAGCCAAGAGGAAACACCAGGTACCTCTGATGTCAATGTATAAGCACCTGGCTAGGTACGGAATGAAGATGAGGGAGAAACGAGGAAAAATGGAAACTTCATTTTTTAGCATGGCAGATTCTAGGTGATACTTTTAAAATGGATATTGACTACTAATTTATTTTTATACAGCAAACTCTTAAAATTACTATGTTTTAAATAAGGCAGTGATATATTTTATTTGTTTAAAGACGAGGCTGCTGTGTTGGAGTGACCTTTCCTTGTAACACACCAGGTTTTTGCATGACGACAATTTACAAACAATCCCCCAAATAAGGAGAAGGCCGCAGGGCCTCAGCATGAATGAAGAATTCAGCAAGACAAGCTGTTCTCTGCTAAGCTTGGACAAATGGCATTTTGGGAGAAAACCAGGAGCAGGAATGACAGCTGTTCTCAGGCACCCTCTGCTTAACTCTGGTACCAAGAGATCTGACATTCATGATGAGGACCAGAGGCCTTGCAGCTCCCCTGGAACCATCAGAGACGCCACCATGCGTGGGTATATCTGCTAGTTCTATGCCAGACCAGAGATTTTCCAGTTGATTATTTTTATCTACAGGCACTTGATTGAAAACAAAGGTTACGTGGAAACCCAATAAGTACGATGGGCCAGAGTAGACCTACCTGTGGACCAACTCAGCCTTCTGTATGTTTTTATAAATAAAGTTTTATTGGCATGCAGACACGGCCCTTTGTGAACATATTGTCTATGGCTGCTTTCCTGCTACAAGCATAGAGTTGAATGACTGCGATGGAGGCCACGTGGCCCACAAAGCCTATGACAGTTGCTATCTATCCCTTTCCAGAAAAAGTTTGCTGACCCCTGCTTTGGAGGAAGCTAGGGTGGGGGCCATGCCCCAGCGCACAGGGAGGGGCACTAAGTGTGAACACTTACCGCAAGTGTGAACACTTGCCATGTACCAGGCGCTGAGTACCAACCTCTCTGTGGTTTAGCTCATTCATCCTCACTGAGCCCTGAGGAGAAGGGCCTGTGACAGCCCCATTTTTCAGATGAAGAAACTGAGGCAGTGAGTGTTCCAGCAATTTGTGCAAGGCCACAGAGCCACCGAGTGGTAGAGCTGCCATTCCAACCTGGGCACTTGGACTCTGGAGCCCACACCCTGGTCACCAGGAAGGCAGCTCTCTCAGCCAGTCCCGGTGGGAGCATGGGACACACGTGGCTGGTCCTGGAGTCTCGTGGATGGCAGAGCCCCTGATGCATGCTTCCTCCGGTGCTCAGCCGGAGAGGCAGCAACGTGAAAGATAGGCAGGCCTTGCTGTGACGTCCTAGGGACGCGGGCCAGCCCTGACCATGGAGCGTGCAGGGCAGGAACATGCAGGGTGAACGGGGGTGGACCCAGGACCACTGGGAGAAGCCTACCTCTGCCCTGGGGCAGCCACTGGTGGGGCCAGAGACTGGCGCCTGGACCCCCACTGACAAGGACACTTCAATGCTGCCCTGCAGGCCTGTGCCCCTCAGAGAAGACTGGAATCCTGGTGGCCGGTGGCCGCCCTGTGGGTCTCAATGTAAAAGTGCTGCTGATGGGCTCTGCGATTGAGAATACTTTCAAAAAGGATGAAAAAGAAAAATGAGTGGAAAGTGTCCTCCATGGTGAAGGCATAGTGAGTAGACAATGGATAGGGTTCCCTCCTCTGCCTCAGACTCTGGGGACAGAGCCGGGCCCCCCAGATGAGGATTTTGGTGTCAATGGTTTGTTTGGGTATTGATCTCAGGAAGCACCAGTAGGGCTGGAAGTGAGTCAGCTGGCTGGGCAGGGCCATTACAGGAATGGGGCTCAGTCCCATGGGAACTCTCTGGGGTATGGAACCCACCTGGGATTTGTCTCACCATGGCGGTGGTGGTGGAAAGCTGTCTGCGTGGGTTTACATAGATGCTCAGTTTGCTAGCTCTGCCCTGCACATGTGGCCCCATGGCCATCTGAGAAAAGCCCACGGCAGAGATGCTGGGCTGTGGGAGGGTGCCGCGGCATGTAGGAGTGGTGAGTGCTGCAGGAACCAACCTGCAGCATAGTCAGTGTGGGCCCTGGAGCAGCAGCAGCCATGGCCCATGGGCATGTCAGAAATGCAGACTCCCAGGCCCCACCCTGAACCTGCTGGAGCAGAACCTGCCTACCAGCAAGACCCTCGGTGACCGTGTGCATGCTGGAATTTGAGAAGTGCCAGGCCTGTCACCGTGATTCCTTTCCCTTTTCTAAACACTACAAAGTAACCGCTGCCTCAGCACTCCCTGAATGTCCACTGACCCTCCCAGGTAGGAGGGAACAAGCTGCCTCTTATCTTTAATCTTTAACCGGTCCAGGATGGGCTGAAAAGGAAGAGACTGGATGTCCAACTGCTTTGGCTCTTCAATCAAGGCGACTGGTGTGAGCGCTGAAGGAGGTGGAGTAACACCAAGGGCTTTCCCAGCGTACTTTCTGCTGCGTAAACATCCCAGACCCCGGCTTGGGAGAGGTGAGCTCCAGTCCACTCCTGCATCCCACACAGCGCCTTGTGGGCTGCACACCTCTGCAGGAAAGCTCGGTAGGCCTCAGAGCTCTGGAAGGCCTGTAGCTCGCAGACATAGCCCTACTTGTCCTCGTCCACCTGAGACACATACCTCTGGAGGAAGGAGCACAGAGATTCTGAGGCGCTCCAGATTTGGGGTTGGGATGGGGATGGAGGCTGGGCATCCTCTTGTCCAACCTCCTTGGGGCTCTTTAGGATGATCCCAAGAAGCTACTACTCAGCTTCTGCTTGCACACCTCCAGGGACAGGGACCTCACTACCTCCAAGCAAGTTCATTCCTTGTTTGAATGGCACTGTTTTCCTTCCCATCAACTGGCATCTGCCTTGCTGTGGCCACTACCATTCTCCAGGTTTGGTCTGATGACTGCAGAGAAGGGCAGCATTATCAGCTCCTGCCAGGGGGAACCTTAGACTTCTCTTCAATGATCCTTCATGCAAACATCAGCACTTTTCCCTGCACAGGGTCCTGGGCTGGGCACTAGTGACAGACGAATCAGATCCAACCCCAGGCCTTGGGATGCTGAGTAGAGCCCCTCCCTCTCTCTTTGCCCCTGCCATCCGCTGGCAGGCAGCGAAGGCTCTGCACTGCTCTTGGCCACATGCTCAGGGGCCTGCTCTGACCTAGTGCCAGGAATTGTCCGGCACTGCCAGCAGCTGGAGCCACTGATCCAAAGACACCCTCCCCCTCGCTTTGCGTGAATACAGCTGACATTTAATCTCCATCTGACTGGCTACTGGATAGTTCCTAGTTGGTTGGAAACGTGGGTAGGAAGGAGAGGGATGTTACTAACTGAGCCCCCCATTAGGATTTTGTCAATTGTTAAACAAGAGTTTTCTATGACTAAAGCAAGATGAAATTGTAGAGGTTTAAAGAAGTTCACGTCAGGGTCTTTGTATTTGACTCAAGGAAATGACACTCTGGAGGCAGGGTGCTGTTCTGGAGAAAGTATGGGCTTTGAGGTCAGATATTCTTAGGGGTGTGGGAGGGCTTATTGTAGGAGGTGGCACTGAGGCAGGCATGGCTTGAACAGAAAATGACACGTTTGTTCAGTGTGGCTGGAAGGTACAGCTGGGGGTGGCAGAAGTGATATTGGAATGTAACAGTATTTCATGCGAAATGGGCTTTGACCTTATGCCATAATTTGGCATTCCTCCCCTGGCCCCCAGAACATGCCTCTGTAGGAGGTTAACAGGTGCTCTGTGAAAAAGAGGCTCCTTGGTAAATTAGTTTGAGAAACACCGCACACCAGCGCTCACACGTAGAGACTCTCATGCCCCTTTACATGCTTGGCTCGGTCTCTTCCTCCGCAGCCTCACTCCAGGACAGCAGGGGCCCCATTGGCCATGCTTGTGGCTGTATCCCCAGCACCTAGCATGGTGCCAGGCATAACAAGTGCTACACAAATATATTGTAGATTCGCCAAAAATGTCCTGCTGAGGGAGAAATCTACGATCTTGATTTCCTCCAGAATTTCCTAGACTTATTTGACAGCCGGCCCATGATTCCTGGATGGGCCATTCTGCCTGACCCAGTTTAGGAGATGCTGCCAAAAGCAAGGGGACCCATTAATTGCTCTAAATGGGTGAGTGAGTGGCATCTCATGTCTGCACTCTAGAGGGTTCCCTCTGGCTGTGGTGTAAGAAATGGATTAGGAGGGAACGGCCCCTGGCGGTGGCTGCGGGCTGCCCAGGCCCCATCTCACGGGGGGACTCGCTTTGTATTCACCACATAGAACAGGACTTACCCCTTTTTATCCTGAGACAGCTGGGCCCACTGAACAGCCAGCATCTTCATGATTTCTGTGAAAGGCAGATCGGGGTGTGTGGCCCTCAGCTGACTTCTCTGCTCATTCAGGAATATCATGTACCTGTGCCACAGAAGGGACAAACCTGGCTCTGAGAACCGGTGGGGAAGGGAGCCGGCCAGGGGCAGCTCATTCCACTTTCCGGTTTTCACAACGAGTCACAGGTTTGCCCATCTTGTTCAGTCTAACCAGAGAACTGAAGGCTAAGAGGGGCACATCCTCCAGTGGCTTGTTAACCCAGAGTCTCGTAAAAGGCCTAGGAATGAGAAGAGGGGCTCCCCACAGGGCACGAGGTGTATGAAGGCTGGGTGGCTGTGTCTGGCAGGGGACACGTTCAAATAGCCATGCTGCATTATGTGGACAAACCACGTAACCCATCTGAGCCTCCGTTTCCCCCTTTGTATAATGAACATAATGCCACCTGCTCACAGGTGTGGCCTAATACTCCAGGTGCAGGCCCCTCCCCCTCCTGCTCAAGGACTTCTTTTGAAGGGGAGGGAGAAAGGCTGTGGCCAAACCAGTTTCATCCATGTGAGCCACAGGAATACTGAAGGAAGCCCCTCAGCGTTAGAGCCGTGTGAACCCTGAGGATAAAGTGTACAAGCTTCTAGATGGGGCAAGGTGACCCTCAGAGCTCTGGTCAGCAGCTGGCATGGGACCTTTCTTCTATGGCGCAAGATTCATGGGAAAGGGACAAGGTCCCAGGTGCTGAGAAGGGTGGCTTGAGCCCCCTGAAGGTTAACCAGCTTACCCAAGGCCACAGAGCGCCCATGTCTTCAAGCCTGGGATGGAAAGCAGACCCACCAAGCCCACACCTACCCCTTTTCCTGTCTGGAACCCAAACCTGGTTCTTCTGTCCTCTCTCCTCCAGGACCAGGACCTCATTACAGATTAAAGAACTAAGCAGCCCACCCCACACTCCCAGTGGTGTCAGGCCCCCTAGCTAACCAAGCACCCTAAAAGAACAGGTAAAGGCTGAGATGGGATCGTACCAACCCCGCCACGTGGCCCAGGCCACATGGTGAGCCCTGCAGATTACTTCAACGTTGGGTCAGAGTAATCTCCCTGCATCTTACCCTGTCGTAGGAACACGGAACAGCAAGGTCCCTCGGGGGGTTTCTCTTCTTGCCTTTAGGCCAGCCCCCTTTCCTTTTCTGAAAAAGAAATACCACACGGGAAAACCTCAAGACCATCAATAACGACTGATCATATTCAGATCACAGCATACAATCATGCCACCACAGGGCCCTGGGCTTCACACAGATGGCCTATGACCTCCCAGAAGTTCCATGGTAGGAGTGAGCCTCCCCCTGAAGTTGAGGGAACTGAAGTATGGAAAGATGCAGTGATTCCGCCCAGCACCGCCCAGCAGTGTGGGAGCCAGGACCTTCCCTCCCATCCAAGCTGCGTGATGGTCACTGGGCACAATCAAGTAAGTCACCCAAAGTTTTAGTTACTAGGTCCATGGGGGATGGGATGAAGCCTTGGCACCAGGACCGGTGGTGCAGAGGGTTGACAGCTGAGATGGCAACTCCGCTGGGGTTCTCGTCTCAGCCCTGCAACTGACCTGCTGTGTGGTATTTGGCAAGTTATGCATAGCTCTTTGACTCAGTTTCCCCATTTGTAAAATGAGGATCATAGTCCCTATCTCGTGGGTTTCAGTGAGGATTGGAAATGTTGATATTCATGAAGTTTTGAGAGCAGAGCCAGAAGCCCAGCAAGTGCTCAGTG
Organism: Homo sapiens; assembly: GCF_000001405.40. Classification (NCBI taxonomy): domain Eukaryota; kingdom Metazoa; phylum Chordata; class Mammalia; order Primates; family Hominidae; genus Homo; species Homo sapiens. Next base: position 6,226,348 of record NC_000004.12, on the reverse strand, counting down.
AGTGCAGAGGCTGGCGTGACTGTGTACAGAACCCTCTCCCACAGACGCCAGCTCTCAGGACAGAAATCCAAGTTGTGGGCTCACCCTTCCATCCATTTCATATCTGGGTTCATCAATGGTGACTGAGCTCCCACTATTATCAGGAGCCTATGCCAGGCTCAGAAGCTAGAGGGCTGGATAAGGCACAGGCTCTGCCCTCAAGTGGCTCACAGTGCCATGGGGAGGCTGATTTTATAGAAATAATTGTAACAGTCCAGCACAGGGGAGTGGGGTTATAGGATGATAGCCTGAATGCCCCTGTCCTCACGGTTCAGTTTCAAATTTTCCTGAACCAAACACACATGACAAAAATGGTAGAGAATAATCAAGATGTGACCTTAAGAACCTCACCTTCCAGTTTTCCAATCTCCCTCACAAACATGCCCAAGTCAGCCTTTCCAAGGCCAGGAGATACAAAGCAAGTCGGTGGCCCAGCAGGCTGGCTGGGTGGCACTGCCACAGGCAAGCCAGTTGTTGTACAGACCAAAGGACAGAGGCGGTCAGACCACACACATGTTGGTGCAGCGGCTGGCACTGGGGACTTCAGGAGCAGGAGGGCCAAGCTGAGGCCAGGCAGAGGCAAACAGCCTGATAGCAACCATATGTGTTAACGAGATAATGAGGAAGCCAGGCGCCAGGCACACAGTAGGTGCTCAATGAATGACATTCTCACTGGCTCACTCCTATGCACAGACTATGCTGATCCTTGGAGTTTGAGGACCATCCTTTCAGCACCCCGGAGAGCTCCCAAGGCCCTGGGTCGGCTCTAATTCAAATACACACAAAACCCTGAATCTGAGTCTCACCTTTTCTGGTTGAAGCAAATATCATCAACGTTATGTCACAAGAAGACACTCAGAAGGATGATGTGGTTTGATCACTGAGCAGCAGTGCCAAGCAGAAAGCCCAGAGCACACCCACAGCTCTTGTTAGAGCCGGTGCCTCCTGACAGAGGCCCCACAACTCTCTGGGGTCAGGGGAAGGTGGGCCAGGTATCCTCTGCCCTGGAGCACAGTGGCCATCTTCTACTCTTTTCTTGGTCAGCCTCCCTGCTCTGGCGCAGAGAAGGTTTTTTGTTGTTGTTGTTGTTAATTGGAGGGAATATTATATTTACCGTAATTCTCTATATGGTAGTATTATAAGTAAAAAATCAAAATAAATGTGTTCATCATTTTGTGCCCATCTGAGGCTCTGTGCTTCAGCTCCATTAAAAAAAAAAGAAAACCTTCTTGAGTGTTTTCTTAATTTGCCCAGAAACCATAGTTACTGAGACAAAGGGGAAGGCTGCAGGATGTTTTCCTCTGAAGCTTTTTGTTCTTGTTGAACTCCTCATGCAGGATTTACACCAAATTGCCTTGCCCTAAATAGAGTCACGTAGACAGCGCACTCATCATTAGTACAGGGTGTTACTACGTGGAGAACATTGCCCACACACAGTAATGTGTCAGCTACAGAGGAAACAGAGGAAGAGAGCATGGCCCACCAAGGGAAGGCTGAAAAACCTATTATTTTGAGACAGGGTCTCCCTCTGTCACCCAGGTTGGAGTGCAGTGGTGTGATCTTGGCTCACTGCAGCCTCAACCTCCCAGGTTCAAGTTTTAGAAAGGCCAGTAGCAGAGCTGCAAATTAATTGATTGGCAAGATTCCAAGGGGAAAAATCCATTCCAACAGGAGTTTTCACCAGCACAACCCTTTTATTAGGTTGGTGCAAAAGTATTTTCAGTTTTAGCCATTACTTTCAATGGCAATTTCAATTACTTTGAAAACTGCAATTACTTTTGCACCAACGTAATACATTGAGATTGCAACAGATGGTGAATTTTGGACATTTAGTTTTTTTTAAAAAGAATTTTGTTTTACGAAGAGAAGCTCCTTTGGGGGTCAGCAGGAGCAAAAGCAAACAGGGGCTTGAATGACAGCTCTGGGCTCACCCCTAGCTCTGACATGGTGTGACCCTGAGAGCTCCTTTACCCCCAAGCTGCTAACTGGGAAGCAACAAGGAGCAGTGGTGGGGTCGGGGAGCTAATGTTTGCAAAGGGCTTGGCACATGGCCGAACTCAGCACATGCCTTCCCTCTCTCTCTTTACCAGTAAGGGAAAAAACTCAAGTACAAACCGATCAACCAGATTCTGCAGCTTGCTGAGCAAGCCTCAAAGGGAAAAGCATTTTAGTTTATGCAATGTATCATTTGGGAACCAGACCCAAGCTCGGAAGATGATTACAGTTACTGTCAGGAAATGGCCCATGGCCTCTGTGGGTTTACAAACAACTGCCCTAGCAAAGTCTAGATCCTGGCTATTCCCAAGAACTTTGTCAAGGGCACTCAGCACTCTCCCCATCTGAACAGTGGGAATGTTGATTACATTGTTCTAGACACCATGAGAAAAGTTAAACTGTTAAAGGCTGGGTTCTCACCTTTTGATACTGTAGTCCTGACTTTGAAATTCTAGTTCATTTATTTCTGAAGTAAACTAACCCTGTGCTGTGGACTGAATTGCATCCTCCACTCAGCCCCCACACATTCAGATGTTTAAGCCCTAACCCCCAATATGGCTGTATCTGTAGATAGGGTCTTTAGAAGGTATTTAAGGATAAATGAGATCATGAGGGTGGAGCCCTAATCCAATAGGACTGTCACCTTCTAAGAAGAAAGCAGAGAAATCTTTCTCTCCACCATGTGAGGACATAGCGAGGCAGCCAGCAAGCCAGGGATAGTTCGTTACCAGAACTGGACCCTGCTGGCACCTTGATCTAGGACTTCCAGCCTCTAGAACTGGGGGAAATTTCTGTTGTTTCAGCCACTCCGTCTATGGCATATTGTTATGGCAGGCCAAGGTGACGAATACAGTGCAAAAGAAGTACTTTATTATTATTATTATTGTTATTTTTGAGACAGGGTCTCACTCAGTCACCCAGGCTGGAGTGCAGTGGTGTGAACTTGGCTCACTGCAGCCTCAATCTTCCAGGTTCAAGCGATCCTCTCACCTCAGCCTCCCAAGTAGCTAGGACTACAGGCACACACCATGACGCCCAGTTAATTTTTATTTTTTGTAGAGACGGTGGTCTTACTATGTTGCCCACGCTGTACTTTATTATTTTTGAACACGGGACTGTTAGACACCAATGGCCCTCCCTTGCCTCATTTCTCATCTCAACTTGAACCAGGTTTGCAGACAGGATTCCAAGGGGAGAGTTTACAAGGCTGAGCGACAGTGGAGGGTGGTGGTCAAAGTGTGGATTCTGGAGCAGACTGCCCGGATTGGAGTCCCAACCTCTCCATGTACTGGCTCTGAAGTCTTGAGCACATCACCTACCCTCTCTGAGCCTCAGTGACCTCCTCTGTACAATAGGGTAACCAGCTCTTCTCTCACTAGCTGTGAGGATTAAACGACTAGGTAAGTGCTGGATAGGTGCTGGACTGCAGGAAGCCCTCCGGTTGGCTGCTATTGTACGGATGGCAGTCCACTTACATTTGAATCCTGCTCCCCCGCTGCACACATTACCTTCTGAGAGTCATCAGACCTTTTGGAGTCCACCTCTGCCTGTAAAGTGGACTGGCTTCTTGTGATCTACATGAACTGCTGGGACATATTCATAAAGAAATGGCATCTTTTTTCACTCTTACCTCGTTCCTGCTGGCTAGAATGCAGACACGAAGGCTGGTGCTCAGCAGCCACTTTGGACCATGAGGCAGCATGCGAAGGATAGCAGAGCAGTCAGATGGAAGGTGTCTGGTTCCCTGCTAATGGAGATGCCTTCATACCAGCCCTGATCCTGTCTCACTTGCCCTTAGGACAGGAGTTGCCTGTGACCGCGCGTCCCCGTCCGCCCGGAGCAGCGGCCCTGACCTGCGCGCCGCGGGCCTGGACTTTGCAGAGGCAGGCTCCGGAGCCCGGGGCGTGGCTCCTTCAGCACAGGCGGCGCCGGGCGGAGATGGCGGGGCACGGGCCAGGCACCTGCACCGGGGAACGCGCCGGGAGGCGGCCAGGCCGGGGGGGCAGGCCCGAGCCACGTGCCAGCGCACCGGAACCGCTCGGCTGTTGTCAGCCGCGCTGCGCCGGGCGCCCAGATCCCATCCCAGGGACGCCCTCACTGGGGAGCAGGGCACGCGCGACAGAGGAGGTGGGGGACGCAAGTCCAGCCACCGAACCGCAGCCTCCCGCAGTTCCGCTGCATGTCGTTCGCCCGCCGGGACAGCTGTCCGGCGCCCGCCGCTGCGCCCGGGTCGCGTGGGCGGGACCACCAGAGGGGCCGGGCCGCTCCGCGCGTTGCTGTGCTCCGGACTCCGGCCTTTCCGAGCAGCCCGGGGCTGGGCGGGGACAGTGGGCGGGGGAGAGGGGTGGGCGGGGCCGAGGCTCCGGGCAGCCCCGCCCCCGCCTGCCGCTCACCCAGTGGAGGCCTGCGCCCGCCCCGCAGTTACGTAAGTGCCCTCAGTGGCCAGAGGTGGGGGGCCTCGCTCGCGAAGGGTCGTCTTCTACATTATTATATGACTTTTAACATTTTCGAATCACACAGGAATACATGATACATCACCAGTGTAGCGAAATTAGAAAATTCAGAGCAGCTGCTCTCCGGGAGTCCTTTCCAGAGTCAACCACCTGTTAACCCTTTGGTGCACCTCCTTTACATAAAAACATTCAAAGTATAATTTAAACGATAGTTTTAAACATTAGAAATGGCCACGAGCTCCATCCCTCCTTCCAATGGCAACGCTTCCATGTTTGCACATCCCCTTCCCACCCGAGACAGGTGAGCTGGTGACAATCACAGGGTTCGCCATATCTGTGGGTGGTAATTTTTGCGGTTGCCTAGAGACGGCACAGTCCCTGGAGCCTAGCGGTCTGGGCTCATCAGCCACCTCTGCTGGGTGCCGGTGGGCTGGTGACTTCACATACCTGGGGCTCAATCTCGTGGTCCGTACACTGGAGATAATAATAGTGCCTATTAGCTAAGAAGGTTGTGGGATTAATGATTTAATATTCCTAAAGTACATAGGAAGCACTCAATAAACGAGTAAGCTATTATTACTGAGGGCTTCTTCATGTATCAAGAACAATGTGCACTAATTATGTAATAACATAATTTGGTCTTTGCATACTCCCCCAAAGCTCGCCACTCCATTCCCTTGTTTCCTTTTTTACTCAACCAATATCTTCAGCAAATAAGTCACTATAGCGCTGTATTCTTTAGTTCCTTGCTCTATAGAATGGAGATAGTATGAATAGCACCTGCCTCCCAGGGATGCCTGAGGATTAAATGAGATGCTGAGGGGTGAATGTACATAACTGGCTGAGCAGGACGCCTGACATGCGTTATCTGGCCAATAAGAACACAAAAAAGCTGGGTGTGGTGGCTCACACCTGTAATCCCAACACTTTGGGAAGCTAAGGTGGGAAGAATCACTTGAGGTCAGGGGTTTGAGAACAGCATGGCTAGCATAGCAAGACCCCATCTCTTTTTAAAAAATTAGCTCAGAATGGTGGTGCATGCCTGTAGTACCAGCTTGGGAGGCTTAGGCAGGAGGATCACTTGAGTCCAGGAGTTTTGATGTTACAGTGAGCTATCTCGGCACCATTGCACTCCAGCCTGGTCAACAGAGCACGACTTTGTCTCTAAAACAAACAAAAATACACACATACAAACAGCTGTTCTTATCACTGCATGTTGTCCAGTGCTTAAGGAGAAGCCAATCCGGGCTGGGATTCTAGAGCCGGCAAGGAGCCCAGAGGTCTAGGGCACTAGCCCATCCTTCCTTAGTGGCAGAAACTGAGTCTGGAAGAGGGTAAGTGGCTTGTCCAAGTGAAATTCTGTCTACCTCCCCATGAAGCTTCTCAATTTAGTCCAATTAAGTGTAGCAAATACATGCTGAGACCGCCTCCTTAACAAAGTGAGTACAAAATAGTCTCTGAAACTAAATCTTTGAGAATAGTTTAAAAATTACAAAATGTAAGAACATTCAAGTGAGACTCGAGTGTTCCTACATCAGAGGATACAAAGAGCCACTGGAATCTAATCAGTAATTGGTGTTGATATAGGAATGGACAAATAGATGAGTCAAACAGAAGATGGAACTAGAATTAAATCTAGAACATGTGCTAGACTAGTTTACGACAAATCTAATGGTTAAATTCAGTAAAAAAGAATAAATTAATAATAAATATTGCTGGTAACGGGCTAGCCATTGGAAAGGGGAAAATGGACTCTGGCATTATGCCAAATACAAAAGTAAATTTTAGACAGATTAAATACTTAAATGTAATAAAGTAAACAATAAAAAATTTGCAAGAAGGCTTTGGGATCCCAATGGTATGCTCATCTGAAAATGTCAACTGAAACACCTTCACAGACTAAAATATGGAGATGGGAAACTATTTACAACAAACTCAAAATGCCCTGCTAAACTCACAGGAGAATCCAGAGAAATGCCCAAAGATTATGCCTCTTCACAAAAAACAGGAATAATCAGCCCAAACTAGAGTGGCTATGAAAATGGAAATCCAGGCCCCAATGGGTACAGGCACCTGCAACAGGAACTTCAAGCTGGAGGGATTCATACGGATATAGAGGACAGATGAACACAGCCATCTCTGCTGCCTCTGGGTGGAAACATGTACACAAAGCTAGAGAGTCTTTCCTGAACTTTTGTAGCCAGAGGACTGCTCTGTCGTGTGACTGAGGTTCAAATTTATACTGCCCCTAATGTCAAGAAACATCACCCGGGCAACGAAATTAAAATATTATAGTTACAGATTGGTAGTGCCTCCTGGAGCCTAGAAGAAGCAAATGCCAGTGCTGTCTGGAGAAAAGCATCCTCAGTCTAGTCCCATCACCACATATCCTGCCTGAGCTCATAATAAAAATTACCCAACACACGGCGAAATGGCTCAATGTAAGCAAGAAGCAGCTGAATAATAAACAATGTATTTAGGTCCTCAAGCATTTCTGATAGTAGACATCTAATTCAGAGAGCAAAAATAATCATGTATAAACATAAACTGTGTTAAGAAATTAAAAATGGAATTTAAAAGTTCAAAGAGCAAAAGTCAAACAAAATGACCCGGAAGAATTGAGAAAGAACCAACTAAAGCATCTTGTAGTAAGAAATATAGTGAATGTGCTAGGCATGGTGGCACATACCTATTGTCCCAGCTACTCAAGAGGCTGAAGCAGGAGGATCTGTTGAGTGCCGGGGTTTGAGACCAGCCTAGGCAACATAGTGAGACTCTGTCTTTAAAACAAACAAACAAAGAAACAAACAAACAAAGAAATTTAATGATTGAAATTGAAACCTCAATTGTTGTGTTATATAGCAGATCAGATTGCCTGAAGACAGAATAAGCCAGAGGACAGATCTGAAGATATTACCGAGAATGCAATGCAAAGTGACAAGAAAAGAGAAATAAGAGAGGTTTGAAGACATGCATGATAAAATATGAAAGTCTAACACTTGCCTAATTGGAGTTCCAGAAGACTAAAATAGAGAAAGCTGAGGAGAGGCAATATTTGAAGAGATAGTGCCTAAGAATTTTTCACAACTGTTCAAAGATGACAAATTTCAAATCTAGGAAAAACGAAGTATATCAAGCAGTGTAAAGAAAAATAATCTACATATAATAATTTCAGATGAAATAAGAAGACATCAAGATAAATCAAGATGCAACAAAAACAGAAAAGATACTCTACAAAAAATAAAAGTGACCGTATTTCATCAATTCCAAGATATGTATTTTCCCACAATTTAACACGTTTGAAATTGGGACTAATCTTATCATTGATGGAGTCTTACAATTATAATTGGCAGTTTTTTATCTCTTACTGTCAATAAAATAATGATGGATTGCATATTCAGTGGTATCTTATGAACATTTATGAATGAAATGTGGTAAACTGGCCACAGAGTTGTCAACAGCAACAATAGAAAGCCAAAGACATAGAACTAATATATTCAAGATGCTGAGAGAAAATGAAGAGTTGAGATTTCTGTTCCTATCCATGAGGAAAATTGGACAAACTATATGCAAAAAATTTTGTTTTCAGATCTTGGGCAACAAACAGAGCACAACAGTAATCTCTGAGAGAAGAAATGCAAATAAGGTGAACTCTATGATGACTTGGCACTTTGTCAACTGTAATGTAAGAAGAGGAACTGAAGCAGAGCATGGTGACTTTGCTGAGCTGAGGAGAGGTAGAAGGCAGAGAAACCCAAGGAAGCTGGGATTTGAGAGGTAGAATATCAGACAAGAGGGAGCCATGCACATAAAGAGCTCTAAAACGCCACATTTGGGTCCTCTTGAGTCTCTGAATGAATACTAAGCCAAACATATAACAGATGAAACTTTTTGCATTTAGGCAAAGACAAGCTACAAGGGAGCTGAAAATTGACTAACTACTGGATCTCTCACAAGGCTGGGAGACATTTGAGTTCTAATCAGTCAGAGTGGAAAGATCTTGCTAAATTCCCTTGGCATTCAGTAGAGAGCCCAGAATGGTCATGACTTAGGTAAAGGGCTGACCAAGTGCTCATGTAAAAGCAACCCTAAGACCAAACCTAACAAAAATTAAAACTAAACTGCAAAGGCATCAAACTGATCTGCAAGTAAATTAAATGTTGGACAGAAGAAAGCCAAACATTCTTTAAAGGAAGAAAACAAAACTAAACACTCAACGGCATAATGTTCACAATGTCCAGCTTCCATTAAAGATTATTAGACAAATGAAACATGAAAATGTGAACTTTTTCAAATTATTCTTTGATGATAGTAGTTGGAAATTGGAGTTTAGTAACAATGAGATGTCTACAAAACTCCTCAAATATTAGGAAATTAAGTAAAACACCTTTAAATAATACATGGGTCAAGGAAGAAATCAAAAGAATGATTGAAAAAAGGGGAAATATAATAACATATTTAAGAGTGAATGATAATACGTATTGTGCATATAAAATTAGTGGTCTAATTTGTATGTTAAAAATGTAGATGTTAAAACTAAAAAACTGGACCAAAAACACAGATGCCGATTACCCCTCCCTCCACCCCTTGGCAACCACTATTCTACATTGTACCTATAAATTTGATTACTCTAGGAGCTTCATATCAATGGAATCATAAAATATTTGTCCTTTGTAACTGGCTTATCTCACTTAGCATAATATAATTCATGTCATAGCATGTGTTTTACACATGCTTCTGTGAGAAAAGAAATTGAGGTTAAAGCATTTATTGTTTGAGATGACAATTGAGATTTTGATTCCTTTAGGATTTGATTTATTTTACCATAAAATAATATGGTAAAATGTCTATTTTAGTCACTGAAAATATGGAAGTAAACTGTATAACTTTAAGACAGTAGAGGAAAAAGAAATAAGGAAAAAAGCTCAAGCAATCCAAAAGAAGAAGGAAAAGAGGGAGAAAAGGAAGTAAAGAAAAAGCAAGACAAATAAAAATACAAAATCAGATGGGTAGAAGGAACTCCAAAAATATCTGTAATTATAGTCTGTTTAGGTGAATACGCTGGCTGGTTATCAGGTTGGCTAAAAATGCAGAACCCAACTGTATGCTGTTTTCAAGAGATGTACCCAGAGCACGAGGAGGACACAGAAATGTTGAAAGTCAAAGGATGGAAAAAGGCACGTGAAGTAAAAGATAGCTGCTGCAGCTCTGAATATTGAACAAAATCATTAGATTAAGATTAGATTAAGTAATAATTAGGATAAAGAGGTTTACTACCAAATAATAAATTCACCATGAAGAGATCCCAATTCTAGAACTTCATGCATGATGCTGTATATGAAACAAAAATACATAAAATGAAGATTGAGAGAACTAAAAGGATAAATTGACAATTTCACTCTTTAGTGGAGCATTTTAACATATCACTTAAATTTTTTTTATTGTGGTAAAATATACGTAACATAAAATCTGCCATTTTAACCATTTTTAAGTGGTTATAAGTTCAGTGGTATTAAGTACATTCGCATTGTTGTGCAACCATCACCACTACCTATCTCCTTAACTTTTAAGTCATCCAAAACAGAAACTCTGTACCCATTAAACACTGACTCCCATTACCTCTCTCTCCACCCCTTGGCAACCAGCATGTTACATTGTATCTATGAATTTGACTACTCTAGGAACCTCATATCAATGGAATCATAAAATATTGGTTCTTTGTAACTGGCTTATGCCACTTAGCATAATGTAATCCATGTTATAATATGTGTCAAAATGTCTTCCTTTTTAAGGGTGAATAACATTCCATTGCAGGTACCTGCCACATCATATTCTCATTCATCTGTTGATGGACGACACCTGGGTTGCCTCCACCTTTCCGCTGTTGTGGCTAATGCTGCTATGAACATGAGTGTGCAAATATTTGTTCAAGTCTCTGCTTTCACTACTTTTAGGTATACCCAGAAGTGGCACAGCAGAATTGTATGTTAATTTTATGCTTTTTTTTTTTTTTTTTTTTGCGAAATAGCCATGTTGCTTTCCACAGTGACTTAACTATTTTAGATCCCTATCAACAGCATATGAGGGTTCTAATTCCTCCATATGCTCACCAACACTTCCTACTTTTTGTTTTTGTTTTTTTAAACAATAATAGTCATTGCATCAGTCTGTTTGGGCTGCTATAAAAAAGCACTATAGACTGGGTAATTTATAAGCCGTAGAAATTTATTGCTCACAGTTCTGGAGGCTGGAAAGTACAAGATTAACTCACCAGCAAATTCTGTGTCTGGTGAGGGTTTGTTCTTTGCTTCATAGATGGTGCCTTCTGGCATTGTCTTTACATGCCAGAATGAGAAAACAGACTCCTTTGGGCCTCTTATTAATCTCATTCATGAAGGTCCCACCTCAATACTTAATCACCTCCCACAGGGCCTCACCTCTTAATACTATCACATTGGGGATTCTGTTTCAACATATAAATTTTGGGAGGACACATTCAAATCATAGCAGCCATCCTAATGGGTGTGATGTTTCAACATACGTCTTTCATTGACAGGCCAAAGAGTAAAAAAGAAAAATTGGTAAGAATAGAAAAGATTTGAACAACACAATTAATATTCTTGATTTAATGAGGACATGCAGAATCCTCTGCCTCTCACATAAAGAACGCATAATTTTAAGAATGATACCATTTACAATAGTGAAATAAAATTTACTGAAAATAAATCTATTGGCATATGTGCAAGACCTTTGCACAGAAAATTATACTTCCATATAGAAAGATGTTTAAGAAGACCTACATAAATAGGAGGATTCATAAATGAGGGAACTCAGTCTTATAAGATGTCATGCCTCTCCAAATTGTGTGATGGGTTCAATACAATTCCAATCAAAATCCCAACAGGGTTCTTTGCAAAAGTTGCCAAGCTAGTTCCAAATTTTATATAAAAGAGAAAAGAACTAAGAATAGCTTAATTGCTCTGAAGAAGATGAACAAGTTGGGGGAACTTACTGTGACAGATATCAAGACTTGCTATAAAGCTAAAGGAATTATGCCAGTGTGATATTAGCATGGAAATAGACGAATGGAATAAAATAAGCAGGCCATGCATTCATGGAAGCTTAATATATGTCACAGGTTGAATTGAAAAAGGATGGAGTTCTAAATAAGTAATGCCAGGACAACTGGTTAGGCAACTGGTTGTTGCCATGAGAGAAAAAATAAATAGACTCTCTAGGTCCCATTGTACATAAAACACAATTCCAGAAGCATTTATTCTCAAAACAAGCAGTAAAACTTAAAAACATTTAAAAGGGAATATGGGAGAATATTTTATTGCCTCAAGAAAAGGAAGCATTTCTTTAACAAAACACAAAAAGCTCACATCACAAAGGAAAATATTGACTATATTATTATCATTATTATTTTAGAGACAAAGTCTCACTCTGTTGCCAAGGCTAGAGTGCACTGGGGTGACCATAACTCATTGCAGCCTTGAACTCCTGGGCACAAGTGATCCTCCAGCCTCAGCCTCCCAGGTAGCTGGGACTACAGGCATGCACCACCACACCTGGCTACCTTTTTTATTTTATTTTTTATAGAAATGGGGTCTCATTATGTTTCCCAGGCTGGTCTCAAACCCCTGTCCTCAACTGATCTGCCTGCCTCAGCCTTCCAAAGTGCTGGGATTACAGGTGTGAGCCACTGTGACTGGCCCTACTATATTAAAGTGAACATTTCTATACACCCAAAGGAAACTATAATAATATGAAATGACAAGCCCTTAAAAGAATATATGTGCAAGGGGCCAGGCACAGTGGCTCACGCCTGTAATCTCAGAACTTTGGGAGGCTGCGGCGGGTAGATCACCTGAGGTCAGGAGTTCGAGACCAGCCTGGCCAACATGGTGAAACCCTGTCTCCACTAAAAATACAAAAATTATCTGGGCGTGGTGGTGGGCACCTGTAATCCCAGCTACGTGGGAGGCTGAGGCAGAAGAATCACTTGAACCCGGGAGGCGGAGGTTGCAGTGAGCCGAGATCATGTCATTGCACTCCAGCCTGGGCAACAAGAGCAAAACTGTCTCAAAAAAAAAAAAAAAAAAAAAAAAAAAGAACAAATGCAAAACATGTGCCTACCTTACAGTCACCAGGTTGGCAAAAATTTAACATTCAGCCAATACTATACGTTGGCAAATACGTGAAATAACTGGTTTCTTATAGATTGTTGGCTGATGCCTTTAATTGGGTGGATTGAACAACAAAAATTCACTTCTAACAGTTCTGGAGGGTGAAGTCCAAGATCGGAGCGTTAGCATGGTCAGGTTCTGGTGAGGGCCCTTGTTTTGGCTTGTAGATGGCCGCCTTCTGGCTGTATCCTCCACATGATAAAGAGAGGGATCATCTCTCTCCTGTCTCTTCTTATAAGGGCACTAATCCCATTTGTGAGGACTCCATCCGCATGACCTAATTATCTCCCAAAGACTCCATCTCCGGATACCATCAGATTAAGGATTAGAGATTCCACATATGAAGTTTAGGGGGACACAAAAACTCAGTCCTTAGTAGTTGGATAATAAATTGGCATAAACATTTTAGAAAATGTAGTATCTTGTAAAGTTGAAGATGTTCATGCCCATGACTTAGCAATTCCATCTCTATAACATATACTCCAGAATAATGTTTCTCAATCAGGGGTGACTTTGCCCTCTGGAAGGCAATGGCTGGAGACACTTTTTGTTGTCACATTTTGAGGGAAGGATGCAATTGGCATCTCTTAAGTAGAGGCCAGGGATACTGCTATGCATTGTACAATGCACAGGACAGCCCCCCTTTATAAATTATCCTGCCCAAAGGTCGATAGTTTTGCAGTTGAATATCTCTGCTCTAGAAATATCTTATGCATGTGCATCAGAAGATAAGAATGGAGGGGGTCCATAGTGGCACGGTGTAAAATGAATAAAACTGATGTCCATTCCCAGTTCAGCCGCAGATATCAAAATTGATTTTAAAACTTGATATTAATTAAAAAGTAAAATGTGGAAGAAGATGTATATACCATGTATATGAAACTGGGAAAAGATAAACACATGCTTGAAGATAATGGTTACCAAATGGGGAGAGATGTGTGGGATATGGCTAATACTCTATGTGTTAAGTTGAATGGTGGGTCCATCTATGCTTGTTTATTATTTTCTCTTCTTTGAATATAGTAAAGACTTGAAGTCATGTCCCAGATAGCACAGACATCACAATTCAACAATTAGTGATTGGATCCTGTTCTCTGACCCGCCCCTATTCTCAAAAGGGATAATCAGAACTTCTCACTATCTGGAGGGGCGGTGAATATAGACGTGACTATGATCATTCAAAGCTTTCTTGGGTCATTCCAGCACCACTTGCACATGGTATAATTCCACTGCCTTTTGTGTGTGTGTGTGTGTGTGTGTGTGTGTGTGTGTTTGTGTGTGTGTGTACACGTGCCTTTCCTTAGAGGCAGTATATGGATGCAAATGAAATCCTCTTATTGTGCTTTAGAGAACATATATGTGTTATATATATGATATTTGGCATTCTTACAACATTTCACACTAAAAACATTTTTAAAATAATAGAAAACTTCTTTACTTAAAGGTATTTTATAAGGTCATATTTGCCAGCCAAACCACTTTTAAATTTTTTTGTACTGCAAATAAGCACTGTATAATAACTGCCCGAAGGAACTAAGTTTTCTTGTACTCTCAAGAAAATCTTGGAAGCTGCATAATGAGTCTATGTGTCCTGGAGACTTTCTACCAAGAATAAAACTCAGAAGCTATTTTTAAAAAGCGAGACACATATTTAACTATGTAAAAAGTTTGTCGTTGTGTGGTAAAAGATGCCATGAAGTCAAAAGATGAATGCTGGATCTGGAAAAAGTGCTTGAACGTTGGCGACAGGCAAAGGGGTCATTGTTATGCTGAGAGCCGTAACAGCGCACAAGACAAAATGTCCCTACTAAAAGTGGGCAAGGGATAGAGAATAGACAAACCTCAAAAGTGCAAATCAAATCTAAAAGAGCAAATCATATATATATGTGTGTGTGTGTGTGTGTGTATATATATGCAATATATACATAATGTGTGTGTGTGTGTGTGTGTGTATATATATATATATATATATATATATATATATATATATATATATATAAATATATATAAAACCAGGTGCTCAAATCCACCAATGGACAGAGAAACGCAAATTAAAATAACAAGGACACATCACTTTGCACCCATCAGAGTGACAACATTTACACATGCTGCAGCGTGGGTTGAGGTTGGCAATGCAGGAAATACATTGAAGCAGAAGGGTGTGTGTTAGAGTCTTGGGAAGGTAATCTGCCTATTTTTTTTTTTTTTTTTGAGACGAAGTTTCGCTCTTGTTGCCCAGGCTGGAGTGTAATGGCGCGATCTTTGCTCACTGCAACCTCTGCCTCCCGGGTTCAAGCCATTCTCCTGCCTCAGTCTCCCAAGTAGCTGGGATTATAGGCACCCGCCACCACGCCTGGCTAATTTTTTTTTTTTTTTTTTTTGTATTTTTAGTAGAGACTGGGTTTCACCATATTGGCCAGGCTGGTCTCGAACTCCTGACCTCAGGTGATCCACCTGCCTTGACCTCCCAAAGTGCTGGGATTACAGGCATGAGCCACCACACCTGGCCCCTATTTTTATTTTATTTTTTTCAAAAAGGAGGATTTTGAATGGTCCCAACACAAAGAAATGATAAACATCTGAGATGATGGCTATGCTAATTGCCATGATCTGATCACTGCACATTATATGTATCACAAAATCACTATGTACCTCCTGAATATGGACAATTATTATTTGCTAATTTAAAAATGTAAATTAAAAAGGTTAGACCTTTTTGGCCAGGCACGGTGGCTCACACCTGTAATCCCAGCACTTTGGGAGGCCAAGGTGGGTGGGTCACTTGAGGTCAGGAGTTCAAGATCAGCCTGGCTAACATGGCGAAACCCTATCTCTACTAAAAATAGAAAAGTTAGCTGGGGGTGGTGGTGTGTGCTTGTAATCCCAGGTACTTAGGAGGCCGAGGCATGAGAATCGCCTGAACCTGCGAGGCGGAGGTTGCAGTGAGCTGAGATTGCACTCCAGCCTGGGTGACAGAGCAAGACTCTGTCTCAAACAAACAAAAAACAAACAAACAGACAGACAAAAGTTTAGACCTTCCAACCAGCCATTCCACTCCTGGGAATCCATCCCATAGAAATAAAAGTAGTCCTGCTATCTGAGGGTTTGTGTAAGAATATTTAGCGCCCATGGCTGTCGGTTGGTAATGACAAAGGGACATTAACCCATAGGAAAAGGCTCTGTGAACTGTGGGATGGCCTCAGCCTGTCAGTCTAGAGATTTCCCCAGATGCTGGCAGGAATTTGCACGAGGTGTTGATGAGTGTGAAAAGTGAGAAGCAGAAAATGTGATTATCATGAATTCGTTTTGTAAAACAATGACCCCCAACCCCCCATATGTATGTATGTATATATGAATGTAGTTATTTATTCTTATGGAGAAAAATATAAAAAATGTGAAATAAAACAAGCTAGGTTGTTAACATGAGCTATTTGGTGGGGGATATGATATGGGAGGGGGAGGAGGAAGTATCCATAATAAAAACATCATGCATAAAATAAGCGCATTCCTGGAAAATTACACACATGTATCTGCTCATGAGCAGAAGCACGAAGGGAGGGTCACCTGAGTGTTCGCGGGATTACCCTTGGCTAGCAAGATTCAAGGTGACCTTTGGTTTCTTCTTTATATCTGCCTGTACTGTTTGAATTCTTTACAATGACATGTATTATTCATGGAAACAGAAAGAGCCCACAGAAAGCTGTTTTCATTGAAAGGTAGAAAAGAAAGAAGAATGCCCAGGCCTAGGGACCCTGTCGCTGGCCAGACTCTCCCTGTGCTGGTCTGTGATGGAGAACTTGGAGACTCAGCCTGCCTCACAGCCCTCACGGCTGATCCACACTGTTTTTTTGTTTGTTTGTTTGTTTGTTTGTTTTGAGACAGAGTCTTGCTCTGTCACTCAGGCTGGAGTACAATGGCATGATCTCGGCTCACTGCAACCTCCACCTCCTGGGTTCAAGCAATTCTCCTGCCTCAGCTTCCCTAGTAGCTGGGACTATAGGCGTGTGGCACCATGCCCAGCTAATTTTTTTTTTTTTTTTTTTTTTTTAGTAGAGATGGGCTTTTGCCATGTTGGCCAGGCTGGTCTCAAACTCCTGACTTCAGGTGATCCACCCACCTCGGCCTCCCAAAATGTTGGGATTACAGGTGACAGTCACCTTGGCCAGACCCACCCTGTTCCTGGAGGAAAATCCCACAGGCCCCTGGTCCCATCTCCCTGCCCAAGGGAGGAGCCTTATGCCGTGCAAAAGCCTGGATCAGCTACCTTCATGTTCACCAAAAGATGGACAGTGCGCACCACTGTCTTAAAATTTTTGAGATAGTTATAGATTCACATGCAGTTGTAAGAAATAATTCAGAGAGATCCCATATCCATCCCCCTTTATTCAGACATCTCTGGTTTAACATGAACTTGTGTGTGCATGTTTAGTGCTATGTCTCTTATCACGTGTAGGTTTGTGTGCCCAGCACCGCAGTCAAGATACAGAACAGCTCTAAACAAAGAAGCCTCAGCTACAGCTTTTATAGCTTTTATAGAAGGCTCAGCTTTTATAGCCACAGCCATTTCTCTCTTCCCTTCCCCAAGTCCTGGCAACCATGGATCTGTTTTCTGTCTCTATAATTTTGCCATTTTGATAAAGTTATATAAATGGAATCATACTGTCTTTTTCACTCGGCATAATTCTCATCCCTGTCTTTTTGGAATTGAAAGTGAACTGATGGAGAATATGAACTTGGTGTGGTTTTCCGATACTTTTTGTGTGAGTGAACATGGCCAAGTTACCTATGCTCCCTCTATCTCCTCTGGAACATGGAACTAGCGCAGGGATGGAAGGAGGGAAGATTCTCTGCCATGAAGGCTGGCAGTGTTCACCAACTGAGCACATTGGATGTGCCAAACTCTGTTTTAGGTGCGCCATGAGTGTCATCTTCTGAAACAGCCTAAGTAGCCTATGAAGTAGGTTCTGTTCCTTTCAGTGCTCAGATGAGGGAGCGGGGGCTCCAGGTGATGCAGGGAGTGAGCGGTGGAAGCAGGATTCCAGTCCCAGACTTCCTGGCAGGCGTGGGGTGTGGCACCATCTCTATTTGACAGAGAGAAGTCTGAGGCTCAGAGAGGTGAAGGAACTCGTCCTAGGGACACAGCTAATTTATGCTGAGCCAACAACAAAGCCTGGTACTCCCTATTCCTCCCCTAGCCCTGGCTTTTCTGGGTCCCTCTGCCTCAGGGGCTTGCCTGGAGCTTTCCCGGAAGCACAGAAGTGGGTCCCTCCTGCATAGGAGATGAAAGGAGGGGAGTAGATATTGCGAGCTGGGCTGACTGGTGTGAATCCTGGCTCTACCACTTTCCGGCTGGGTAAACTTTGGCAAGTTATTGAACCTTCACATCCCTCAATTTCTTTTTTTCTTTCTTTTATTTGAGACAGTCTTGCTCTGTCCCCCAGGCTAGAGTGCAATGGCACGATCTCGGCTCACTGCAGCCTCTACCTCCAGGGTTCAAGCGATTCTCCCACCTCAGACTCCCGTGTAGCTGGGACTACAGGCACGCGCCATCACCCCCGGCTAATTTTTGTATTTTTAGTAGAGACAGGGTTTCACCATGTTGGCCAGGCTGGTCTTGGACTCCTGACCTCAGGTGATCCACTTGCCTTGGCCTCCCAGAATGCTGGGATTACTGGCATGAGCCACCATGCCCGACCTACATCCCTCAATTTCTAAGGGTAGGGTGGGGATTAAAATGAGTTAATATATATGGACCTCAGCCCAGTACCTGGCACACAGCATGTGCTCAGTCAACGTTATTGCTATTAACAATATGAGTTTTTATTTACCCCTGGAGCCAGGCTGTCTGGGCTCTAGCCCTGGCTCTACTGGTTGTGTGATCTTGAGCAAGCTCTCCAACTAGGGCTGTTGTGAGGACTAAGACTTGGAGGCCAGCCAGAGTGGCTCACATCTGTAATCCCAACACTTTGGGAGACTGAGGTGGGCAGATCATTTGAGCCCAGGAGTTTGAGACCAGCTAGGGCAGCATGGCGAAACCCTGTCTCTACAAAAAATTAGCCAGGTGTAGCGGCGCACACCTGTAGTCCCAGCTACTTGGGAGGCTGAGGTGGGAGAATCACCTGAGCCCGGGAAGTTGAGGCTGCAGTGAGCTGTGATCCTGCCACTGCACTCCAGCCAGGGTGACAGAGACCCTGTCTCAAACAAACAAATAACAACACAAACGAAAAACCCACAATGAACTTGGAAAGTATTTAAATCAGTGCCTGCTGCAGCTCAAGCTTGGCCATGTTTGCTCTCAGTATCATTGCCATCCTCCCTCTTGCCCTGGAAGCACAGCCCACTGCCCAGAAGGCAGGACTTACAAGGGGGATCAGTTTCAACCACCCAGTGGAGGGGAGAGTAACGCCACTTAAAGAGTCCTGGCCTGTCCTTCTGGGACTGTGGCTCAAACTGCCCTGGCTCTGGCCCTTGACCTCCCTCATCTGGATCAGTTCAAAAGCCTCTAGTGTCCACCTTCCCATCAGCCTCCATGCAAAGGCTGCACCAGCTTCAGTGTGCAGTGCCCTGTTCAAAATTCACACATCAGCAGATGTTCCAGTGTGGCCTTCAGGGCTGCCCATGATCTGACTTTGCCAGACTCTCCAACCTTGTCTGCCCTCTCGGGGACGCAGGTGGGAAATTCATGGCATGGTCCTCGTGCTTCCAGCCCTTTGCACATGCTGGTCCCTCTGCATGGCTTCTGCTCTCATTGTCTGACCTCAGCTCAAGGGTTTTCTCCTCTAGGAAGCCTCTCTGGACTCCCTAAGCAGTCCTTATTCTGCAATTTTTTTTTTTTTTTTTTTTGCCACGGTCTCACTCTGTTGCCCATATTGGAGTACAGTCGCATGATCCTAACTCACTGCAGCGTTGAACTCCTGGCCTGGCCTCAAGTGAATTTCCCACCTCAACCTCCTTCCAAATAGCTAAGAGTACAGGCACTTACCACCACATCTGGCTAATTAATTGTAATTTTTTTTTTTTTTTGTAGAGACAAGGTCTTGCTATGCTGCCCAGGCTGGCTTGAACTCCTGGTTTGAAGGGATCCTTCTGCCTCAGCCTCCCAAAGCACTAGGATTATAGACATGCGACACTGCACCTGGCCCCTTCCTCTGCACTTTTATAGCCCAGGGCTACCCCATCAGAATGATCCAGGTACTCTTCTGTCTCTCCCACTGGCCCATGAGCCCTTGGGGGCACAAACAGCTGTTTCCCTGCTGTGTTCCTGGTGCCTAGGCAGAGTGCCAGCACAGTAGATGTGCACCGGTCTTGGTGGGATCTTCCACGGGGCTGGTGAGGTCAGGCTGCTCTTCCACACGTGCTCACAGGCCTCCTTTAATCCTGCCACTCTCGCCCTGCCCCAAGAGCCCCCAGTGGCTCCCTTTCAAGTGGAAGGTCAAATCCTAACTCTGGGCCTTCATGCTGCTGTTCACTGGCCCTGGGACATTGTTTCTGTTCCTCTTCTTCTAGCTAGCTAATACTCAAGCTAACCACCTCAAGGAAGACTCTGCCCCTCAGACCAAGCCAATCTCCATGTTACATGGTCTCCTACCAACTTCTCTTCCTCCTTTAGAATTATCACAGCTGTAGATAAATAACCATATAATTCATAATAACTAAAGGTATGTCCACATCCTGGAAACTGTGATATGGGAACTCATTTGGAAAAAGAGTCTTTGCAGGTATGATTAAGTTAGGGAGCTTGAGAAGAGATCCTCCTGGGTTATCTGGGTGAGTCCTCCATCCAATGACATCCTTATAAAAGACACTCACACAAAGAGGAGGAAGCCGTGTAATACAGAGGCAGAGACTGGAGTGATGCGGCCGCAAGCCAAGGAAGTCCTGGAGCCACCGGGAGCTGGAAGAGGCCAAGAAGGATCCTCTCCTAGAGCCTCTAGGGGAAGCACAGCCCTGCCAACACCCTGACTGTGGACTCTGGCCAGGCATAACTGTGAGAAAATAAATGTCTGTTGTTTCAGGCCTCCCAGTCTGTGATACTGTATTAGGGCAGCCCAGGAAACAAACCCAGAGTCACATATATTCACTCACTGAATCCCCACCCAAACCTATGCAGTTATTATGATTAAAAGATTAATCTTACAGATAAGGAAACTAAAGGTTCACTTACTTGCCTAAGGTCACCATGGGTACCTGACACAGCTGGAATTTAATCCCAGCAGCCCAGCCCTGCAGTGGTGGTGGTGACCACACTCTACTCTGCAAGAGCAGCAGGAACTGAAGTTTCTTTCCACCATCTTTGCAAGTGACCAGCCCATCACAGGTGTTGGGTGCTCACAGCTTCCCAGAGAGGAGCCCCTCTGATGAGAATGTTTGTCTTTATAGGGAGCTGAAACCTGCCTCTCTACCACTTCCAGGGCTCAGGGCACTTCCTCCCTACCACTTGTGGGCTCAGGGCACACGGGGCGGGGAAAGCAGCTTTGGCTTCGGAAGACTCGTGGCTTCCATGCTGCTTGCTGTGAGTGAGCCCCTGGGCCCCAACCTCTCGTCCCTAATAGGGAGATCTTGGTGGTACCTGACCCCCTGCCCCATAGGTCGTCCTGAGGGTTATGTAGTGACCACGTGGTGGCAGCGGGGGTGAATTCCTTGTGAAGCTAAGTACAGACCCTTCCAAGGCCTGGGAGAGCCAGAGCTCTGGGTTCATGTGGCCTTGTGTTTGGAAATACTTTCCAAAAGCAAGATATTTTAGCTGTAACTGGCTAAGCTGGCTGCCAGGGTTTCCAAGACAGGGTTCCACAGACTGAAGAGCTTTAACAACAGAAACTTATTTTTCACAGTTCAGGAGGCTTCAAGTCTGAGACCAAGGTGTTGGTTTCCTCCAAGTCCCCTCTCCTTGGCTTGCAGATGGCCATCTTCTCACTGTGTCTCCACAGGGGCTTCCTTCTGTGTCTTAATCTCTTCTTATAAGGACACCAGGCATATTGCATTAGGTCCCACCCTAAAGACCTCATTTAAGCTCAGTGACCTCTTTAAAGGTCCTATCACCAAATACAGTCACATTCTGAGCTCCTGGGGGTTAGGGCTTCAGCACTCAAGTTCTGGAGGACACAATCCAACCCATAATACCCTCTGTCTCTTTCCCTATGCCGCCCTCATCATGCTTCCTCCCACTTCGGAGCTGCTGCGGAGGCCAAGGGCATTTTGGGGATGTAGCTGAAGGGGGATTGAGTTGGGGATGCCTTGGTTTGGGTTTAGTGGGGTGTGTTTATGTAGGTCTGAGCCAGTCTGTGTGGGTCGAGTTGTTGCTCCCTGAACAGGCTAATGGCTCCCAGGAGTGCCCTCCTTGCCATGGCACTGGCAATGTGTGCTATGGTGCCTGGCACCAGGAGTCTATGGGCAGAGGAAGAGACATAAGGGTTGAAAATGTCATTCTTCCAATAGGAGAGGTCTGGATTTGCAGACCCTCAGAGTCACAAGGCAACTGGGGGTGTCGCATAGCCCAGGACTGCTCAGCAGGAGTCACCTGGGGCATTTAGTAAAATGCTGATTCCTAGACCCTGCTACTCTGAGGCTTCAATTCAGTGGGATGTGGAGGAGCCTGGGCATCTGCATTTCTCCTATGCCTCTCCAGGTGATGGGCGCCAGCACTGAGGTTTAGGAGGTGTTAGTCGAGTCATGTTCTGGTTTGCAATTGTTCAGTTGCTTTTCATCATGAAAATTAATAAAATCCCAGTAAGAAGCCTGGAAGAAATAGAATTCTTCCAAGTGTTAGCATTCATTTATGAAAGAATGATAGACCTTTCTCCAAATTTGAAAACAATCTCAAAAAACTACCTGAGATTACCAATAATGAGTTATGAGGCTGACAAAGTTTTCCAACCAACATTAAAATTTGTTCCCATCATTATAGGAGTACTCTGAATTATCTATTTTCTCCACAGGAAAAATATTATAAAATCATTGGCTTCCAAAGAGGTAATCAAAAATGACGAAGAAGCAAAAAATGTAAAAAAAAGAAGATATTATAAAGGTGGATATCAGGTATCCAATTAATACAATTTTATATTAGTTTTATAATGTTTTCGCAACGTTTTTGATATTTGTCAACTTAAAATATTTTAAAATTTGTTGTGATTTGTTATTATTCTAAATAAGTTTTCATTTTTGTACCAAGTCTTGTACTGGGGTTTTTAAATTCTTCTTCCTAAGGGGGACTGTAGCGGCTCCAGGTTTTACAAAACCTGGATCTACTAACCAATAGTTGCCTGTTCAAAAGTCATTCTTCTTCTTTTCCTCACTAATGGAACCCTGACTTTGTTTCAGGCAGCAATGTACCTTCAATTAAAAAAAAACATCCTTGGCCGGGCGTGGTGGCTCACACCTGTAATTCCAGCATTTTGGGAGGCCAAGGTGGGTGGATCACCTGAGGTCTGCAGTTTGAGACCAGCTTGGCCAACATGGCAAAACTCCATCTCTACTAAAAATACAAAAATTAGCTGGGTGTGGTGGTGTGGGCCTGTAATCCCAGCTACTTGAGAGGCTGAGGCAGGAGAATCACTTGAACCCGGGAGGCGGAGGTTGCAATGAGCCAAGATCACGCCATTGCACTCCAAACTGGACAACAGAGCAAGACACCATCTTAAAAAATAATAACAATACTCCCAGCCTCCTCTGAAGCCAGGGCTGGCCATGAGACACCGTCCCAGCCAATGAGATAAAACAGAGCTCTCTGGGGAGAGTTTTCAGGAAAGCGGTGAAGTGGAGCTGACCTAGTGTGGGTATGCCTTTTGTTCTTCCCCTTCTTGACTGGAATAGTGATGAGATGTCTGGGAAGAGGCAGCCAACTTGCCACGTAGAAGACATTTTGAAAAAGAAAATTACATCCTGAGGGTGAAGGAGTGAGAGAGGATAAAGTGAGGAACAGCTTGCCTTTGCATTTCTTGTTAAGAGAGAATAAAAATCTGTTTAAGCCGCTGTCTAGTTGTGATCCCGATTACTCACAGCCAGACATAACCCTTAATCTACACACATGTATCGAAGTACCACCAGCTGGGCTTTTTAAACAACAGAAATGCACTGTCTCACTTCTGTAAGCTAGAAGTCTGAAATCAGGTGTCAGCTGGTCCACGCTCCCTATGAAGCCCTGGGGAAGGATCTGTCCCAGGCCGCTCTCATGGCTTCCGGGGGTTTGCTCCCATCTTTGGCATTTCCTTGGCTAGCTGATGCCTCGACCTGATCTCTACCTTCATGTTCACACGGCATGCTCCCGTTGCTTGTGTCTCTGTATCCAATTTCCCCCTTTTATAAGGATAGAAGGCAGACTGGATTAGGAATCCAACCTACTCCATTGTGACCTCATCTTAGCTAATTACATCTACAACGACCCTATTTCCAAGTAAGGTCATATTCTGAGGTCCTGGGAGTGAGCACTTCAACATACGAGTTTTTTTTTTTGAGGGGGTGGGTGGGGGGAACACAATTCATCCCAGGATACCTGGGCATTGTCCCTGATTGTCCCTCCCTCCCTCCTGTCCACGTCCAAGCCGTGAGCATGTCCTGCCAATTCTGCACCCAGATTGCTCTGATGCGCTGATACTTCACTGTATCAGCGTGGAGGAGGCCCCCACACTGCCTCCTTGTCCCCACTCTTGACTACTTCAGCCCATGCCCCAAGGGCAGCCAGGGCATCTGCTAAAGATAGTCTCACATCTGCTCACAGATATCCTAGTTCCTCCTGACCCCCTGAACCTTAGAGGTCTGCACTTCCTCCTCTTCTGAAGTTAGGCATGGCCATGTGACCTGCTCTGGCCAATGAAACGTGAGCAGAAGTGACGAGAGTCCCTTCGGGGAGGAAGCCTTCAAAGCCAGCATAATTGTCACCTTTCATTCACATTGCTGCACCATGTGGGTGCTCGGCTGGCAGACAGCCCCAGCAGCTTGGGCTCCCAACCACTCTGATGAACAGAGCCCCATTGACCGAGGCAGGATGTATGATGTGGGCAAGACACACCAGGGAGATTTGGGTTTGGTTGTTACTGTGGCTAACATAGCTTATCCTGACTGATGCACTTTAAAAAATATCAATCTGACAATGGTCCATGGGACCACCTTCCAGGTGAGACAGTCTCCAAACTCTCGCCAGCCTGCAAGACCTTGCAAGTGCTGCCCCTCTGTGCCCCCGCCCCCCATCTTCCACACACTCCCTCTCACCATTCTGTGGCCCAGATACTTTTATCAGATTCTCAAATATGTCCCGTTCACAGCAGTCAGGGTGTTCCCCCATGCTGCTCCCTTTGGTGGGTGCTCTTCCCTGCCTTCTCCTTGCTAGAAAGTAAGCTCTGGTGGGCAGCCGCTTCCTCTCTGCTGTTCACTGTGGTGTCCCCACATCTTAGTGACTACCTGGCACACAGCAAGTGCTCAATAAATATTTGTCTAATGACACTGAATGAATGTTTGCCCAGCTGAGTCCTGCCCCTCCCAAGTCTCAGCTCGACAGCACATCTTTCATTTGGCTATGACCTGCTGATGTGGCTTTGCTGGGGGCAGCCTGGGCTGGTGGGGGGAGGCTCCCTAGGCTGGCATCCGCCCAGCTCTGCCGCTTGCTGGCTCTGCCGCCGTTAGCGTGCGCTTTAACCTCTGACCTTCAGACCTCTCATGCGTACAGAGGGGGACATGGATCTCCGGGGTCGCTGCGTCTTCCTGACCACTGACGGCCAGGACGGCCCCAGCCCCGCTTTACCTGCAAGCCCCACTCCAGGCTCGAGCCCCCGAGGGCAGGGATAGCTTCCCGGGTCCCGAGGCTTGACCAGAGCCTGAAAGCTCCTGCCGGGGGTTGCTCCGACTCAGCGAGGCGCCAGGCTGCCCGGCGCGGCTGGGGGCGCTCAGCGCCGGGACCCCAGCCCTGCCCCGGCCGCCCGCTGGCCCAGTGCGCACGCTCCGGCAGCTCAGCTCCCCCTCCCACGGCGGCAGGAGAGCTCCCGGCATCTGCCCGGGGCGGGGGCGGGGGCGGGGCGGGGCGGGCGCCGCGCCCTCCTGCCTGACTGGCAGGAAGACAGACCAATCGGAGGGGCTCCCCGGGGGGAGGGGCGGTGCCGTGCCTGAGCCGGGCGCGGGCGACCGAGGGAGCTGCAGCCACCCGCGTGCGGCACGCGCCGGCCGCCTGCCCGGATCGCGGCCACCAGTGCCGCGGCCTCTCGACTCCCGCCCCGCCGAGCCGCGCGCGCGACTGCCATCCTCCTCAATTGCTTTTTACGATTTTTTTTGTGCATGCATTCATTTTCTGTTCCGTTTTGTCCTTTTTAAGGCGGTGGCGGCGGCGACAGCGGCGTAAGCTCGCAGCGGGGAGGGGGCGGCCGGAGGATGCGGCGCGGGGCTGCGCTCGCTACGTCCGCTGCTGCTGCCCGGCTCGGGCCTGAGCGCCGAGCAGGTGGGTACAGGTGCGCCGGGGGGCGGGAGGCGAGCGCTGGCCAGAGGGAACCCGTGGACCCGGCGACCGAGGGGCGGACCTGGCGGCAAGGGACGCGGCGACCGGTGCCGCCCCGCCCCATCGTCCATCTCCCCCTCCTCCGGCCATCGCGCCCCCTCTGGGTCCCCCTTCCACTCTCGCATCCCACCTCAGTGGTCCCCCACCCTTCCATACCCATCCCCCACTCCTCTTCAGACCCCCTTGCAAAATCTCCCAGCCGCTGCGTCGCTTCCCCCAACACCCCCTCCCGGTCCCGCCCCCAGCCCCCAGCTCTCCTTCACGCCACCCCTATTTCCACTCTTCTCCGGATTCCGCCCTCAAGCCAAGGAGCGGGAGGGGGACCCACCCGGTGCCTGCCGGAGTGGCGCGGGGGGTGTGGCCGGCCCGTCCCCTCCGTGTCTTCCGCAGGGTAGGTCACAGTCCCCCAGATCTCCGCCCAGGTGGCAAAGAAGATGGAGCTGGGGGCCGCGCCCCGGCGGCGCGGGGCCCGAAGGCGAGGCCGCCCAGCCCGCACCCCACCCCACGCACGGCACACGCCGCCGCGGCCCCTGCCACGCACACCCTCGCGCTGCTCCGCCCACGTGGGCGCCGGGGAGGAGGCTCGAGAGATGGGAAGAAAGGCTGGCACCCACCCTCCTGCCGGGCCGGCGCGCCCTGGGCGCACTGGCCTCCGGAGATGGCGCGCAAGGATTGACTCTCGTGGTGCCAGACACCTTGCCGGGCGCCCTGCGTCGGGGCCAGCGGCCTCGCTGGCCTGCGTCAGTGCGCTGCGGCCTCGCCTCCCAGCCCCTCGGTCCTTCGCTCCATCCCCCCTGCTGTGGGCTCCTGAGCATCCGGCCTGGGCAGCCCAGATAGAGGCCGCTTACGAGGCTGGCGCTTCTTTTCGCCTTAGAAGCATCCCGCTCCCACACACCCCAGCTCGCCGGTCTCCTGAAGGCTGGGCCAGCCTCGGCTCTCCGCCAGCCTCTGCCCGGCTCTCTGAGCTCCAGCGATACTGTATCTAACCGCCAGCCCTCCTCCGCCGCCCGCCCCATCTGCGCACACTCGCAGGCACACTGTCCTTGGCCTTTGCCAGTGCTGTGCTCTCTCCGCGAACGCCCTAACTTCAGCTGGCCAGCTCCTTGTAGTCAGGGAGATCCCCTTGCCCCTCCTGAGCTTTCCTGGAACGTGGCGCTGTCCCAGGATGCTGTTACCATCTGATGGCCTCTGCCTTCCAGAGCAGAGGAGGAGGTGGGGAGGAGGGCAGGGGCAGCCTCAGCCCCTCTCCCAGGGCTCCACCCACAGTGAATGTTGGGCATAGCAGGGCCATCCCCCCTAAGTCAGAGTAACCCGCTGGTGTGGAGGGCGAGGCCATGGGAGGAGCTGGCCCTTCCTGTAGCACCCTGGGCTGGTGGGTGGTGGCTCCACTAGCTGGGATGGGCAAGGAGGAGGGACACATTCGGGGATAGAGTGGGGGAATTAGAATCCTTTCCTAGCAGGGCATTTCCACCCTCCTGGAGACCTGCAGCTCTGCAGAGACTGATGTTGTAGCGCACAGTGGAGGCTTGTGGCTTGTTGCAAGATTTTTGTTGCTGTTGAGGTGTGTACCGGTCTGTAATGCTGAACATCTCTGCTCTGGAGTCTGGGGTAATTCTTATCTGTAGTCTTTTTGCAGTAAGCAGCTCCCAAAGGCTCACAGTGTGGACCCAATGCATGAGATGACTGGCATTTTCCTCCTTCACAAACCACCCATGACTCCCACCGCCCCCACGACCTCACCAGTTCCTCACATCCTGGCTTCCCCAGCCCATCTCTCCCCTCTCCCTGCCACAATGTCTCAGCCACGCCTGCTGCCTCTGTGTTGCGTAGACATGTCTTCACACTTGGGTTTTTCCCCCACATGCTTCTTTTTCCCCCCGTCTAAAACAATGCTCCCCTCCCTTGAGTATGTGGAGAACGATTCATGATTAAGCCCAGCTCTCAGGTTCCATCAGTGTGATTTTCCCAGACTCTGCCGGAAAGATTGTGTGCTTCTCTCATTTGTGTTCTCAGAACTTTTTATACACATACAGTGTGATATTTGTTTGTGTAGTTTTTCCTTAAGCAGATCTTGCCCACTAGAGACTGGGGACACGGGACACAGTGAGGTGGCCTGAGAGATGGTCCCACTTTGGTGGGGGCTCTGTTTTCCTGGGGAGGTGACCACACAGACACTGCCCGTGCTGTCAGAGAGTCATGTGCAGGGAGAGATGGGGACAGGCGGCCCGGCCAGGAAGGCTGCACGAGGAAGTGGCAGGACCGTGGCCCCACTCTCTTGGTGTGTAAGGGTGGATTGGGCTGTGGGACAAGTGGCAGAGGGAACAATTTCTAATGCTTAAGCCAGCAGCAATTGCCACTGCAGGCTATGGCTATCTGTTTAACTCCTCGAGGGTGGGACCTTGTGTCTCTTCAGGCTCTGAGCCAGACTGCCAGGGTTCCCATTCAGGCCCTGCCTCACTTAGCTGTGACTGGGCAAGTGCCTCCCTGCTGGGCTTTCTAACTAAATGGGGGCTTCCCTTGGGGAGTCTGAGGATGACTGCAGTGTGTCCCAGTTCTGCTGGGTCACTCCTCTCCCCATAGTGGCGACGGGATCAACCTGCAGGGCTTCTGAAGTTGGACTTGCCTGTAGTTTATCCCTTGTCATTGTGTGATCTTGGGTAAGAAGATTAACCTCTCTGAGCCTCCATTTCCTGTATAAAAGGGGGCAGTGGCATCTCTTTGGCTAGGTTGGTGTGGGGATCAGAGGTGTGGTCTCTGAGCAAAGGTAGCCGATTTATGAGGGGTGATGATGGTGAAGAAGCTATGAGAATATTTATTCATTTAGCCTTGTCACAGAGCAAACTCCCACGCCCACATTTGGGGTCCTTCTTTAGCTAACGATGAAACTAATGATCAGAGCAGTGGCCACCATTGTGGTGGGCTGAGAGGTATGAGGGACCAGGCTAGGTCAGTGGAACTGTGTTGAGGACCAGCTCCCACCCTACTGACAGTGTGACGTTGGGCAAGTCGCTTAGCCCCTGTACTCACTTCTTTTGTCTGGATAAGGGGAATGAGGGCCACGTAAGGAAATATCAGCACTTAACCTCCCGCTTCTGCCTCGGGTTATCTCATCTTTGCTGCACGGGCACCACACAGGGTGAGGTCTACGTGAACACCGCAGAGGGAGCCAAGTCTCAGGACACTGGGGGACTCAGAAGTGGGGCTCCCTGACTCCGGGCCTCAGATGTTGCCCCACGGAGCACACTGACCCTTGTAACGGAAAATGACCTTCCAACAGGGATGGCATGAGAATAAATCAGAAAGCCTTCTTGGTGCTTTTGTTTTTTTTTTTTTTTTGACAGAGTTTCTTTCTTGTTGCCCAGGCTGGAGTGCAATGGCACAATTTTGGCTCACTGCAACATCCGCCTCCTGGGTTCAAGTGATTCTCCTGCCTCAGCCTCCCAAGTAGCTGGGATTACAGGCACCTGCCACCATGCCTGGCTAATTTTTTTGTATTTTTAGTAGAGACAGGGTTTCACCATGTTAACCAGGCTGGTCTCAAACTCCTGACCTCACCTCAGGTGATTTGCCCGCCTCGGCCTCCCAACGTGCTGGGAGTACAGGCGTGAGCCACCGCACCTGGCCCCTTCTTGGTGCTTTTAATGGAAGCACGTCACCGTCATGTCCGTAGTGGCCATTGGTGTTGCTGTAAGTGGAGGCTCAGACAGTGACCCCAGGGCTGGCCACTGGTGGGACCACAGCATCCTGACTCTAGCCCTGGATGCCTTCAGAAAGTATTTTCTTTGCTCATTCTTTTCTGAGGCCAGGTGGACTGTGCAGGGGGCTGTGGATCAGCAGGGAGGGGCAGGGACAGGGAAGGAGCTGTGGGGGCCTCATGCTGTGAAGGGCTGGGTTAGGAAGCCCTGTAGGAGGTGGGACGCAGGAGCGCTTGCAGGGAGTGGCCACAGTCACTATTAGATGCAAAAATAATCACGGTTTTTGCCATTACTTTTGCACCAACCTCATACTGGAAAGTAGAGGAGAAAGGGCCCGTGGTGAAAGCACCTAGAGGCAGTTCAGAGTGTGGGAGGGGCAGCTCCCCAGTGGGGCCGGGGGCATCCCTCCTGCCTTTGATGTTAGTATTGGTTTTCAGAACTGCAACCCGAAGTGTTATGCCTTTCATAAGTCTGTAGAGGTGAATGGACAGAAAGGCTGTTTTTCTTCATTATAACAGTTAACATGTGTGAATGGCACTTAGCAAGTGCCAGGATCTATGCCAGGGGCTTTTGTAAATAAAGTTTTATTAGAACACAGCCACGCCCATTTGTGTATGTATGGTCTGTGGCTGCATTTGTGCCAGACTGGCAGAACTGAGCAGCTGGGGGAGACATCTGGGAAGCCAAAGACATTTACTCCCTGGCCTTTTCCAGGAGGAGTTTGCCTCCCGCTGGTCTGTGCTGTCCCTGGTCTGACTGAACCCATTCAGTCCCAGAGGGAGGCGCACACCTGCATTTCTATTTTATAGATGCGCATAGAGGGGCTCTGAAGCTCGCCAGGGATTATAAAGCGAGTATGTTCCAGAGCAGGGATTTGAAGCCAAGAAGCCCATGTTCTTTTGTGGGGGAGGGGACAGGAGCAGGGAGATTTATATTTTTATTAGCTTCTAATTTAATTTTACCATGTTAAGAGAATGTGTGTGATATCTATTTTCAAAAATTTGTTGACAATTCCTTGATGGCCTAGCACCTGATCATTTTTTAAAATATTTTTTCATCATGGTTAATGTACTAAATATATTAAAATATTTAATCATGGTTAATATATTAACCATTTCTAAGTGTGCAATTCAGTGGCATGAAGTACATCCACACTGTTGAGCAACGAGCGCTACCATCCACCTCTAGAACTCTCTATCATCCTCACCTGCAGCCCACATTCTTCACTGATGCCATGTGCTGTCTTGTGGGAGTTTTGTGGAATAAAACAAATGTTAGTGGCATCACAATTTAGCAGAGAAGGCTTTGACATCAGACTTATGTTTGAGCACCGGCTCTGCCATTTACCGGCTATTCTTGTCCCATTGTCTGCAGCCCCCTGAACCCTCTGCAACTCAGGTTCCTCATTTGGGAAATGGGGATCACCCCAGTCTGGTCCCTGCACATCCCTCGGTTGTGAGGATGAGACTAAAGAACGGAGGTGAAAGGCCTAGTCTAGGATCACGCCGTGGACAGCAGCTGCAGTGGCGGGTCCCTTTGTTGGGCACCACCGCCCACTTGTGTTAGGTCAGCCTGTTCCCCTCTGTGTGGTCTGAGGTGGCCCCTTTATCCTTTCCAGGGCTTGCAAGCATCCTCAGGACCCACTGCACATCCTAAAACTCCCAACTGGCCTGGGAGGACCTGGGTACAGGCTGCCTGCTCTCCTGTCTCCCACCGTGGCTTAGACTGGCTGAAGGGCCACTTTAAGGAATGAAAGGGGTTCTGTGTGCACCAGCCAGGGACTGCCAGTGGGTGCTCATTGTGGCAGAAATACCCTTATGCCTGCCAGGTCAGAGGGAGGCGCTGGCTCGGTGTGCTGGCCTCTGAGCTTCTCCCTTGGCTGCATTTTGAGTCAGGAGCCTGGACTGACCCGGGTCCCTCCACAGCACTGGAGGGGGTGGGACACATCACTACAGGGTTTCCTTCCATGAGGACTCTGAGGAGTTGACAGTGGAGGCAAGGAGTGAGCTGGTAAGTAGCTTTCCACTATCTTTTACCCTTGGAGCTTCTGTCTCCTGTCTTCTCTCACCCTATCCTGTTGCATCTGGTGGCTGGTCACCCCTCTCTGCTTGTTCTGACATGGGACTGTATTGAATGAGATCACAACCTGTGTCTTCCATTGAAGCAATTCTTTTTCCCCTTCTTTTTCTTAAAAAAATTGAGGTGAAATTCATTTACTGTAAACCGTTTTCAATGGTACAATTCGGTGGCATTTACTGCATTCACGATGTTGTGCAACTGTCACCTCAATCTAGCTGCAAAACATTTTCCTCCCTCCGGAACAAACCCTGTGCCCATGGGCAGTCATTCCTCACTTCCCCTCTCCCAGCCCCGGCATCCATCCATCTGCCCTCTGTCTCCTTGGATTTGCCTGTTCTGGATATTTCACAGATGTAGAACCAGATCGTATGTGGCTGGCTTCTTCCACTTAGCCTGATATTTTCAGGGTTCACCCATGTTATAGCAAGTGTCATCAAGTGTCATTGCTTCCTTCTTCTTCATGGCGGAGTAGTATTCCATGGTGCGTATACAACACAATGGTCTATTCATCTGTGGATGGACATTGGGGTCGTTCTCACCTTTGCGGCTGGTGT
Source organism: Homo sapiens (assembly GCF_000001405.40). Classification (NCBI taxonomy): domain Eukaryota; kingdom Metazoa; phylum Chordata; class Mammalia; order Primates; family Hominidae; genus Homo; species Homo sapiens. The sequence goes on along the minus strand of NC_000004.12, from coordinate 6,193,867 downwards.
TGGAAGCAGTGCTCAGGGTGTTAACATTTTCTTCCCAGGGCTTTGGCTGCTCAGGTCCTATTCTGCAGGCTCTTCCACCCTCTCCTCCCCTGCTCACTAATGCATCAGTTCAGCCTCCCATGATCAGCATCGTGCTGGGGGCTCCCAGCCTTGACTTGTCCTTGAAACCTGCAGAATGGTTGTCGGCTCCTCATTTTCCAAGCAAGAGCATGGGAGCACCCCGAGGCAGGAGGGACGATGCGGGAGCCAGCCGAGTGCCCCAGAGAGGCAGCTGGCACAGCGCAGGGAGCCCTGGCTGCCTTTCTTTCGGTTGCAGAAACATGCTGGATTCTTGCTGCTCAGAGCGCTTGTGTGAGCTGCTTGCTGCCTGGAATGTTCATCCCTACCCTGGCCCAGACTGGCTTCTTTTCATCCCTCACGTCTGTATTAGTCAGGGTTCTCTAGAGAGACAGAACTAATCGGATATATGTGTATATGAAAAGGAGTTTATTAAGGAGAATTGACTCACCGATCACAAGGTAAAGTCTCACGATGGGCTGTCTGCAAGTTGAGGAGCAAAGAAACCAGTGGCGGATCAGTCTGAATCCCAAAACCTCAAAAGTACAGAATCCAACAGCACAGCCTTCAGCCTGTGGCCAAAGGCCTTAGAGCCCCTGGCAAACCACTGGTGTAGGTCCAAGAGTCCAAAAGCTGAAGAACTTGCAGTCTGATGTCCGAGGGCAGGAAGCATCCAGCATGGGAGAAAGATGGGGCCAGAAGACTCAGCAAGTTTGCTCTTCCATCTTCTCCTGCCTGCTTTATTCTAGCCACGCTGGCAGCCGATTAGATGGTGCCCACCCACACTGAGGGTGGGTCTGCCTCTCCCAGTCCACTGACTCAATTGTTAATCTCTTTTGGGAACACCCTCACAGACACACCCAGGAACAATACTTTGCATCCTTCACCAATCAAGTTGACACTCAATATTAACCATCACAATGTCTCAGCCTAAATTTCTCCTCCTTGGGGAGGTCTTTGACTGTCCCAGATAGCGGCTGTGCCCCTGGTTCCCATCAGTACCCTGTTTGCTTTTGAGAATCATCATGATCTGAAATGATTTTATTCTCATTTCCCCTCCCCAGAAGCTAGAATCAAGCACTATGAGGGCAGGAACCCTGCCTGTGGGGTTTCTCCTCCTCTGTCAGCCTTGGGCATTGGCACAGAGCAGGTGTGCAATAAGTAATCACTGCTATTGACTTAATTTCCGAACTCCACCCTGCTAGCTCTGTGATCGAGTGCTCGTTCCTTCATCTTTCTGAGCTTCACTTCCTTCTTTTGTGAAATAAAGAGAATGTCCCTATCTCTTGGGGTTGGTTTTGGATGTAGACCAAAACCAAAACAGGCTCAGTGGCGTCTGCGTGCAGTGGGTGTTTGTCAGCCGGTGCTGCTGCTGGTGTTACTTGTGGAAGTCATGGTCATTGTGATTGTGAATGAGTTTCCTAATGCCAGGTGACTCATACACTTGTCCTGAGGCCACCAGGGGACCTCCTGGAGCTGAGCTGTCCCATTCCAGTAGCCACTCGCCGGTAGGGGCTATTGAGCACTGCAATGCGGCTCCTGTGGACTGAGATGGACTGTGAGTGAAAAATACACCCTGGCCAGGCGCGGTGGCTCACGCCTGTAATCCCAGCACTTTGGGAGGCTGAGGAGGGTGGATCACCTGAGGTCAGGAGTTCAAGACCAGCCTGGCCAACATGGTGAAACCCCATCTCTACTGAAAATACAAAAATTAGCTGGGCATGGTGGCACACGCCTGTAATCCCAACTACTCGGGAGGCTGAGGCAGGAGAATAGCTCAAACCCGGGAGGCGGAGGTTGTAATGAGCCAAGATTGGGCCATTGCACTCCAGCCTGGGTGACAAGAGCGAAACTCCATCTCAAAATAAATAAATAAATAAATAAATAAATAAATAAAATGCACTCCTGGGCTTGAAGACGTATGAAAAAAACGGAATGTAAAATATCTTAGTAATAATTTTCACATGAATTTTACTTCAAAATAATGCTATTTTGTATATATTGGGCTAAATGAAATGTATTATTAATTTCATCTTCTTTTTACCTTTTAAAATGTGGCTAGTGAAACTGTGAAATTACACGTGGCGTGCATGTTGTATTCCACTGGGCCTTGCTGCTGTAGCTGTAAGCTCCAGAGGGCAGCAGGGTCCAGGCTCAGGTCTATGGGGCTTACCCTCCAGCTCTGCCTTCTATGAGGTCTGTGACCTCAGGCAAGTTAATGAAATGGTTTTTGTGCTTCAGTTTCCTCCTCTGTAAACAAGAAGCTCAGCCTGATGACAAACAATGACAGTGCACCTTTGAGGGCCACCTTGTGCGCTGCGAGGATCTGGGTCCCCATGAGGACAAGGGGTGGCAAGGTCTTTGCCCACAGCAGCTTACGTTCTGGGGGAGGGGAGACCCATAGCCTCCACAGGTGAAATACAGAGGCTGACCCAGCCACTAAGGCCCGTGATGAGTTCTCTGAGGGCCTCAGGAGGGACATGCAGGGGACAGTCACACTGGCGGTGGGAGCTGTGTCTCTGGCTGTGAGCCCTCGGGAAGGCCTGGTGAGGAGCGCAGGGGTAGAGCTGTCTGGAGTCTGGAGCCTGACACACACTGGGGTCTCACTCACTGGCATCCACGCCCATGACTTTGGCGTGGCCCAAGAGTGTCGGGCCACTCTATTGCCTCTTGGCCACTCAGTGGCTCTAGCCTGTGTAAGTCTTTTGCAATATTAATTGCACCAGGATTGAAGAGTTTCCAACCTCACGTTCATTTTCTGCACTCCCTGCATCCCCCAGTATGGGCAAAGCTGCTGTTTGTCCCCATCCTGGAACTGCCCCACACCAGCTCTGATTGCCGAGGGCAGTTGACTCTCAGGATGTGGTGCAGGCCGCCTGTGCTCTTGTTTGATGCAACCTCTCTGCTCTGGACCCCATCTCCACTGCTTTCTGTCAGACCCAGGAGGGGACTATGGGCCGAGTTCCCAACCCAGCCAGGAGCCACAAGGGAGACATGTCACATCACCCTGGGAGCTCTGGCGTCCTGGGGTATCACCCCATCCCTGTCACTGGGTGTGTGTGCTTGTTCCACATGGAGAGATGCCGGGGGGCAACTTTGTCCTGAGATTTGCAGGCGTCAGCTAACACTGTCATCCTTATTTTCCTTGTGCACACCTGCCCTCAGGTGCCTGGCATCGTGCCGCCTGCTGGGGTTGGGGGTGGGAGGCGGGGTGTGCTCAGCAGACCTTCCTCCCCAGGCCTCTCCTTGGACCTCCACCACCTCATTGCTGGGGAGTGAGTGACTTATCTGAGCTTGCACAGGTGGAAATGGCAGTGGCGGGTTCAGCCTACCTCTGGCTGCTCCTAAGGGTGCTGTTCACTTATGGAAAGAGTGTAGGATGAGCAAGTCTAGAGAGGAAAAGTGCAATATGGGGACTTTGTTAATACAATTGCATTTATTGGGGGTTTTTGTTGAATAAGTAGATTTTAGCTGCTCTTGCAACAAAACATGTGTAACTATGTTAGATAGAGATATGTTAATCTGCTTCACTATAGTAACCATCTTATGATCTATATGCAGCCTGTAACGTCATGTTGTAAATTTAGCCTGGCATTGCAGCCCCCCCCATGGCCTGCTCCCAATTCAGCTCCCATCATTTCCCCCATGAACCATAGCCCTCTCCTGAGAACTGCTCCTCGGGTGCCACTTCTCCATCCTTCTTGGGCCCCAGGAGTGGGGAGACACCCGCTGACTTCCTCTACAAAGGAGGATTGAGTGAATGAAGTCATTGGGGCTAGATTCAGACAGGCCCAGGGGCAGGGGAATGGACTAATGGGGCTTTCTTCTCTCCTCTGATTTTGCCAGTGTGGCATGGCCCACGCTGCCTCCCTCTCCTGCCACGCCTGCAGCAGAGCCTGTGTCTAGCTACACAGTCCCCCGGCTGCTCTCGACTGAGCCAGGCCTTTGCACATGCTGTTCCCTTTGATAGATCTGCCTGTTCGCCTCCCCCACCCCATCCACTTGTGCTTAAGATCCATCATGCGCCTTCCTTCAGAAAACTCCATCCCCAGGCTGGGCCAGGTAGGGCCAGGCATAACCCCAGGGCCCTCACTGCCCTACGCCACCCTCTGCCCTAGCCACTGTGTATTGCAGCTGCCAGTGACTTGTCTGACTCCTCCATTAGACAGAGGGCTCTGTGAGGGTAGGAATGCTTTCTGATTCACACTGGGACTCCCACAGCCTGGCCAGGGCAATGTGCACAGTAGGTGGTTAATAGATTTTTGGCTTTTGGTCTCAGATTCCCATAATGTCAGTGTTGGGAGGGACCTTAGCAGGATCACAGTATGTTCTCGCCATTGCTTGCATCAGGTCCACTCTGCGCTGAAAAAAAATTCACTCTGTTCTCTGCAGAAGCCACCTCTAGTGACAGTCAATTGTCTGAGCCTCAGATACTATAATGCTTGGGGTGGGAATACCCCTGATTGTTGTATCAGTCCAGAGATGAGATTTGCGAAGGTTCTGTAAAACTCAAAGTTTCCCTTTCCCTCTTCAGACTGGCATTTCGCTACCTTACGGTGCAGCCTGCTTTTAGTTTAAGGCAGCAGAAAAATGTTAGAATGCTGTTCTTCAGAAACAAACTGCATTCCTGTGGTCCCGGAAGGTCACATTTCTTATTCCATTAGCCTGGTTTTTCTCTTTCTCCCAAGCCATACCCTCCGAATGCACTGTGGAAGACAAACCTTCTTTCTGGATGTTGGCAGGACTGCTTTGTTGGACCAGGGCGCTGGGTGAGTGAGCTCATTATGCCCGGCAGTAATTGGATTTCCTCAGCAAGTCTTGGAGCCTTCCAGGCTCAGGGCTTGACGAGGTTCTTTTTGCAAACCAGATATCTTATTTTGAAAAAGGGCCTGGATGCCCCCACATTGTGCCTAATCTATTTAAACCACTGGGCAGATGGGTGCTTTCCTGACATGATCTATCTCTCCCAGGAAGTACCATAGGCACCCAGGATGAACCAAGTCTGTGAGAGCCTGTGTATTGCAGAGCCCCGGATTTTTCTATAGGGACAAATGCAAGACACTTCAGACTGAAGACACAAACAAGTCTTATTGCTGGATAGGATATTAAAAATTGGGGTGCTCTAGCCAGAAGATGGGGGAGGGATGCAGGTGCCCCAAACCTCAGGTGCCCCAGATTAATAAGTTGCTAATTTGGAATTTCACGATTCATTTGCTCCTGGGTTGTAGCTTCCCTTCATCATTGTGAGTGAGCAGAGGGCTTTGGGGGTATGCTAAGAGGTCAAGTGGCAAGGAGGTTTGGGGTGTATTAAGTCACTCTTAGGTAGGGATGTGGGCTGAACATTTTGGGGTGGTGTCTTATCTGTTTATTGTTGGAAGTGGAGAAAGGACCTCTCCTTATCAGAACCTCCTGTGCAGGTGTCTGTGAGAACAGTGCCACAGCACTTGAAAACGCCATCATTGCGGATTCTGTTCTGAATCCTGACCATCCCTCCCCACCTTAGTCTGAAGCAATGAGCTGTCTCCACACTTCCAGTCACCACATGTCACAAAGGGGATCTCGAAAATACAGTGGCCCCATTCTGCCTCCTTGTAAGAAGGTCAAGCTGTAGACTTCCAATCTTCCAACCCAGGAAGCTGGTAGTGGACATTTTTGTAGATGGTGTTCAGAGACTCTTGGATAAATAATTGATTGGCTCCCATTTACTGGAACCAAAAAGAAAAAAAAATGACAGATTTGAAAATTAGCCATTTAAGAAACTTAACATTGTCAGAAAGGTAATTCTGCTATCTACATTTAAAAGAAATACCTCTTTGAAGTCCTTGCTCCTGACTTACATGGCAAACACGGTGTCTGATTCATTTAGTGCAAAAGAAGGCAGTAATGGAAGAATAAAGGAGCAAAAATGACGTGAGGCATATTGAAAACAAAATAAAATGGAAGACATAAGTCCAACTATATCAATACTATTAAAGATGAATAGGTTAAATAAGCCAGTCAAAAGGTAGATGTTGTCAGGGATAAAATATATGATCCAAGTATATGCTATCTTGGTCCTTTCAGGCTGCTATAACAAAACACCTTAGACTGGATAGCTTATAAACAATAGAAATTTATTTCTCACAGTTCTAGAGGCTGGGAAGTCCAAGATCAAGGTACCGGCAGATTCAGTGTCTGGTGAGGCCCTGCCTCCCCATTGACAGCAGTCTTCTTGCTGTGTTTTCACATGGTGGAAGGGGTGAGCTAGCTCCCTAGGGTTTCTTTTACAAAGGCACTAATCTCATTTATGAGGGCTCGCCCTCGTGACCTAATCACTTGCCAAACGCCTCACCTTCTAATGCTATCATACTGGTGACTAGAAACATATGAATTCTGGGGGTACATAAACATTCAGATCATAGCACTGTCTATAGGAGACACACTTTAGATTCAAGGATACAAATAGATTGAAAGTGAAAGGATGAGAAAAAATATATCAGGTAAATAGCAACCATAAGAAAGCTAAGGGGCTGTACTGATATTAGACAAAATGAGTTTAAAACAAAAAAAGTTACTAGAGATAAAAAGTAACATTTTATAATGACAAGAAGTTCAATACATCAGAAATATATAACAATTATAAACATATTTGCACCTAACAACAGAGCACCAAAATATATGAAGCAAAAACTGACAGAAGTGGGCTGGGCATGGTGGCTCATGCCTGAAATCCTAGCATTTTGAGAGGCTGAGGTGGGCAGATTGCTTGAGCCCAGGAGTTTGAGACCAGCCTGGATAACATGATGAAACTCTGTCTCTACAAAAAAAATACAAAATTAGCCAGGCATGGTGTTGTGTGTCTGTAGTCCCAGCTACTTAGGAGGCTGAGGTGAGAGGATCACCTGAGCCTGGGGAGGTTGAGGCTGCAGTGAGCCGTGATTGCACCACTGCACTCCAGCTTGGGTGACAGAGTGAGAGACTGTCTCAAACAAACAAACAAAAAACCTGACAGAAGTGAAGGGAGAAATAGATAATTCAACAACAATAGTTGAATATGTCAACACCCACTTTCAATAACAGATAGAACAACTCTACAGGAGGTCAACAAGGAAGCAGGGAACTTGAACAACACTGCACACCAATTAGACCTAGTGGAAACCTATAGAACACTAGACCAAGGACATCAGAATAAATATTCTTCTCTAGTGCCCATGAATCATTTTCCAGGATAGACCATATGCTAGGCCCTAATACAACCTCAATAAAATTAAAAGGAGAGAAAACAAGCAAACAAAAAAGCAAAGCACGTTCTGTGACTACAATGCAATGAAGTTAGAAGTCAGTAGCATCAAGCCATGCCTGGCCTGTAGCTGATGTTCAGTTCTTGCCAGCCAGACACCAGAGGCCCCCACTTTTCCCTTCCTGTCTCATCCTCCATCACTCCTGCTTGCCCCTTCACTTGCCTTTGCAAACTGACTACTTGACTACTTCCCTGACTCTAACCACCTCCTTTTCCAACTTCCATGCTTTTGCTCACCATCCCACTTTCCTGGAATGCCCATTCCTTGGACTTCCCCACCCTGCTGTGCCTCCTCAGTCTGCATCCTGCCCATCCGCCTGACCTGCCCCTGGCAAGCTCCAGGGAAGCCTCGTCGGCTGTTCCTGCATTCCCCTCACTTCAGCTGGGAGCTTTCCCTGCTTAGGAGTTGTGTAATTCTCACCACAACTTGTTCGTTCTCCTTCCTGTAGCCCCTAGCCAGACACTGTGTTGAGTGGCTGGCTGTGTCCACTTTCATCTCCATTACTGAATGGAGTGCCCCTCTTCTCCCTCTTATTGTCCAGCACAATTGGAAATGACCTCCACACTGAGGTAATTAAAAAAAAGTCCAGTCTGAACTAGTGTCATATTTAATTGTAGTCTATAAATATTTTCTCAATGTAGTTTTAATAGTTTAGATAGAAAACTTGGCTGTGGGCTGTTAAAGGTATTGTCTAGAACACCTGCCTTAATGAGCCTTAATCAGGAGGGTTTGTAGTGAACAGATCTGAGAAGTGGTTCTCAAAATGAGGTCCTGGGCCAGCAGCAGCCTCACCTGGGAGCAGCTCAGAACCACAGGTCCTCTGGCCCCACCCTGATCTCCTGGATCAGGGACTCTGCAGCTGGGGTCTGGCTTTTGTTTTTTTGAGACGGAGTCTTCCTCTGTCGCTCAGGCTGGAGTGCAGTGGCGTGATCTCAGCTCACTGCAAGCTCCGCCTCCCAGGTTCACGCCATTCTCCTGCCTCAGCCTCCCAAGTAGCTGGGACTACAGGCGTCTGCCACCACGCCCGGCTAATTTTTTGTATTTTTTAGTAGAGATGGGGTTTCACTGTGTTAGCCAGGATGGTCTCGATCTCCTGACCTCATGATCCGCCCACCTCGGCCTCCCAAAGTGCTGGGATTACAGGCGTGAGCCACCGTGCCCGGCCCCTGGGGTCTGGCTTTTAATGAGCCCTCGGAGCAATTCCAATACACTCTCCAGTTTAAGAACTAGGGCAGACAGGGCTGGTTCCCACTTGTATTAGTCAGGGTTCTCGAGAGGGACAGAACTGATAGGATAGATGTATATATGAAAGGAAGTTTATTGGGATAATTGACTCACAAGATCACAAGGTGAAGCCCCACATTAGGCCATCTGCAAGCTGAGGAGCAAGGAAGCCAGTTCGAGTCCCAAAACCTCAAAAGTAAGGAAGCTGACAGTGCAGCCTTCAGTCAGTGGCCCAAGGCCTGAGAGCCCTGGCAAACCACTGGTGGAAGTCCAAGAGGCCAAACGCTGAAGAACTTGGAGTCTGATGTTCGAGGGGAGGAAGCATCCAGCACGGGAGAAAGATGGAGGCCGGAAGACTCAGCAAGTCTGCTCTTTCCAAATTCTGCCTTCTTTATTCTAGCTGTGCTGGCAGCTGATGAGATGGTGCCCACCCACACCGAGGGCAGGTCTGCCTCTCCCAGTCCACTGACTGAAATGTGAATCTCCTTTGGTAAGATCCTCACAGACACACTCAGGAACAATACTTTCTATCCTTCTGTCCAATCGAGTTGACACTCAATATTAACCATCACTCCACTTATCCTGTAGTTATGCATTCTGTTTGGCTGTTTCTAAAATAGTTGACAATTGGTTGCTTCCCTTCGATAGGCACAATCACCCCTGCTCTCTTGCTGAATCTACAGGTGAGCGCGGGGGACCCTTGTTTCCTAGAGTGCAGACAGCAGCTCTTCCCGTCCATATAGCACCCATCCCACACTGGCGCTCAGGGTGGAGGGTGTGCTTGGCTTCTAGTATTTTCTTGAGGAAGAGGGAAGGCACCCTGGCTCTTATACTGCACTTGCCTTGCCCTCTCTCCCTCCTTGTGATGCTGAGTGTGGGCTGTATTGTCATTTCTAGGAAAGGAGGGAAGGCGGCAGAGTCTGAAAACCAGCAGTGGGCTGGGAGTAGGGAGGCGTGTGTTCGAGGCATGCCCCCTTCCTGGCTGTGGTGCCTGGGAGCGGTTCTTCCTTCCCTAGGGCATTTGTGGAGTGTCTGCTATGTGCTGGGCACCTGGTTTCTGCCTATTGAGAAGGGATGATACTCACAGGACAGTGTGATACACTCACCTCTCTTTGGGTTTGTTTTCCCATCTGCAAAATGAAGTCTTTTCAAAAATAAAATTTTTACATAGCTAAACCACCCTGCTCCAATATACAAAACAGAGAAGTGATGGTTTATTCTCACATTTATCTTATGACTTTAAACTGACAACATTTACCAGTTATAAGGTCAGTCAGTGAGGACAGTGAGGTTGCTCTGATGAATTCAACTTTCAAAACGAAAAGTATAGGGTGACAGTTGCAATCTGAACAGCTGTGGCATCTTGAGTATTAATGGACTTTGTTGTGGTTGTGAAAATATTCTGTTGTGACGATTTGCATACCGCATTTGTGATTCCGTTTTTGGGAGTGACTTGTCTTGCATTCTCAGAGTGCATTTCACTGGAGATGACAGGAGAGGCTGTCCCCCAAGCCCTGCACAAAGCTGAGTGTTCACCTGGCAGCCCAGGTCCCTGCAGTGGGGTCTACCAGGGTTAATATTGGGTTTGCAGCCCATTTGAGTTGGTGTGATGTTTTCACAGTTTAAAATTATTACACCTAGAAAAAAGAAGTCAAGCATCTGTTGCTCCAGACCTTTGACTCCTGGCCCTCCCAAACATCTTCAAGGAGCACCAGGACTCCATGGAAGGTGGTTTGAAAACCAAGTCCCAGCACCCTGAGTACTGAAGTTTCTGTTCCATTTTACTTTCTTTTTTAAATTTATTTATTTATTTATTTATTTATTTATTGAGACAGAGTCTTGCTCTGTCACCCAGGCTGGAGTGCAATGGCATGATCTTGGCTCACTGTAACCTCTGCCTCCCAGGTTCAAGCGACTCTCCTGCCTCGGCCTCCCAAGTAGTTGGTATTACAGGCACCCGCCACCAAGCCCGGCTAATTTTTGTATTTTTAGTACAGACGGAGTTTCACCATGTTGGCCAGACTGGTCTCAAACTCCTGACCTCAGGTGATGCGCCTGCCTCAGCCTCCCAAAGTGCTGGAATTACAGGCGTGAGCCACTGCACCTGGCCCTGTTCCATTTTAGACATCAGCCAGCACCCCTTCGCAGGGCACCTGTATCTGTGTGTCTAGATATCTGTGGTATTGTTATCTGCCTGTATCATGTTTAGCTCTTTGTTCTGTCTCAACCTTCAAGAGTCCTTGTATTACTAAGATGGGACCTGGGAACCTGGAGCCTCCAGGACCATCACTGGCTGAGCTGAGCTGAGCTGAGCGGGAGGAAGGGCTGCCTTGGGAGCTGGCACTGGCCTGACCTCCAAGTCTCTGTGAGCAGACCTTGAGGGACCTGTGCCTTCCTAGGCATCTCCAGGTCATATCTGCTCCCTTCTTCCTCGGGATGGCTGTGGAGTTATAGGAAGTGTTTGGGGAAAGGAGCAGTTGTATCTAGAAACGGTGATATGTTTCCGAAACTCACACTGTCACTCCACTGCTCCAGGGGCTCCCCGCTGGCCCAGGATAAAGCACAGACTCCTTGTCATCACACATGTGGCCTTATCTCCTGATGCTCCTGCTGTTACCTACTGTCTCAGACCATTTGGCTGCCATAGCAGAAATACCATAGACAGAGGGGCTGAAACAACAGAAGCTTATTTCTCACCGTTCTGGAGGCTGGAAGTCTGAGATCATGGTGCCAGACAACTTGGTTCATGGTGAGGCCCCTCTTCCTGGTTCGCAGGAGGCTGCCTTCTTACTGTGCCCTCGCATGGTGGAGAGAGAAAGGAAATAAGCTCTCTTGTGTCCCCCTCCTTTTTTTCTTTTCTTTTCTTTCTTTCTTTCTTTCTTTTTTTTTTTTTTTTCTGAGACAGGGTCTCGCTCTGTTACCCAGGCTGGAGTGCAGTGGTGTAATCACTGTTCATTGCAGCTTTGAGCTCCCGGGCTCAAGTGATCCTCCCACCTCAGCCTCCCAAGTAGCTGGGACTACAAATATGCACCACCACACCTGACTAATTTTTTTAATTTTGTAGAGATGAGGTCTCATTATGTTGCCCAAGCTGGTCTTGAACTGAGCTCAAGCAATCCACCTTCCCCGGCCTCCCAAAGAGCTGGGATTACAGGTGTGAGCCACCGAGCCTGGTTTCCTGTCCCTTCTTATAAGGTCACTAATCTCATCATGAGGGCTTCACCCTGATGACCTAATTACCCACCATAGGGTTTCAATGTATCAATTTGGGGGGACATAAACATTCACTCCATAACACTGTCCCTTACCTTATTGAATCGTCTGCTTTCCCTGAACTTGCCCAGACCCCTCCTCCTCCTGTCTGCACAGGCTCATCTCCTTGGGCATCACCCATCCTCCCAAGGCCAGGGCGGGTCCCTCCCTGTACATCTGTCTGTCACAGCCATGGTCACAGTGTGTGACTGATGCCATTCACAGTCTTCTTCCCCGCTGGCTAGAGCTCTGTGAGGGAAGGGGCTGTGTGAGATTCATGTTTGAGGCTCAGCACAGGGTCTGGCATGGAACAGGCACTAGGATGCTGTTGAATGAATGAATGAATGAATGGAGCTTGCGTTGCTGCTGCTCTCCCTCTCTGATGCCAATTGACTTTTCTTTGACCCCTGCTCCTCCATCTGCATATCCTGATTTCACCCCTTCCACAGCCCACTTTGGATGTCCCTTCCCTCACCACGCTGGCACCCATAGGCCCTGGTCTCCCAGTTATCACCTGGGCTTGTTACAGTGTCTCCTTTGCTTGGCTAGGAGCTCCTCAAGGGATGGGGGAGCCACTGAGACATTGAGGGACTCTGCAAATGTCTGCACCTGAGAAGGACTTCCTTCTGTACTGAGCTGGTGGTAACCTGATAGTGACCTGGTAGTAACCTGGCAGTAAGCTCATCTTGGTTTATGTACTCCAGGCCTGTAATTAGTGTTACTCTTCGAGCCCCTGGTCTCTTCCTCTCTCAGCATGACCCTCCCCTCCACCCTTTCTGGAACTGCTTTCTTGAGAGGAAGCCTAAGAAATGTGAACTGCGTCCACCAGCACATCTCACAAAGCCTTGTGCACACAGGAGGTGTTTGGTAGGTGTCTGTCAAGGAGCGCCCTGTTCAGCATCTAGTCATATCAAGCCCACACGGGGTGGTGAGTATAGAAAGGATGTAGAAACCACAAAAAGAAGTTGCCCTTTGCTTGGAAGTCACTGACTACCCCTTCTTGTTCTTGGTGGTGTGGTTACTTGCTAGTCTCTTGACTCATTTCAGCAGAGGTGAGACAGAAACGACCTGATGGCTGGGGCCTTTTCTGGGACTTCTTAAGGGGTCTTTGCACGTTAATAAAGGGGAGATTCCAAAATGATGCAATGAGTTGGCCAAGAGCCAGCAAGTAGCAGTTGAAAAAGAAAAAGTTTTTATACTAAGCTTGGGACTTGAGCAGCTAGACTCCTCCCTGCTCAATGTGCCATGGCCCTCTGAGAACAAAGCACGTTGACAGAAAATTAAATGTCACTGAATTAGCTGCAACATCCACTTGCTACAACCTCCACCCCCACTTGCTAATTGGGTCATGTTGGTCAAAGTACTTCACCCCTTCCTGCTGGTCCATTAAAATGGGGGTACTAAGAATACCCTTGTCACAGGGCTGCAGAATACTAGGTAATTTGGACAGTTTGAAACAGTTCCTGCTACACAGTGAGAGCTATATAAATGGTGACTTATTACTTGGTGCATGTTTGTTGAATTGTAGTAAATTATCTGATGGGAGAGGGGTGTCTGTGTTGTTATGGTGCTTAATTCTTCTTGTAGCACAGGTATCGGTCCCCATTGCCTATCCTCACCTCCAAGTTTCTCTCCTGTTCAGCAGCTGATAAGATTTTATAGTGAAAATCTCAATAAGAAAGAAGACTTCACGTGCACAGAATGTTCTAAAGGAAGCTTCATTATGTTCTCTTGAATGTTGATAAACAACTCTCATTTCTATTTGATGAGAATTTTTTGTGGGTTCTGAATGTTACGAGTAGCAATTTTATCAGAAATTATTTCTGTTTGTGGGTATGTTTGGTGGGGAATTGAAGTTGGTGGTTTTCTGATATTGGAAGCATTTCATGAACTGGGGTATTTCAAAACTGCTGTTTATGAAAGTGTTGGGGCTAATTCAGTGGCACTTAATTTTCTGTCAATATGCTTTGTTCTAAGAGGGTCATGGCTTGTTGTGCAGGAAGGAGCCTGCTGTTTATCCCTGCAAATGTTCTTGCATGGCTTCTAAGAGGATGTCAGGCATGCTGCTGGTCCTAGGGATAGAAAACAAAACAGACACAGTTCTTTGGGCAGCTGGGAACTGGTCTTAGATTCAGAGAGACCTGGGTTCAAGTCCTGACTCTGTCATTTACAAGCTATGGATTTTAAGAAAGTGACTTCACCTCTTTGAGCCTCAGTTTCCTTATCTGTCATATGGGGATAATATTGCTACCTGTTTTACAAGGAGGCTTTGAGGATGGATTGAGATGAGGTGTACCCAGCATACTACCTGGCATAGAATAGTCTCTTCTTTTGAGTGGCAGCTCTTGGTTTAGCTGTTGCTTTTGGTCTGGGGGCAGGAGTGATACCCCAAGAGACCCATGCAGCCTGACTCAGGGCCACTGCTGGGCCACTTCCCTTCCCTTGTTCTCTGCCTGGTGCAATGAGCAGGGTCACCTTTTGCAGAGGAGGTAGGTTTGTGTCAGGGCAATGGGCTTGGTTTCCTGTGGGTTTGTGGCTTTGTAGGGTTGTCCCTTGACGGTGCCTGTAGGGGGTGTCAGGAAGGTAGAGGAAGGAGGTGGTGGTGGATGGGGCAGGGTCTCCCTGTGTGGGGCTCAGCCTTCCTGTCCTGTTCCATCCAGTCTGCCTCTTGGCTGTTGCATTTACTGAGTACTCACCTGAGCAGGTGCTTTAGGTTCCTCTTTAAGCCTCTCAACCACCATGCAAGATGGTAGGAGGAAACCAAGACCCCACGAGGTTAAGCAGTCATTTAGGGGTTAGAGTTAGTGAATCTGGGGCTTTGAGATGAGAATCTCACCCTCTCTCCAGCCACATAGGGCTGCCCAGGTGGTTTCAGCAAAGGTGGCATGGGAGACCTAGGTGTGCCTGTGGGTCCTTCTAAGACCATTTCATGAAAAAGAGCAACAAAGGTTTGAAAAGCACATTCTAGTCTTTCCCCAACCACTCTCTGGACATATAGCCCAGTTTTATTTTTTCCTGGGAATATGCTATACCAGCTTTGTAACCTGATCTTTTTGGATGTGGCAATCCATTCTGAAGACATTCCAGAGAAACAATTCATAAATGAATGACCGAGTGTGCTCTCCGAGCCAGGCACTGTGCCGGGGCAGGGAGACAGCTGGTGAACAATCCCATGTGAAGAGGGAGGGACCTTAATCAAGTACGAGGTGCTCTGAGGTTGGGAGATGGGGGAGGTTTGTGTGGGGATGAGGTCAGTGGAAGCCTCTCTGGAGACATGACCTAGAGAATTTGGTAGGGTATATTAGTCTGTCCTCACATTGCTAATAAAGACATACCTGTGACGGGAATTTATAAAGAAAAGAGGTTTAATTGACTCACAGTTTTGCATGGCTGGGGAAGCCTTAAAAAACTTACAATCATGGCATTAGGGGAAGCAAACACGTCCTTCTTCACCTGGCGGTATCAAGGAGATGCAGTTTCGAAATATCCCGGTTCATGAAATGCTTCCAATATCATCAGAAAACCACCTACTTCAATTCCCCACCAAACACACCCACAGACACAAATAATTTCTGATAAAATTGCTACTCGTAACATATTCAGAACCCACTTAAAGTTCTGATCAAATAGAGCTTACTCACTATCATGAGAATAGTATGGGGTAAACTGCCCCCATGATTCAATTACCTCCCGAGAGGTCCCTCCCACCACACATGGGGATTATGGGAACTACAATTCAAGAGGAGATTTGGGTGGGGACACAGCCAAACCATATCGTAGGGTAACAAAGGAAAAGCTGCTTACCTGAAAGGTAGCCACGTCTCTCAATTCAAAAATGAGATACAAAACATTAAAGGGTCATTTTTTTATACCCATGGGGGACAAAGCTAAATATATCAAAGCCTTGGGCTTCTGTTTCCTTCTTTCCTATCCCTCCCCTCCAGGGAGGAGGGTCGGGGACAGGAAGCATGAAGTGGGCGTGGCCAACGAGGCGGGGTTAGGGGCTGGACAGGAAGTGGAAAGGGAGGAGTCATGTTTGACTTTAAAAGCCTGCAGCCGGAAGTGAAGCCGGATGCACTTGGAGGTGGAAGCGTGAGATTGAGTGGTTAGGGTTAATCTCACCTCTTCTGTGCAAAATTAACTTTGAGTTGAGGCATCTTGGCTGGGGCTGGGGAAGAGGAGTTGTGGGCAGAGGGACAGCCTGCAGCGTGTGCAGAGGCTCAGAGACAATGCAGAGGCAGGGGCCACCCAGGTCACTGTGAAGATGGTGGCTCTGATGTGGGTAGTGGCATTGGGGGTGGAGTGGAGGAGGTTGCACTGATGTTTGGGGGATGCAGCCATTATTAGTATGGCTATGATCTGCCTCCGTCTGTGGGAGGGGCTGCTCTGCTTCAGACCCTGCAGTGGGTGCCTTAATTTGTTTAATCCACACAACAGCCTCAGGACAGAGAAGTGAGGTGTGATGATGCAGGTCACACAGCAGAAGGGTTGGATCTAGGATTTGACTCTAGGTCCAACTGACAGGGAAGCCCAGGCTCTTTCTCTTACACCCTTCCCAGGAGGCCCAAATTTTCAGAGGCAGAAGCCGTGGCAAACATGGAGGGCTTGTTGGAGTAGGTGATGATGTGGCTTATAAACCTTTACTAGGCTAAGTTTGAGGCCCAGAGTAATTAGAGCTCAGGACTGGGAGTAAAGGGGCTGGGTTCAAATCCTGTCTTTCTATGTACATTTGGATTAGCCCCACCCTCCCTGGACTCCACATCCCATCTGTGCAATGGGGAGGTCGGATCAGATGGCCTTTCTTAAAGTCCTCTCCAACTTTGGAGCTCACTTCTTCTCTACATCAATATTTGCTAAGTGTTTTTTCCCTTTGGGAAGATTGACGTTTGTCTACCAACACCCTCCTACCCGAAGCTCCCTTTTGGTTTCAGGATGCCAGTGGGTGTCTAGGCATGGTCACATGGTCACTGCTCATGACAACAAGGTTTGTACCTTTCCGATCATTTAAAAAAAATTTTTTTGAGACAGGGTCTTACTCTGTCACCCAGGCTGGAGTGCAGTGGCACAAATCATGGCTCACTGCAGCCTCAACCTCCCCGATGCAAGCGATCCTCCCACCTCAGCCTCCCCAGTAGCTGAGACTACAGGCACATGCCACCATGCCTGGCTAATTTTTGTATTTTTTGTAGAGGCAGGGTTTCGCCATGTTGCCCAGGCTGGTTTCTAACTTCTGGGCTCAAGTGATCCGCCTGCCTCGGCCCCCAAAAAGTGCTAGGATTACAGGTGTGAGCCATGGCGCCCAGCTTTTCCCACCACTTTGATATAGGCTCCAATTTCTTGCTGGCCACACAGGCTGGCAAATCCTGGGTCCTTTTGCATGTTCAGTGGAACCTTGGGTGAGTCATTCTACCACTGCAAGCCTCAGTTTCCCCATTTGTAAACATGGAGTTATCTCCCAGCCCTTAATTCCCTGACCCCATTGCCCCATTCTGAGTGTGTCCGGGTGATGTGGTACAGTGCTGCGTCTTGTTTCTACAGAACAACCGTCCTGTGGTAGGAGTACTGAGGAGCTTGGTAAATAGATTAAAATGTACAATACAGCTGAACATCGGAAATCCTTCCTTGGTCCCGTTCAGCTAGGCTGGAGGTCCTATCTGGTTTTGCCTCCTAAAATGTTTGTATTCATGGTTCACCTCAGGGATCTTCATACCCCACCAGACCAGGACACAGCCTAAACACTGTCTCTGCCTTCAGGGGCCCCGTGGAACCTGCTGCCAGGCAGTCCTCCATGTTGACTCTGGAGCAGCTGGTCTGAAACGTATGAGGGGGTGATCTGTCCTTTTCCACCCAGGTGTAACCCTCTCCGTGGCTCCCCACTGTGCTCAAAGTCAAACTCAAGCCTGTTAGAGATTTGTAGTCCCTTCTTCTCACTAGATCTCTGACTACTCCAGGGGAGCATTACACCATGTTCATCTCTGTATCTTTAATGCCTGGGAAGTATCTGGCACTTAGTAGGTTTTTCAGTAAACAATAATGATGCTGACTACCATTGTGTTTATAATGAGCAAGGGACCTCATCTGCTGTAAAGATTCTCAATTTACAGCCCTGTGGACAGTGGTAGCACCGTTATCTCTGCTAGATGGAACCCCAGGAAACTGGTTCAGAGAGGACAAGGGCCTTGATGGGTCAAGATGATTGTTGAGTAAATTTACATTTAGCCATTTAATCTCTTTAAAGAGAGTTCCAAGGCATCTGCTACTTTAATTGGAAAACAATGTCTGAGTTTTGAATCCTGTCTTTTCCAGGTGCCGAGAGAGCCACGGATTGGCAGGCATGCCCCAGGCACGAGCAGGGTGCTGGTGTTCTAAGGCAGCATCCATCTGCCTGGGTGGAGCTGGGTAGGTGGGAAATCCTGCCTGGTGCCAGCCATGCTGGAGTGAGTCCTCAGCTGAAAGCAGGCTACCATTTTTATCTCCTGTGCAGAGAAGATCAGTGATGAGTCATGAGCGAGATGCTTGGGGACTCCTTATCCCTCAGTGTCTGCTGACTTCTCGTCAGTATTGCTACTGGGAACTTTGAAAATTGTCTACAAAATTCTTGAAAGTGTTGCAAAAAGAAAAAATGGCATTCACCTGTACTCCCAGCGCTGAACTGCTGTGTTGCTGTTCTTTCAGGCTTTGTCCAGAGGCAGCGTGAATGTAGAGACCGTTGGTAGAGATGAAACATTTTACTTTTTATTGCGGAATGAAGGGACCCCATTTGGAGCTCACTTACTTGTGTCCCGGTTCTATCACATGGGAGTTCTGTGACTTTGGGGAGGTTCCTTAACCTTTCTGAGCCTTCAGGGCCTCAGCGGGCCCAGAGAGTGTCACTTGCCTGCGTGTCAGTGCTGTGTTGCTGCCCCCTGATGTTGGTCAGTTTGGCAGGTGAGGGGAGTTTGGGGGGACTTGTGGGAAGGTGAGGTGGGGTCTTAGATGAGGAAGGGCCTTGTCCAGGCTAAGGAGTTTGGTTTTTACCTGCAGGGCAGTGGGGAAACCGAGGATAGCCTGTGGATACGTTTTACTGTTTTTTGTTTCTCAGAAAAGCAGTGGCCATCACCAAGATCAAGAGACACGGGTCAGAACTCCACATGGTTGAGGGTGGCCACAGTCCAGGGGCAGATGGGGCCACATGGGTGGGCAGAGGGTGAGGAAGGGGCCAGGGTGCAAAACAGTTGGGGCGACAGAAGGAACCAGTCCTTGACACGACGGGGTCACCTGGGAGCTGGGTGTCGTGGTGTAGTTTGGGGTGCTGAGGTATGAGCAGGGAGGGGGTGGGGCTTTACACTCCCAGGAGTCCTTTCAGGAGAGCCTGGGGTAACGGAGCGTGTTTTAGCTGCTCCGGGGGGTTTCGGGGAAGACTTAAGGCTCTAGAGATGGGGAAACTGAGGGCTGCAGCAGTGTTGCGACCTCTCCACAGGACCCAGCAGGTTGAGAGCTGCGAGCCCAGGCCTGTTCTTCTGCACCCTGGTTCGCTCTGGTGCATGTGGCCAGCTCCCAAGGACAAGAGGGAACCATCGGGCCTGAGGGCCCGTGACCTCTGATTTCTTAAACACGGAGCCGAAGACCAGGTCTGGCATCAGCCAAGGATTCACGGTCCTTTCTCGCTGTGCCTGGACCCTCCCAGCAGCCCTCCCTTATCATATGTCACACCTGACTCTTGCCCTGGTGATGGCGATTATTCCTGATTGTCATTAAATTTTACTTTTCCACTTACTTTTGGAGTCTGTGGTTCACAATACCTCTGACGGAGACCTGGCTGCATCCTGTTTACAACTGCTCTTTCATATTAATAAGTGTTCTGAGGCCTGGATCAAGGCCTCACATCATCATTTTGCTATATAGGGTATTATTGCAACGATTGGTGATGTTCGAGTAGGAAATGAATCAGTGATAAAATTTCTGATTTTGATCATTATGTTGTGATTTTATGTATGTATGTATGTACGTATGTATGTATATATTTTCAGATGGAGTCTTGCTCTGTGTTGCCACCTTGGCTCACTGCAACCTCCACCTTCCAGGTTCAAGCGATTGTCCTGTCTCAGCCTCCCAAGTAGCTGGGATCACAATTCCTGGCTAAATTTTTTTTTTGTATTTTTAGTAGAGATGAGGTTTCACCATGTTCGCCAGGCTGGTCTCAAACTCTTGGCCTCGAGCGATCCGCCCGCCTTGGCCTCCCGAAGTGCTGGGATTACAGGCGTGAGCCACCATGCCCAGCTGGTGTTATGATTTTATAAACGTCCTTTTCTTCAGAGATAAAAGTCACAACATTTAGGGTGAGATGTCGTGGTGTCTGCAGCTTACTGTCAAATGGCCCACAAGGATAGAAATACACACATCTATCCTTATAGATAGAAAAATGGGATAAGGAAAAATTAAACAGTTGGTGAATCAAGATGAAGGTGTAAAGGGATTCATTGTTTGATGTCTTTGGAACTTTTCTGTAGGCTTTGGAATTTTGCAATAAGACATTTTTAAAAAGGTGTTCCTAGTGGCCAGGCTGTATCCATCTGTCAGTCCTGTGGTCTTGGTCACCTGAGGCAGAGTGGAATGCTTGCTCCATAGTTCATATTTGGCATCCTCTTGGGGAGCAGTTTTGACATAAAGCCAGAGGCTTTTGACGAAGTTTGTTTCTCTCCCCATAGAGAAATCATTATATTTTTAGAATCTTTGCTTGCAGACCAATTTTCCTTCAAATTTTCATTTCTTTCCTTCCCCTACATTTTTATTAGAGTTTGATTGCCTTGTAAGATCACTGAAATAGTGTTTGTAGTTGTAACTATTCAATTAGAGAAAAGACTAAGGACATTAACAGACCTTCTTTCTCTCCATCCCTCCAGATTCTACCCCCTGTATGGTAACCAGTGGGAGGTGAAATCTCCTGAACTTTTTCCTGTGCTTGCAGGAACCCACACAGATAGGCGTGAACATCTTGTAGGGCTTGGTTTCTTCTTTTCATTGTTTATCCTTTGTTAATCGGGTTAGCCTCCTGCTAACATTGAAGTTTCAGCTGGGGCATCACCTCCTCCAGGAAGCCCCCAGGCTCTCAGCTCCAACCTCACCCCAGTGCAATCATCTGATTACGAGATTCCTCCTTTGACTGATCTTGGGTAGTGTGAGAGCGGCAGCTGTTCCTGTTTCACCCTCTGCACTCGATCTGGGAGCCAAGAGATGCACAGTCAGTGTTTGTGGTGTGATCACGGGGGCAGGGTGGGGCATCTTGGGCAGGGTGGGGCATCTTGGGCAAGGATGCCACATGAGCTGAGCTTGCAGGTGAGATAAGTTTTCTCAATCAAACATCCCTTCCAGTTTCTGGGAACAGAGTCCTAGGGCCCTGAGCACCTGGGGACAGAAGGTCACTTTGGGGACCTTGGTCACTGCCATTAGGGGCTCCCATCCCCTGGCTGATTCAGTCCCTGCACAATGTCCTGTGTGGGTGGGGCAGATGAGATGGCCGTGAGCTACCTAAAGTTGGGGCCAGGGCCGTGTCCTCTCTCCTCCCCAGGGGTCAGAACAGGCTGGGGTTCTCGGGGGTAACTGGAAGAAACCCAGGCCAGAGCTGGAGCAGCATGGGACTTAGACATGGGCTGGCCTGGGTCTCTTGTCTTTCCAGTATTCCCAGTCCTTCCTCATTACAGGCACTGTTTTCTGCAGCTGGGATTTATTAATGTTATCTGCAGATCGTCTGGTGAGTGCCAGGGGACCAGGTCACTGCCAGCTGAAGGAAGTTGAAAGTTGAACAGGATGTAAAGCTGAGGGCTGGCTTCTCGGCCAGTGCTCGGGCAGCATGGAGGAAAGCATCCTTTGCCCTGAGCAGCTTTCCTGCCAAGTCAGACCAGAGAAATCTGTGCTGGCCTGATCACAGGATCCTAGACATTAGAAGCATTGGACCAGTGTTTCAGAAGGATTTACCTTAAGAGAAAAGAGTGGGACTGAGAATTCCTGCGTGGCCTGGTGTGGGATGTGTCCAGGGAACAACAATCAGGTATCACGTGGGGGAGCTTGTGGGAAGATGGAAGGAATTCTGCTTTCTGTTAGTTGTTGCTTATTAATAAAAAATATCAGTAATGCTTGGCTGTTAAATGTCTGCATGGCTTTGCAAGAATATACACATCACCAGGTTTGAAACAGGCATTGTCCCCACTTAATGGAGGCATAAACTGGGTTGTGAAGTAATTTTTGTGCAGTCAGGGATTGTCAACACATTCAGCCAACGAACGAGCCTCGATTCCGTGCCAGGCAGGGAGTTGGCATTTGAGATGAGAGAAGCACAGTCCTACCTGCACGGTACTCCTGGGTTCAGTAGCTTTTGAGGGTGAACCGCCAACCTTCAAGACATGTGAAGACTCTGTCTTCCCACACCTATCACTGTTGTGCACTCATGCTCTTGGCATTCCCTACTAGACACATACTTGGGGGGGGATCGAGACGGTTTACATCACAGTGGGCTCTGGATCCTTCCCTCTGTTTCTCATCTACCTTTCCACTAGGCTGATGTTCTTTGATGGCTGGACACACATTGGCAATGCCTGCTGGTGGTGATAGTGATAATGGTGGTGGTGATGGTGATGGTGGTGAGAGTGGTGGTAGTGGTGATGATGGTGGTGGTTGGTGATAATGGTGATGGTGGTGATGGTGGTAAGGAGGGTGGTAGTGGAGGTGAGGAGGGTGCTGGGGCTGGTGGTGGTGATGGAGATGTTGATGGTGTTGATGTTAATGGTGGTGGTGATGACATTGATGAGGACAGTGGTAGGTGTGATGGTGATGGTGGTATGGCAGTGGGAATGGTGGTGGTGGTGATGATGGTGATGGTGGTGATGATGGTGATGGTGGTGGTAATGGTGATGGAGATGGTGGTGGTGATGATGGTGGTGCTGGTGATGGAGATGATGATGTGGTGGTGATGATGGTGGTAGTAGTGAGAAGGGTAATGGGGGTGGTGGTGATGGTGGTCAGCATGGTGATGGTGGTGAGGGTGGTGATGGTGGTGATTATGGTGATGGCAGTGGTGGTAAGGGTGGCAATGGTGGTGGTGTCAGTGATGGTGGGTTATGGTGATGGGGATGCTGGTGGTGGTGGTGATGGTAAGAAAGGTGGTGGCGGTGATGGTGATGGTGGTGGTGGAGGTGATGGAGGTGATTGTGATGGTGGTCATGGTGATGGGGATGGTGGTGGTGGTGTGGTGGTTCTGGGATGGTGGTGATAGTGATGGAAGTGTAGTGGTGGTGGTGAGGGTGGGATGGTGATGGGGATGTGGTGGTGATTGTGGTGGCAAGGGTGGTGATGGGGATGGGGATGGTGGTGGTGATGGTGTTAAGGAGGGTGACAGTGGAGGTGAGAAGGGTGGTGGGATTGGTGGTGGTAATGGTAGAGGTGATGGTGTTGATGTTAACGGTGGTGGTGATGACACTGTTGAGGACAATGGTGGGTGTAATGGTGGCAATGGTGGTGGTGGTGATGGTGATGGAGGTGGTGGTGGTGGTGATAATGGTGGTGATGGTGGTGGTGATAGAAGGGTGCTGGGGGTGGTTGTGAGGGTGGTAATGGTGGTGGTGGTGATGGTGATGGAGGTGGTGGTGACTATGGTGATGGTCGTGGTGGTGGCGGTAGTGATAGAGGTAGTGGTGGTGGTGATGGTGGTGATAGAGGTGGTGGTGGTGGTGGTGAGAAGGGTGGGGAGAGTGGTGGTGATGGTGGAGAGGGTTATGATGGTGTTGACAGTGATGGTGGTGGTGATGGTGGTGGTGGTGGTGAGAAGGGTGGGGGGAGTGGTGGTGATGGTGGAGAGCATTATGATGGTCTTGACAATGATGGTGGTAGTGATGGTGATGGAGGTGGTGAGAAGGGTGGTGGTGGTGGTGTTGGTGATGGAAGTGGTGGTGGTGGTGATGGTGATGATGTTGGTAATGATGGGGATCGTGGCGGTGGTGGTGGAGTGGTAATGATGGTGATGAGAGTGGTGATGGTGGTGGTGGTGGTGATGGGAATGTGGTGGTGGTGAGGGTGGTGGTGGTGGTGGTGGTGGTGGTGGTAGTGGTGGTGGTGGTGGTGATGAGAGTGATGGTAGTGGTAGTATCGGTGGTGGTAGAAAAACTTAAAGATTACAGAGTGCATTGTAGGCACTCTTGTGAGCACTTTACCTATATTAATCTGATGTCTACTCATAACAACATGGGGTTGTTGTACCTATGAGGTAGGTACCACCACTAGCCCCATGTTCCAGGTGGGGCATCTGAGGCACAAGGCCACATGGTTAGTACATACTAGAGTTGGGATTCAAACCCTGGTAGACTGGCTTCAGGACCTGCACTAAGCTGGGGTTACCCTAGGTGTGATTCTTAGATCAGCAGTTTCGTCATCTGAAAATAATTCACACACACACACACACACACACACACACACACACACAATTTCCTAGGGCTGGTGTAACAAATTTCCACAATCTGGGTGGCATAAAACAAATGCATTCTCTCACAGTTCTAGAGGCCAGAAGTCTGAGATGAAGGTGTGGGCAGGGCCATGCTCTCTCTGAAAGCTCTAGTGGAGGATCGTTCTTCACTTCTCCCAACCCCTAGTGGTGGCGGCTGTCCTTGGCTCCTTGGTTTGTGGCTGTGTCACTCCAGGCTCTGCCTCCATCGTCATGTGGACTCCTCCTGCTGCGTCTGTCTGAGTATCTTTTATAAGGACCCCAGCTGTACTGAATAAAGGGCCCACCCTAGTCCATCATGGCCTCCTCCTAACTCATGACACCTGCAGGAACCCTACTTACAAATATGGCCACAAGCTGAGATTGTGGGAAGGACATGCATGAGATTGGGGGAAGCACTATTCAACCCAATACATGAACATTTTTAAAACAATAGCGTTACTGAGATATAATTCATGTACTATAAAATCTGGCCTTTTAAAGTGTACAATTAAGCTATTCTTAATATATTCACAGTGTTATGCAACCATCATCACTATCTAATTGCAGAGCATTAAAATCTCCCCAGAAAGAAATCCAATGCCTATTAACAGTCCCCACCACCAACTCTTCCTTTCACGTGACCCCTGACAACCACTACATCTACTTCTTGTCCCTATGATTTTTTTTTTTGTTTTTATTTTTTGAGACAGGCTCTCACTCTGTCACCTAGGCTGGAGTGCAGTGGTGTGATTACAGCTCACTGCAACCTCAGCCTCCCCAGGCTCAAGTGATTCTCCCACATCAGCCTCCCAAGTAGCTGGGACCACAGGGGCATGCCACCAGGCCTGGCTAATTTTTGTGTTTTGTTTTTTTTTTGTAGAGACATGGATTTGCCATCCTGTCCAAGCTGGTCTTGGACTCTTGGACTCAAAAAATCTGCCCGCCTCGCCCTCCCAAAGTGCTGGGATTACAGGTGTGAGCCACCGTGCCTGGCCATCCCTATGGATTTCCCTATTCTAGACATTTAATCTAAATGGAATATTCAATCTGTGGTATTTTGTGACTGGCTTTCTTCATTTAGTGGAATGTTTTCCAGGTTCATTCATGTCGTAGCAGGTGTTGAGACTTCATTCCTTCTGATGGCCAAATACTATTCTGCTCTATGGAATATCATAGACCACATTTTGTTTATCCATCTGTAACTGATGCACATTTGGGTTGTGTTCACATGTTGGGTGTTAGGAATCGTGCTGCCATGAATGTTTGTGTACATGTTTTTGTGTGCACATATGTTTTCCCATCTTTCAGTTACATATTTAGGAGTAGAACTGCGAGGTCACAGGGTGATTCTGCGTTTCACATTTTAAGGAACCACCAGACTGTTTTCCAAAGTGGCTGCATCATTTCATGACCCCACCAGCAATGCATAAAGGGTCCAGTTCCCCACATGCTCACCCACACTTGTTGTTGTGCGCTTTTTTGATTGCAGCCGTCCTGGGTGGTGTGTGGTGCCGTCTCACTGCGGTTTTGATTGGTATTACCCTGAGGGCTGATGACGTTGAGCGTCTCTTCAGGTGCTCCTTGGCCATTTGTGTGTCTTCCCTGTTGAACACCGGGTGATGTGGAGGATGGGCGGACTCCTCATTGTCTGCATGCTGTCAGCTCTGGGAGACAAAGTCTCACTGGTGCAGCGATCTGGCGCAGTCAGCCTGACTGGTCCTAGCCAGCTCTGATTTCTGGCATGCTCTAAACCGAAGCATTCAGTGCACTCAGATGTCTTTTAATTTTCAAGTTGAGATGCTCACAAGTGAAATTTAAGACAGCCATAGAGCCGTGGAAAAGCCGCGTGCCCTTGGGCAGTTCACATCTGTAAAGTGAGGATAGCAGTACATTCATGGTGGGGTGGAGGGAGCTGACACGTGTCACTCTAAGCTCAGTGCCCGGCCCATGGAAGTCTGTGGTTAGGGCTGGTGGTTGTCAGAAACGGCTATGTAGTTTTTGGGGCTCCTTGTTAAAAAATGGTTAAGAATTTCAAGATGGCATCAGAAGAGCACTAAGCATGGGCCCTTCAAAGCTCAGGGCCCTTTGCAGTGGCCCAGGTTGCACAGCTGTGACACCATCCCTCTCTGTGTCCTTAACCACTATTAGAGGCAGATTTGCCTTGTGGGAAGGTGGCTGTCCCAGGGTGGAGGAGGAGAAGTTGAGGGTAGGGTGGTGAGTGAGGAGGTGGCTGGAGTGGTCCAGGCCAGAGCAGAGGAGGCTGGAGGGAGACAAGGGCCACTGTCAGGGGGAGGAGGAGCCACATGAAAGATGAAGTCCCAGCTCTGATGGGACATGGGGACTGCTTGGATGCAAGAGGGAGGGAGGGAGTGCTCCAAGTGGACTCACAGGCCCTGGGTCTGGATGAGTGGCCAGAACATCGTGCTCTTTGCGGAGGCAGGGCCCTGGAAGGAGGAGCAGGTCTAGGGGAAGACGATGGATTTCAAGAATTTTAATAATACCAGCAGCCCACCCTGAGTACCCCCTACGCACCAGGCACTGTTCCAAGTACTTGATGTGGGGTAGCACATACAGTATTTGAGAGACCCTAGGAGGTAGGGGTCATTATAACCCCTATTCTGAATGACGATCAGAGGCAGGTTTGCTTTGTGGAAGGGTGGCTGTCCCAGGGTGGAGGAGGGGAAGTTGGGGGTGAAGAGGTGAGTGGGGAGGTGGCTATATGGAATATCACAGAGGCACAGAGAGGGTAAGAAACTTGCCCAAGACCACAGAGCTGGTGAGGTGAGCCTGGAACCTGTGCTTTAGCCTTTAGGCCCTGTGGCCATTTGAGCGAAAGTGCGCAGCACCCCTGCAGCTGCCACAGACCTCACCTGTCGTTTTCCCATCTGTAGATGGTGCTGCTCGTTCTACCTTTGGCTACACCATGATAGAGAAGATTCACATAAAATGCCGCATATGCTGCCTGACATAGTAGATAATGAATGACACACCTGTTGTTCTCATTATTATTCAGAGTTATGCATGGAGATTTCAGCGCGGCTGCAGGAGGTCCTCCTACCCCTATGGCCTCAGGTAGAGAGCCCTGGCCGCCTGGGCCTGCACACATCCTGGCTCCTGTGTCCCTGGCCACAGTTATTGCTTGGGTGGGACAGGGAAGGGGCATCTTCACTTCAGGTAGCTTATTGACCTTCCTCCTCCGGCCATTGCCTTTCCAGGAAGTGGCCTGGGCCACTCCCGACCTGGGCCAGTCTTGCCTGGGGAGGGGAGCCCAGGGGCCCTTCAGGCAGGCTCCTGGCCGGGTTTATCTAAGGTGGCTGAGGCTTTCAGGAAGCTGGACATGATACTGGATTTAGAACCCAGGGTTCAGATAGGTTGGCTTTTACATGTCGTATCTGTCATGGGCTGGAGACCCCCAGAAGCTAAGCCCACATGCTTCTTGGAACCTGTGAATATACCTTATGTGGCAGAAGATGTGATAGAGAACTTTCAGAGGAGGAGCTCATCCTGAGTTTTCTGAGTGGGACCAGGATCCTTCTAAGAGTGAGGCACAGGGAGACTGGACAGGTACCCAGGAGGTGACGTGAAAGTGGAGTGGAGGGCAGAGTGATGCGTCCGCGAACCCAGAAATGCCGGCAGCCCTCAGGAGCTGGGGGAGGTGAGAGTGGACTCTGCTAGAGCCTTGGGGTGGAGTGAGGAGGTGCTGACCCTTTCATTTTGGCCCAGTGATAAGGAATTTTGACTTCTGGCCTCCAGAACTGCGAGAGAATACAAATCTGTTGTTTTAAGCCACCAAGTTTGTGGTACAGGCTGACCTTAGAGATATTGTAAGTTCTGTTCCAGACCACTCAATAAAGCAAATATTGCAATAAAGCGAGTCACATGAATTTTTTGATTTCCCAGTGCCTGTAAAAGTTATGTTTACACTCTGTTGTAGTCTCTTAAGTGTACAATAGCATTATGTCTAAAACAACAATGTACATACCTTAATTTAAAAATACTTTAGGGCTGGGCGCGATGGCTCATGCCTGTAATCCCAGCACTTTGGGAGGCTGAAGTGGCAAGTCACTTGAGGTCAGGAGTTCAAGAGCTTGACCAACATAGTGAAACCCTGTCTCTACTAAAAATACAAAAATTAGCCAGGTGTGGTGGTGTGCACCTACCGCTTGGTAGCAGCTAGCTGGTAGTCCCAGCTACTTGGGAGGCTGAGGCAGAATTGCTTGAACCCGGGAGGTGGAGGCTGCAGTGAGCTGAGATTGTGCCACTGCACTCCAGCCTGGGCTACAGAGCCTCTGTCTCAAAACAAAACAAAATAAAACAAAACAACTTTAGCTATTTAGCTAAATAATGCTGATGACTATCTGAGCTTTCAACATAATCTTTTTGCTGGTGGAGGGTCTTGCCTTGATGTTAATGGCTGTTGACTGATCAGAGTGGTGGTTGCTGAAGGTTGGGGTGGCTGTGGCTATTTCTCAAAATAAGACAATGAAGTTTGTCCTGTCGATGGACTCTTTCACCAAAGATTTCTCTGTAGCACACAATACTTGGCAGCATTTTGCCCACAGTAGAACTTCTTTCAAAATTGGAGTCAATCCTCTCAGGCCTTGCCACTGCCTTATCAGCTAAGTTTAGATCATACTTTAAATTCTTTGCTGTCATTTTAACAGTGTTCACAGCATCTTTACCAGGAGTAGATTCCATTTCAAGAAAGCACTTCATGTACTCCGTAAGAAGCAACTCCTCATCGGTTCAAGTTTGATCATGAGATTGCAGCAGTTCACTCACATCTTCGGAATCCACTTCTCATTCTAATTCTCTTGCTTTTCTCACCACTTATGCGATTACTTCCACTGAAGTTCTGACCTCGAAGTCATCCATAGGGGTTAGAATCAACTTCTTCCAAACTCTTGTTAGTGTTAATATTTTGACCTCTTCTCATGAATCATGAATGTTCTTAATGCATCTAGAATGATGAATCTTTTCCAGGAGGTTTTCAATGTACTTTGCTCAGATACATCAGAGGAATCACTATCTACAGCAGCCATAGGCTCACAAAATATATTTCTTAAATAATACTACTTAAACATCAAAATTATTTCTTGATCCATGGGCTGCAGAATGGATGGTGTGTTAGCAGGCATGACAACAACATCAATCTCCTCTACATCTCCATCAGAGCTCTTGTCAATGAGCCATAACATTGTAAAAGTAATCTTTTTTTTCCGAGCAGTAGGTCTCAACAGTGGGTTTAAAATATTCAGTGAACCATGCTACAGACAGATGTGCTGTCATCCCAACTTTGCTGTTGCATTTTTAGAGCACAGGGCCCTAGGATCTCCTAATGGGAAATGAGCATTGGCTTCAACTTTGGCACGTCATCAGCTCTATTAGCCCCTAGCAAGAGAGTCAGCCTGTCCTCTGAAGCTTTGAAGCTAGGCATCGACTTCTCCTTTTTAACTCAGAAAGTCCTAGATGGCATCTTCTTCCAATATAAGGTTGTTTCATCTGCATGGAAAATCTGTTGTTCAGTGTAGCCACCTTCATGAATGATGTTAGCTGGATCTTCTGGGTAACTTGCCGCAGCTTCTCCATCAGCACTTGATGCTTCACTTTGCACTTTTATGTTATGGAGATGGCTTCTTTCCTTAAACCTCCTGAGCCAACCTCTGCTAGTTTCAGACTTTTATTCTGCAGCTTCTCCACATCTCTTAGCCTTCAGGAGAGTTAGGGCCTTGCTCTGAATTAGGCTTTGGCTTAAGGGAGTGTTGTAACTGGTTTGATCTTCTACCCTGACCACTCCAATTTTCTCCATATCAGCAATAGGGCTATTTCACTTTCTTATTATTTGTGTGTTCACCAGAGTAGCACTTTGAATTTCCTTCAAGAACTTTCCCTGTGCATTCACAACTTGGCTAACTGGTGCAAGAGGCCTAGCTTTCACCTTATCTCAGCTTTCCACCTGCCTTCCTCATGAAGCTTCATTGTGTCTAGCTTTTGATTTAAAGTGAGAGACATGCAACTCATACTTGAACACTTAGAGGCTATTGTAGGGTTATTAATTGGCCTAATTTCAGCATTGTTGTGTCTCAGGGAATGGGGAGGCCTGAGGCCATGGGGAGTGATGGGAGAATGGCTGGTCAGTGGAGTGGTCAGCATATACCCAGGATTTATCCATTAACTTCTCTGTATTATATAGGCATGGTTCATGATGTCCCTAGTTACAATAGTAATATTAAAGATCACTGGTCACAGATCACCATGATGGAAAATGGAAATGTTTGAAATATTGCAAGAATTACCAAAATGTGGCACAGAGACACGAGGTGGGCTGTTGGAAAAATGACACGGATAGACTTGCTCATCACAGGGTTGCCACAACCCTTCAATTTGTCAAAAACGTAATATCTGCGAAGCACGATAAAGTTGAGTGCAATAAAACAAGGTATGTCTGTGACTTATCACAGCAGCCACAGGAAACTAACACAGCCTCCATCATGGGAGCCTCAGGGTCTGAACTCTGCAGAACCCTGGGCTGGCAGCTCTCATGGGTACAGCTGTTTTCTTCTGTTGAGAGTCATGTCAAACCCTGAAGCTGGATTTGATTAGCAGACAACAGAACCAGATGTTCCCAGCATCTTCCCGTGTCTGATGCTGTGGCCTCACATGGTCATGATGAGGCTTTGCCTGGAAGCCTTGCTGCTCGCAGGCTAGTACAGATGTGCTTTCTTTGGTGATGGGAGGGAGTGGCAGTGAGTGGCTTTGGATTCAAGAGAGTCCTTGATGGTTAGGGACCCAGGCTTTGGAATGGGGAACACTTGGGTCCCACACCTGGCTCCTGGCTGGGTGACCTTGGGCAAGTCACTTAACCTTTCTGAGCCAGTTTTATTACCTGTAAAGTGGGAACGATGATAATGATGGTAATGCTGTGCCCTTAACAGGTTGTCGTGACAGTTAAGGAGCTAACAGATGGGCAGTGCCACACTGAGCTTGGCAGGTTGAACGAGATGGTGCCTTTGCCCTGTTGACATGACTGCCTTGTGCAAGTTAACCTGCTAATCAGAACACTAATACTGCATTCTCTTTTTGGAATGAAACATGTGTAACCTCATCTGGATTGTGTAGAAGGGACCAAGGGCCCTGGCTCCATCTGCCCCTGTCACTTGGCTCATGTGGCCTCTGGAGGTGACTTCCCCAGGACCCTCACCAGCAAAGACCAGGGTTGGGCTAAAATGGGTGCCGAGAGTTTCCCAGGCTCTGGCTGCCTTAGCTGCACAGATGCAAGCTCGGCTGCAGTGCAGTGTCCTGGTGAGTCTCTCCTCTGCTGGCCCTGTCACCACCTAGGTAGGCCTTCCAGCAGCTGAGAGGTCCCATTCCTCATAAGACCAGTGGTCTGCAGTCGCTCCCACTGCCCTCTAGTGGGACGAGGTCCAAGCTCACAGCCCCTTGGTGACCTTCCCTGAGGCCCTGCTGACCTCTTGGCCCCCCGTCTGGCCCATAATCTACCCCGTCCCAGACATGGCTGAGCCTGAGCTCATGGCTGGCCTGTGCAATCCACCCCTTTCCTTCCTGCTCGGCTCCATCAAGGAGGCACCATGTACCCGTGGTGTGAGGCAGACACCGTGGGGAACTTTGATCCCACCTATTCCTTGAACCCATGTTCAGTACATCACCACGTCCTCCCAGGTGTCCCAGCAAGAAAGCTTTCAAACATATCTTGTTTTTCATCACCTCTGCACCATAAGCCCAGCCCAAACTTGCACCATTTATCTCTGGGACACAGTGACAACCTCCTGGGTTCTACCTCATCTAATCCGGCCCTCCAGTTCCTCCTCCACACAGCATCCAGCATCCAGAGTGGACCTTTTCAAACCCCAGGACCAATGAGGACACAGTCCTGCTCAGAGCACCCGGTGGCTCTGGTCACCCTTGGACAGCAAGGTGGACTTCCTGAGTCCAAGGCTCGGAGACCCAGACCCTCTGTGGGTTCCTTGCCTTCCTTCTCCTTGCTTGTACACCAGCTCTCTCCATCTGGAATGTTCTATTTTTTTTTTTTCCACTGAGTTTGCCTTCTTTCTTCTTTGGAGCTCAGCTCAGCATAACTTCTTGGTCAGAGTCTTTGGGGACCTCCCCGTTCAGGCGGGTGTGGCTCTCCCACCTTCCCATTGGGCCAGCTTCCTTTCCTTTAGCACACCTGCCAGCTATGCCAAAGCCCACGGGGCAGCCAGATAGGTCGGACCACAAAAAGTGGGCTCAGTCTTGCAATGTGGAGGCTAGGGGAGGTGAGTGGAGGCCATAGAAGTCAGTGGAGGTCAGGGAGCTGAGTGGAGGTCAGGGGAAGTGAGTGGAGGTGAGTGGAGGTCAGGGGAGGTGAGTGGAGGTCAGGGAGATGAGTGGAGATCGGGGAGATGAGTGGAGATCAGGGGAGGTGAGTGGAGATCAGGGGAGGTGAGTGGAGATCAGGGGAGGTGAGTGGAGATCAGGGGAGATGAGTGGAGATCAGAGGAGGTGAGTGGAGCTCGGAGGAGGTGAGTGGAGATCAGAGGAGGTGAGTGGAGGTTGGGGAGGTGAGTGGAGGTCAGGGAGGTGAGTGGAGGTGAGGGCAGATGAATGGAGGTCAGGGAGGTGAGTGGAGGTCAGGGAGGTGAGTGGAGGTCAGGGGAGATAAGTGGAGATCGGGGAGGTGAGTGGAGATCGGGGAGGTTAGTGGAGGTCAGGGTAGGCGAGTGGAGGTCGGGGAGGTCAGTGGAGGTCAGTTGGTCAGGGGAGGTGAGTGGAGGTCAGTGAGTCAGTGGAGGTGAGTGGAGGTGCGGGAGCTGAAGCCCCCGCGCAGGAAAGCGAAGAGGCAGTGCAGACTTCAGACGACGGGTGGAGACCATCTGGAAGGACTGTAGAGGGGCAGGGAGGCGTGGAGGCTGGCCTGTTGGGGACACAGGAAGAGATGTTTTGTTTGAATGGGGATGAGCAAGCGTGTTGAGAGTCTGATGATGAGGGGTCCTGGAGGGAGGGATGCTTCAGGAGCCAGGATAAAGGAGGGTTTGGGAAAAGGTGGGAATGGGAAGGGGTCTAGGGCCAGGGAGCAGGGCATGCAGCATGCGGGAGGGAAGCGAGGGCTCGAGGGTGATCCCGTCTGCCTTGCACTTCAGTTTTCTTCTGTGTCCTTAATAAAGAAATCACATTTTCTTCTCTTTCCTGAACATTCTGTGTAATTTATTGCTAGCTCCTTTTAATTTGGTTATAAATGGGATCGTCTTCCAGTTTTATCCACTAATTGGTTGTTGCTGGTATAGAGGAAAGAACATTATGCTTTTTGGCACTTTCCTTCACCCAGCAATTTGGGAGGACTCTAAAAATCCCATCAGTTACATCTCATACCTGACATTTTGACTTTCACCTGCTGGGTGCCCTTGATGTTTTTCTCTCTGACCTAATTTCTTCTCTGTTTTCTTGGCCTGAACTTACCCTCTCCTGTTTCCTCAGTTCTTTTTTACTTTCCCTGTCCTCGTTAGGAGCATTCCACCTTCTCTTTCTAAGAACTCTCTTTTCTTCAAACAGCCTGATTCCCTTACTCCCAAAAGGAAATCACCTTCTTGCTTTAATCCTGATCATTAGGGTTGTGACGTCCGTGAGTGTCTGATGTGGGCTTTTCTCCATGAAAAATGGGATCATGTTGTTTGTGACCCACTTTCCCTACAGCAGGTATGATGAACATCTCTGAGGCCCCCATGGTTTGGATATACTATGATTTATTTAACCAGTCTCTTGCCAGGCCCATCTTTGTGGATTATTTCCTTAGGATAGATTTTCAGAGTGAAGCTATTAGCGAAAGCAGTCCACATTGAATAGAAATTGCCCAGCGGCACCCTAGAAAACATGTGCCAGTTTGTACCCAAGAGTGAATGAGAATAGCACTTTCCCAGAACCTTGCCAACAGCAAATCTTTAACATTTTTGCCAATGTGATGAGTGAAAATTTGTATCCTGGTTCTTGTTTCTTTAGTTACCAGGCAGGCTGAACATCTTGTCTGTGTATTGGCCATTTGCGTTTCTTCTTTTGAGAATTGTTTCTCCATTATTTACACTATTTTTTTTTTCCACTTGCATGCTGCTTAAAGCAATTTTGACTTCTGAAACCTCTTAATCTATTAAGAATATTAACCTGGGATTTGTTATGTGTCACAGATTTTTTTCTTCCAACTTGTGGTTTGATGTTTTTGCTCTATGATGATGCTTTTGCTGTACAGAGATTTAAAATTTTTGCCTTTTGTAGATGCTTACACCTTTTCTCTCCTCCTCCAGAGTCTTTAAGTATTTTTTTTTTAGCAGATTTGTGGTTTCTCTGTTTGTATTTAAATTTGTAATCCACATGAGAAAGTTGTTTTGCTGTGAGGCTGTAGGTGGCTATCCAGTTTTATTCGTTCCTAAATAGCTAGTCTTTTGTCCAGAGTTAATCCAGTGTTTATTGGTCAGCTGTTATTTTTTCACCATTATGTGTGGTTTTTTATTAATTTTTTTTTTTTTTGAGACAGGATCTTGCTCTGTCACCCAAGCTTGAGTGCAGTGGCACCATCATGGCTGAATGCAGCCTAGACCTCCAGGGCTCAAGCTATCTTCCTACCTCAGCCTCTTGAATAGCTGGGACTATAGGTGCATGCCACTATGCCCCGCTAATTTTTGTATTTTTTGTAGAGATGGGGTTTCACCATGTTGGTCAGGCTGGTCTCGAACTCCTGAGGTCAAGCGATCCTCCTGCTTCAAACTCCCAAAGTGATGAGATTACAGGTGTGAGTCACCACGCCCGGCCCAGTATGTGTTTTAAATTCCTGTGTACATCCTTGGATCTGTTTTTGGGCTTTCTCTTCTGCCTCATTGATCAATCGAATTGCCCTATTTTTATCCAATAAATTTTCAAACCAAATTTTCTTTCCTAACCTAAAAAGATGGACTTCCTTTGTGGAAATGATGACTACTAGCTGGGGCTGGTGGGGGTGGGGGGTGGAGAAATGGCCCTATGGGATGGAGTTGACCACTCCCGCAGGCCCTCTGGAATACCTCATCCTTTCTTTCCAGTGAATCATGTTCCACCTGTGACTTCAAACCCAAGCCCCAGCCCTTTATTTTACTCCAAAATTTGCTCTCCATCTCATCCAGCCAGGCCTGTGCTGTGGGTGGCCAGGTGAACATCGCAGGGGTCCTGCCTCTGGAAGCCTTCCTGGAGCCACGTTCACCTGTGGCCATCACTGAGATTCCTACATGGATACAGACTGGGAGGCAGACACCACCCCATCCCACTACCATCCCTATGATGTTAGGTTCTGGGCTTTCAAGTGCTTCATAGCTGAGCTTGTGACCCCTGGTGAGAAGCATGTAGTATCCGCAGGGCAAAGTTGGGATGTATGGAGCGTGCACTGCATGACCTACAGCATGGTCTGCCCTCCACACTGTGAGGCGATCCGTTCTCCCCATCCTTGCGTTCCAGGTCAGGAGAGGAGGTAGAGAGAGCAGGAGTAACTTGACCAGCGTCTCACACAGGGAGAGGGACGGCGCTGGCCGACAGCTTGAGCCCTACCTCATAGCACATAGCCCTGGAAATGTGGCCCAGATAACTCTTCTGAAGTTGTAGAAGCTGTGTTCTTTGGGAGAATGAAGTGATCCATAGAAAGAAAGCTGTTGCATCAGGAGTTAGTGCTGCTGATGCAAAGCAAGACACCCTTGGTTCTAACAGAGCCCAAGGAAAGGAAATAGACAACAATCTGTTAGCTGTGTTGGCATCTAATTTAAGTTTTTTCATCAGAATTCTCGACTCTACGGTCCCTCACTCACACCCTACTGGGTGTGCTGCTTCATGGCTGGTGTTTACGGAGAGGCATATCTAACCTGCTCAGTGAATGTGAAACCACAGACAACTGGCACCAGTTTAAACAGGAGAAAGCAGGGGTTAGGTAGCATGTCCAGGGCTACGCTGGGGAAGATGGCTGAGCTGGGATTCTGGTGGGATTGTAGCTCGGAGATCCCGGTTCTGA
This sequence comes from Homo sapiens, assembly GCF_000001405.40. Taxonomy (NCBI): domain Eukaryota; kingdom Metazoa; phylum Chordata; class Mammalia; order Primates; family Hominidae; genus Homo; species Homo sapiens. The sequence continues at coordinate 6,157,587 of NC_000004.12, read as the reverse complement.
GTTGTGATGGTCTGTGCCAGTGGCTTATGAAAAAGTTAGGAAAATGATGGATTCTTAGTCAAAAAAGGTGTTACGGAAAGTGTACGCTGAAGTTTGATTTGAAAATTTGAAGATTCTTATATCTATAATTTGTAGCTTCCTAAATATCACAAATTACCTGAATTACCATAGAAATTGCTGCTTTTCAGAGAGCTTTCAATTTAATCTCATTTGGTTCTTGGGACAACCCTGTGTTGTGCGCCAGCTTCCCATCCCGTGCGCCTTTTTGCAGAGGGAGTAACCTGCCCAGGTGCACTCGTCTTAGTCCATTTTGTGTTGCTATAACACAATATCACCACCTGGGTAGTTTATAAAGAAAATAAATGCGTTTCTTACAGTTCTGGAGGCTGGGAAGTCCATGGTGGAGGGACCTGCATCTGGCAAGGGCCTTCTTGCCACATCTCATGGCAGAAGGCAGCAGGGCAAGAGAGTTCCAGAGAGAGAGCTGAGAAGGGGGCTGAACTCAGCTTTTTATCAGGAATCCACTCCGGCAATAATGGCATTAATCCATTCATGAGGTTAGAGCCCTCATGACCCAATCACCCCTTAAAGGTCCCCCCTCTTTACACTGGTGCATTGGGGATTAACAGTGAACTTTGAGGGACGCATTCAAACCACTAGCCATGGAACTTGTTATAGAAAATTCAGGGCTGTGGCTGTTGGCCAATGGGGTGTGGGTCTACTGAACAATTGTAACGTGACCAACACCTATCATGGGCAGACCATGTCCATGTGCCAGGTGTGGCCATGAGATTCCCAAGACCAGACATCTGGGGACAGTGGAGCTGGGATGTAACCAAGGTCTAGCCCAGAACTGACCTTTCTTGTACATCCTACAGCCTTCAATGAAGGAGATATTTTAGCTCCCACATCTCAGCGGATGCTGTCAGACATTTCCTGGGTGAAGACAGATGAAAGCCTTCCACATGCATCAGATCTTTGAGTTGCATCTCAGTAGCTAAGCCCTGGGTCACCAGGATGACTGGGGGCTGAAGCCGAACGCTCAGAACAGATGGCTCTGGATTTATTTCTGCAAATTATAAGAAAGGAAATGCACAACAATCTGTTAGCTGTGTTGGCAGCTAATTTAAACTTTTAAATCAGAATTCTGGACTCTGTTAGGTACCGTATTTTATTAAATCTAAGCTGCTGTCAATTGGGACATGCATCATTATTTTTGTACCACTAAAGAAATGGGAAAAAGTGCTATTCATTAAATGATGATGGGGCATTGAATGTGAGATGAATCTTGATTTCAGAAACGTTAACTTAGGATCAGTGTGATACAGTGGCATTCGCTTGTTCCTGTGTTGGCGGGCCACTTCCGAGGGCTGGCTTTGCGCGTGGCTGGCTGGCTCTGTGCCGGGCGTGGTACGGTGAGAAGATGTTCCCGGTCTCTGCTCCCAAGAAACACACAGATGGGTCAGGTATTTAGAAATGCCAACAGATTATTTCAGAATAGTTTGTTGATGGATGGGTTTTCTGGATCACCAAATATTTCTTGAAGATCCATTATTGTGCTGGGCACTGTTCTACGCACTGAGGAACCCACCACGGACAGAAGTCACAGAGCTGACCCTTTCCGTGGCAGTAGATATTCATCCCCAGCAGCGGTTCTCACACATTACCGCACAGAAAAATGTATGTGCAAACTTAAGATTGCCAGGCCCCACCTCTAGAGAGTGCCATTCATGAGGTCTAGGGCAGGACCCAGGAAGGCTGCATGTTAGCAAGCACACTTGGGAATCAGGATACACAGGCCTTCAGAGCAAAATTTGAGATGATAGAGCTTCAGCTTAAAGGACACTATAATATCCCGTTCTATAAATGTGCCATGGGACATACAGTTGTTGGTGAATATTTAGCAAATATTTAGTTGGCTGCTTATTTTCCTTGTTGTAAACAGCACATCCGTGCATGTCCCTGCAGCTGAATATGCGCGTAAATCCTCCGTGAGTTCTTTAGGGGAAATCAGGTAGCAGCGCTGGGCGTTTAGAAGTTTTCAGAGCCAGTTAGGAGTTTGCTGTCATTTTTCCAACCACCATAACCCACCCTGGAACCAAACTGTCTGGATTTGAGTCCCGCTTAGTAGCTGTGCACTTTTGGACAAGTGTTTTAGCCTTTCCATACTTTTTAAATCTCTAGAATACCTATGTTTTAGGGTTCTCTTGAGGGTTAAATATAAAGTGCTTGGAGCAGAGCTGACGCAGGATAAGGGCTGGGTAAACATTCGCGGTGGTGGTGGTTGAGTGGTGGTTGCTGGTATTAAAAGGCGTTGAGCGCAGAGGAGGGAATGTTGTTTCCTCCTTAGGAGGAGCATTCGTCCTCCTCGTGGGCACACCAGGGTCACTGCGGAGGGAAGCTCCAGCCAGGCATTCATGTGTAGGCCTTTTGATAGCGGAGAGTCAACTGCATTGTCACAGATCCAATTTCAGCACACCCCAACACTGTCACCAGAAGTATCTTCCCAGCAGGCTGGGCTGGCATCTCCCGACTGTCTTCCCACTGCTCGGGAATGAGCTTTAAATTCCTTTATCCACAGGACAAGGAAGGAAGCCTCTGAGGCTCAGGCTCCACCCCAGCTAAGACCCCCCACCCTACCCCGCACCTTTCCCTGCGTGCTCTGTGTTGGTTTGTGGAGTGAGAGGGTCTCAGGGGGCTTCCTGTGGGAGGCGATGGATGAATAGGCCTTCGAGGAATGAATAGGAGCTTCCCAAGTGGAGGAGGAAGGAAGGACTGTCCACTGGATACAAAGGCAGAACAGGATGTTTAGGGTGCTGTCTGTAGTTCATGATGGCTGGGGGTGGGGAGTTAGGAGTGGGCTGGGTAGTAAGTAAACTGAAAGAGGGGTTCAGCGGGCCGGATTGAAAAGAATTCCATTTGCCAGGGCTGCAGAGTTGGGCACAGTCCCTGCGTGCAGTGGGCTGTGCGTGTTGGGCTCTTGGAAGCCTTGCTAAGTTTCTTGGTGTCTGCCTTTTCGGTATTGCCTTTTTCAAGGCTGAAATGCATCCTCTTCCTTTTATATCCCCCCTGCTTTTTTTTTTTTTTAAAGGACTATAGACATCTGACAAATTCCTTGTCCAATCACTCAGGGAACTAAAGGCTTCTGTTCGGTTTTTAGCTTGTTGTGAAATGGGGACTTGGAAGGGGACCACTCTCTTCACGCTCTTTGTGGTAAATCCTTTCTGGGCATGCAGATTTAACATCCTAGGGGGTTTTCCTTGCAATGGTTTTGATGTGAAAATGACCGAATTATTAAAGTAGTTCAATGGCCTAAAATAGGAGCAACTCTCCCCAGTGCAGCCTCTCTGCACGTCCAGTGATTTGCTTGTTTCTTCAGCCTCCGCCTGTGTCCAGCTCCGCTCTGTCTTCCCTCCTGCGAGGGTCAGTGTCTCCCTGAGTGCAGGGTTTATCAGCTCTGCAGGACACAAGCCTGTGCCTTCTCACCATAGGCAGCAGGATGCAGTCAGCCAGGCATGGTCTGGGGGCTGCAGAGATGGCCTTGAACTCTCACTCTGGTTCAGCAGCCAGTATTTAGTAAACATCTGCCGCATACAAGACCTGGGCAGACTCTGTGACAAGTAAGAGGCAGGATCCAGACTTTCCCAGCCAAAAGGGGCCTCAGGGAGCGGGTAGCTGGTTCCGCATTTCTCAGTGAGAGTGCTCACCAGTGTTGCGATGTGAGATTTTAGGTGACAGTAGCCAAACATAATTTATTTTAATAATACTTTAGTGTGCATTAGGGAAAATATAACTGTATCTTATAGTTATAAAATATAGCACCTGAAGCCTATGATTTGGGGGATATTTTTGCTTAGAATAAGGCTGAAGTAGTGTACAGGTTTTTCAAAAGTCAGTAGTGTTAAAGAAAAGTACTAAGCACATAAAGGTAAGGTGCCGAGGGGCACACGGGAACATGATGGCCTTCCACAAAACGTTCTCTCTCCAGATTGTCAGGGCTGTCTGAGGTGCACCCTCTTACAGCGCAAATTACACCTCCGGAAAGCTAATTTTAAGAAAAGAAGAACCATGCATTTTATGCAGAAGTCACAGCGGCGGCAACTGATGACTGAGGTTTGGGAAACACCGTTGGCTCCAGTGCTCATTTTTCAAAACATGAAATTGAAGCCTAGAGAGGGCCAGGGTCACAAGGCTGTGGAGAGAAGAAGGGGCTTCAAATCCCAGGGCTCCTGATGCTCAGCGTGGCTCCTCTTCTCACCCAGATCTGCCTGTGACCAAGGCCTGTGTGAAGGAGGCCAGGCTCGGGGAAGACCCCTGGAGCTGAGGCTGAGAGGCAGGGACGTTGGGGCCTCTGAGTAGGAATCAGGGTGCTGTCGAATGGTGAGCAGGTGTTGGCCTCTGGTGAGCTGGATGCCAGGAGAGTCTGGTAGAGCTTGATTTTGAAGCCTTGGCTGGCAAGTGTGAATCTGCCTGTGTAGTCTTCAGGCAGGTAGGGGAGGGGGATGTGCATGGGTGGGGCTGGTCACAGAAAAACAGACTGAGCTCAGGTTAACAGGAAGGTGATGTGGGTTTCCTAGAATTGGGGCTAAGGGATGCCCACTTCTTTTTGTTTTTTTGAGACGGAGTCTCACTCTTGTTGCCCAGGGTGAAGTGCAATGGCGTGATCTTGGCTCACTGCAACCTCCGCCTCCTGGGTTCAAGTGATTCTCCTGCCTCAGCCTCCTGAGTACCTGGCACTATAGGAGCCCACCACCATGCCCAGCTATATATATATATGTATATATATATATATATATATTTGTATTTTTAGTAGAGACAGAGTTTCGCCATGTTGGCCAGGCTGGTCTCGAACTCCTGACCTCAGGTGATCCAACCACCTCAGCCTCCCAAAGTGCTGGGATTACAGGCATGAGGCACCACACTCGGCCAGGATGCCCACTTCTGTGAGAATATTGCAAAGATCTGCTGCAAGAGTGAAGTGTTGAGTATTGGGATCAAAGAACTAGTGTTTAAATATAGGGGTTAAAGGGTCACATAAATATTCCCCGGCATCAGGATCAGAGGTCGGGTTTTCTCTTAGAGACTGCCTGCCTTTTATTCGTGCGGACACAAACTCTTCCAATGCCAGGCCTTATCTCTGATCATAGGATGCAGAGCAGCAGGCAGCTCCCCAGCCAGTTGGTGGTGGGGCTGGGTGAGGGCGGTTCTAGGAGCTGGGGCTACAGGCTTAGGTAATGCAGCCTCCACCAAAGAGGAAGAAAGGAAGGCTTGGATGAGTGAGTGAGGACTCTTGATCAGAGTCCCAGTGGGAGGTCATGGCCTCAAGTGGAAGAAATTTCACCTTTTTACTCCCATTTAGAGCAGCGTTTGCTGGTTAGATAGTTTTATTCCGAGTTGATTTGACTTCCTCCCTCCCTGCTCTCTCTCACTCTCTCTCTGTCTCCTCTTTTCCCACCCTCCCTCTCTTCCTTCCTCTCTCCCTTCTTCCTTCCCCTGTCTCTTTCTTCTTCCCTCCCTTCCTTCCTCCTTCGCCTGCTTCCTTTCTCCTTTCCAACCCTGAGACCTTTATTAAGTGGTAACAGTGTATCAGGCATAGTGGCGAGCCCCGTAGTGGTTACCAAGTAAAAGTCATCATAACAACAGCAGCTAATGTTCAGGGAAGGTCAATGTCATGTACCTGGCACTGTGCTCACTGCTTTTACTTATATTGTCTTGTTTAATTCTCATAACAACACTATGAGTTTGGTATGGTTATTGGATAATCTCATTTTACAGGTAAAGAAACAGATCTAGACAAGTGGAAGGACTCACTGGCCTAAGGTCTCACTCCATACCCTTAGCCACTTTGCCGTCCAGCTTCAATGGCTATTGAGATCCACCTTCAACTCTAAGTTTCAAAGAACTTGAACAGCAGACAGGAGAACAGGTGGTTCCAGCCAGGAGGACTGGAGGACTCTGAGCTTAAATGCGGCTGTGAAGGTCACAGTGCTGTGAGTGCAACTAGGTGGGGCATGGGAAGCTCTAGGAAGACTTAGGGGAGGTGACATTGAGGCTAGAGTTGGCCAGGTCTGGGGTGGTGAGAATGGTGGGTAAGCAAGCAGAGGGCCTTCTGGGCAGAGAGAACAGCTTGGGCAGAGGCATGGAGGCACCTCAGAGAGGGCGCTGAGCATTTGGGGATTTGGAGGCAGTATTTTGTGGTGCAGTGAGGAAGAACATGGGAGTCTGATCTCATCTTTCATCTTGGCCCTGCTATTGCTGGGCTTGAGATCTTGAGAAAGTTGCAGACACTTCTTAAGCCTTAGTTTTTCCGTAGGGAAAGTGGGAATAATTACAGAAGTAACTTCATAGGGTTGTGGAGAGGATTAAATGAGGTCCTGTATGGAACATAGACATGGTGGCCATTGTTTTCATTTTTGGCATGTAGGGTGCTATGGCCGTGTCACAGTTGGGAGGGCAGCAGGAGACAAGCTCAGGAGCTTGAATGCCAGACCAGAGTACTTGGGCCACAGCCTGGAGACAGTGGGAGACTGGGGAAGGTATGGCGGGGGCGCTGCACAAGGTCACATAGAAGCCAAAGCTTGGGGAGAAAGAGCTGCCATCCCCAGCAGCCTTCACCAGGTGTTTTGCTTTTGGTGGATGACAGGGACCCACTGGTGGGGTTGTAAATGTGTGTCACCTGGGCACACTCAACGCTGACTGCTTCAGGTGTTGCACTGGGTGTCTTCCGGTGGCAGACATTATTACTGTCTTGCTCAAGTGGAGGAGCTTGAAGCTGGGATGCGGAAATTTCTTGCCTGTTTTCTTCTTCCCGCCATGGTCTAGGAAGCTGATTTTAGAGGCCTGCCTTTTAACGTGCTTTTAAAAGATTTTTCTTCCTACCTGTAGCATCAGGGCAGTTTTCTGGGGCCCAGATGGAGTCTGTTGGGTTTTGAAGAGGAAGCCAGACAGACGCTGATGCAGGTGCTGCCGGCCCCGTGGTCTGTTCATGAAGGTCAGGAGTCCGTTGAGCGCCGTGGGAGCTGCCTCCGAGGCAGGGATTAAGAAGCGGGTGTCTATTCCTGGATGCGGAAACCACTCAGTTCAGCAAACAGGGCTGTGTACCTGCTGTGTCAGGCCCCGGACAGGGCCCTGGGGACGTAGAGGTGGATGAACCGTGGACACTGTCCTTGAGAAGCCCGCTGCACAGTAAGGCTTTTAGTTAGAAGCTGACACCGGGGGCCAACCTCAGCCCCTGGTCTCCGCAGTCTGCTTGCTTTCTCTGAGGTGTTTCTCCTTCTCTGTACTGGGAGGTTGGGTGGGAGGGAAGCTGGCACCTCCTTCAAAGAATTATGAAGATTACTGAGCTAATATACATAAGCCCAAAGCATGGGGCCTGTGCCAGCACTTTCTTCTCTCTCTCTCTCTCTCTGATGGAGGAGAATGTTCTGTGCTGTGGGGAAGTAGCCGAAGGGGGCACTACCTGTATCATTCACTTTCTTCCCCAGAGCTTGGCATATGGCAGGCGCTCCACAAACTTGTAGGCGTGTTTCTTGGAAGAATGAGTGTGTAATTGACCTTGGAGGATGTGAGATTTAGGCAAGGGGAGATTTGGAATTGGCGGGTGACGTTCCTGGTAAGCAGGGGCAGTGGAAGGTGCAGAGCAGAGGCAGGAGGAGAAGCCCAGCTGGAGGGTGGGCCATGGGTGGGGAGAGCTGGGAGTTGGAAGGGAGAGGTCACTGGGGCAGCCTTCTAGGATCTTGACCATCAGCCTGATGCAGTTGCTGAGATGCTTTCGAGCCTGGGCGAGAAGCGTTAGGCCTCATCTTCCCCAGCCCGGTAGCAAAGGAGGGCTGCTCTGTGCTGGTGGGGGGTCAAGAGGTGCAGGGCCCTGGCCAGATCAGAAGAAAAAAACCCTGCAGGGAGAAAGGGAACTTGATATACTTTGGACTTTATGAGCCAATATAAATATTGAATGTTAAATTAGGAACTTTTTGCCCTATTTCTTTAATCTTCAGAAGAGAGATGAAATGGACATCCTTTCTATCTTGACCACGTGTGTAGCAAACTGGGATTTCGAGTGCGAGTTGGTTTCAGGTCCCAAATTCAGTATTTCTTACTCGCTGGTCTCGGACCACATCCCTAGATTTCACTGGGACTCCACTTTCTCACCTGGATCTGGTGAGGTTTCTCCTACGACAGATGGCGAGGGTCAGCTGTGGGTGGCCTGGGTGGGCCTGGGCCAAGCAGTTCTTCTCCGCTTGTCTCTTCCTCCTGGGAGAAAGCCCTTAGTGTTGGCCTGTGGGGAGAGTAAACACTTATTGTGTCTTCTCTTCTGAAACTCTCACATTTTTTATTTGATTAGCGTGATTTTACTTTTATTAAAATCACTCATTTTAATTTAATTGTATGTAGTTAAAAAGCTTACTTATTTTAAAAAGACCCGACAAAGCATTCAGCTCAGTCCTGCCCAGCTGTCCAGCCCCAGTGGCCCTTCTCTAAGGCTGTGGCCGAAGTCAGTGCAAACCCGGCCACTGTTTCCTGGGGGTGTGTTCTTGCGGGTTACACGGCCTCTTGGAATTCAACTCCCGCCACCCCCCTGCAAACCTAAAGCATCCGTGGCACCACCTTGGCACCTGGGCCAGAAACTCAGATGTCTTTCTTGACTCCTCCCCGTCTCACCACACCCAGTCCCCATGCCCTGGCTAGAAAATACTCCTCCTTTTTTCTACATGCCTGTGCGTGGATGTCCATCTGTCCATTTATAAATAAAACGGGGGCTTCTTCTAGGCCAGGCCTGAGGATGCTGTGGTCATGCTGGCAGACGAGGTCCTGGCTGCCTGGGCCTTGCAGCCTCGGGTGTGATGGGTGTGCGGGTGGGAGTTGGAGGCACAGTGATAAACAAGTAACAATAAACAAGAACGCAGGGCTGCCGTTTATTGGGGCTCCTGCAGGCTCAGCCTGCATCCTCCCTTCTTCCTCTGCTCCTGTTTCCCACAAGGGGAGCGCACCAGGAAATGCTGGTGAATGGAACTGGGTGAAAAAGTGAAAGAAATTGGCTCCTGCCACCTTGAAAAGGAGGATGCGCCCGGCGCAGAGTCCGTGCCCACACAAAGCATTCCGATTCCAAGTGGTGTCCTGTGTATCTCGAAGGACTGTGGGGAACAGTAATGAGTATATGTGTTTCCTGGAGCCCTGAGGCTGAGGCTTGAAGTCCTCATTTGCTTAGGAAGAAAGGAATGCAAAATGGTGACTCTTCTGCGCTAGGAAAATGTTCTGGGCATGAGCCAGCCTTCAAGACTGTAGGTAAATTGCCTCCTGGGGCATCTCACCAGGAAATGCAGTTGCCCTGCTCTTGGTCTGAAACAGACGCACCACAGCCATCATATCAGTCCACTCCAGCTGCTATTCAACTTGGGGGTACACGAGAGTCCAGTTAGCAGGTATGTGTTACCCAACCCAGGACATCTTCAGAAAGCTGCTTAGCAGTGGAGATCAGGCCTAATTTTCACTTCTGCACTCGCTATTCTCTGAGCACCTGCTTAGTACCTGTGGTTGGTCCTAGGAGCACAAAGATGACTAAGACACGGTCCTTGCTCCTAAGGAATGAAAATTCAGAGAATGTGAGCTCAAGGCTGATAGGGATTTCTGTCTGTTTTGTGTTCCCAGTGCTGAGAACAGCATCCTCCATACAGAGGGGAGGCTCAATGAATATTTGTTGAATGAATGAACAATTGGATGGGAACAAGTCTGATGCCAGCCCTGTGAGGCCAGGGTGGCCATGTCAGAGGGAAGCACAAGAGCTTGGGTGCCCTGCAGCAGGTGATGGGAGAGACTTGTGAGCTGAGGAGAGAGTGTGCAGACCCAGGCCGGGCCCTCTGGGCAGAGGCAGGTGCGGAGACAGAACCCACACCTAGGTGGCCTGAGAGTTGGTGTGGACCCGGTGGGGGAGAGTGAGTGTTCAGAGGCCGTGGATGCAGATGGTTAGGGCTTTGTTTGCCTGGCCAGCAGGCTTGAGCTGGATCCTGAGCCTGGGGGACCGTTTGGAGCCATCTAGTCATAGGAGTGACACAATGGGAGGCTCTTGAGGACCACATGGAAGACATTTGGGCCAGCAGAGCCTGGGAGACAGACGAGGCTGTCAGTCAGAGCCCAGCCTGGCCTCAGCTATTAATTCACCAGGCCATTGCCCAGACATTCTCCCATGTTTCCGTGACTGGCACAGATGTGTTCTGCATGGACAGCCAGTTACTATTTCCTTGTTACTTACTGATGTGTGCCTTTAAAATAAAAAACCGAACCAAACCAAAACAAAACAAAACAAAAAAACAAAAAACACAACTGAGTTAAGGCTTGGTGCGGTGGCTCACACCTCTGTTCCCAGCACTTTGGGAGGCTGAGGCAGGTGGATCACTTGAGGTTAAGAGTTTGAGACCAGCCTGGCCAACATGGTGAAACCCTGTCTCTACTAAAAATACAGAAAAATTAGCCAGGCATAGTGGTTGGCTCCTGTAATCCCAGTTACTCGGGAGGCTGAGGCAGGAGAAATCACTTGAACCCAGGAGGCAGAGGTTGCAGTGAGCCGAGATCATGCCATTGCACTCCAGCCTGGGCAACAAGAGCAAAACTCCATCCCCCCAAAAACAAAAAAAAACTGAATTAGGCTCATAAGTGATTGTATTTCAATAGCTGGTCTTTTAGAAATTCTCATCCTTTAATGAGGTAGAGAAGTTTCTCATGCCATCTCCTCATGTCACCTCAAGTGTACGGTAGGGAGAGGGAGGACTTTGGAGTTCAGACCCAAGTTCAAATCCTGTTCCACCACTGGAATCACCTTGGCTGCTTTAGAAAAATACCAACATCTGTGCCCCACCGCAGGCCAGATCACCTACCTCAGATCCTCTACATGTAACATAACATTGACCATCTTAACCACTTTTCAGTGTACAGTCCAGTAGTGTTAAGTACATTCACATTGTCATGCAACCATCACCACAGTCTATTATCAGGACTTCTTCAGCTGGGCACAGTGGCTCATGCCTGTAGTCCCCACACTTTGGGAGGCTGAGGCGGGAGGATCGCTTGAGCCTAGAGGTTCAAGATCAGCCTGGGCAACAGGGTGAAAACCTGTCTCTACAAAAAATAAAAAATTAGCTGGGAGTGTTGACACATGCCTGTAGTCCCAACTACTACTTGGGGTCTGAGGTGGGAGGATCACATGAGCCCGAGAGGTCAAGGCTGCAGTCAGCCATGATTGTGCCACTGCTCTCTAGCCTGGGCAACAGAGTGAGACCCTGTCTCAAAATAAATAACTTTTTCATTAAGCAAAACTGAAACTATGCTGTTAAACAACAATTCCTCATCCCCCCGCAACCTCCCCCCAGCCCCTGGCAGCTATCATTCGACTTTCTGTCTCTATGAGTTTGACTTCTCCGTTATTTTTGTGACTGGCTTATTTCACTGAGTGTAATGTCCTCAAGGTTCATGCATCTTATACCGTGTGTCAGGATTTCCTTCCTTTTTAAAGCTGAATATTCCACTGAATGTATAGACCACAGTTTATTTGTCTATTCATCTATTGAGAGACACTTGCAACGTGCTATGGGCTGAAATGTGTCCCCCCAAAGTTCCTATGTCGAAGCCTTCATCCTCAGTACCTCAGAATGTGACAGTATTTGGAGATACGGCCTGTAAAGAGGTGGTTACATTAAACTGAGGTCATTAGGATGGTCCCTAATTCAATATGACTGGTGTGATTATGAGGAGATATTAGGACATGGACATACACAGAGGGATGACCATGTGAAGACACAGGAAGAAGGCAGGGTCTACAAGCCAAGGAGGATCTTATATTAAAACCAACCCTGCCAATACCATGACCTTAGATGCCCAGCCTCCAGAACTGCAAGGAAAAAAATTCTGATATTTAAGCCACTCAGTGTGTAGTGGTTTGTTGTAGCAGCCTAGCACACAAATATAGGTTGTTTCCACCTCTTGGCTATTGTGAATAATGCTGCAGTGAACATGGTGCACAAATATCTCTTCAAGACCCAGCTCTTATTCTTTTGAATATATACCCAGAAGTGGAATTCTGGGACCATATGGTAATTTTTTTTTTTAGGTATGGATATTTTTGAGAGCACCCCAGGCCAAGAACCACTGGGACTGTGAAGGCTGTGTGAGCTCAGTGCAGGGACAAGGCATGAATATTGGAGTCAAACTGTCTGGGTTCAAATTTTGGTGCCTCCACTAATCAGCTCTGTGACTTGGGCAGGTTACTTTACCTCTTCACCCCAGAGGTTCTGTATATGTCAGATGGGGAGAACTCCATTTCTTGTGAATATTGAAGGAGATGCTGCATGGAAAGGGCCTGGTTCAGTGCCTTGCATGGGGCTGGTGCCTGTGCATACTGGCTGTTTCTACGATTCATTATTAATGATCATGCTGATCCAGTGGTGGTGCAAAAAGGTACTTGCATCCTCTAGACTATATCCGGTTGTTTTCTTATTTCATTTTCACGTTGTTCATTGCCAGCGTATAGGAATACAGTTAATTTTTGTATACTAAGCTTGTATCCTGCCACATTGCTGAAATTGTTTATTAGTTCTAATAGTTTTTTTAGTAGATTCCTTAGCATTTTCTATATACAAGATCATGTCATTGGGAAATAGATAATTTTACTTATTCTTTTCTGATCTGGGTGCCTTTTATTTCTTTTTCTTGCCTAGTTGCCCTGACTAAAACCTCAAGTCCAATGTTGAATAGAATTGACAAGAACAGACATCTTTGTCTTGTTCCAGATCTTAAGGGAAAGCGTTAATGTTTCACCATTGAGAGTGATGTTAGCTGTGGGGTTTTGGTAGATGCTCTTTATTGGGTTGTGAAAGTCCCTTCTGTTCATTCTTAGCTGACTGAGTGTTTTTATCATGAAAGGCTGGTGGATTTTGTAACATGTCTTTTTTGTACCTATTTACTGGTCATGTGGTTTTTATCCTTTATTCCATCAATATGGTATAATACATGGATTGATTTTGGGATATTAAACCAACTTTGCATTCCTGGGATATATCTCACTTGCTCATGGCATATAGTTCTTTTATATATTGCAGGATTTGGTTTTCTAGTATTGTGTTGTGAATTTTTGCATCTATATTTGTAGGGGATGTTAGTCTGTAGTTTTCATATGATATCTTTGTCTGGTTTCAGTGTCAGGGTAATACTGGCTTCACAGAATGAGTTGAGAAGTGTTCTTTGCACTTTTACTTTTTGAAAGAGTTAGATATTCATTCTTCTTCAAACATTTGATAGAATTCACCCCTGCAGCCATCTAGGCCTGTGCTTTTCTACGTATCTAGGTGTTAAGTATGTTTAGTATACTACTGTGTTCAACTTTTTGTTGTGGCATTACAGTTTTACCTGAATGGGAAGGGAATGGCTGACAAGGCCAGGGCTTTTAAAGGACCAATTTGCATCAGATTTGCACTTTTTTTTTAACATACAGGATGTGGGGGCCAGAAAGGCCTATGGTTTGTCCAAAGCAGACCTCTGTGTCATGATGCAGCTCCTCCTTCCTGAGCCTCCTCCCCATGCCAGGCTCTAAGCTGGGCCCGAGTGAGCCTCTCTGCTTTGACCCCCTGGCATGCCTGTGAGGCAGATGCTGTGGTCCCTGCTCCAGCCCTGGAGACTGAGAAGGAAGGAAGGCACTCACCCAGAGCCATCAGCCAATCAATGGAAGGGATGGGGCTTGCCTGGCCTGGGTCCTACAAGCCTTCTGTTATTCCCTGATGACCAGAAATTGTTCTTTTTTCTTCTCTATTTAAATAAAAAACTGTTCTAGAGCAGCGTGTGTTAGAATCACTCAGAGGACTTGTTAAAACCCACACTGCTGAGTCCACCCCCACGTTCTGTTCAGTAGGTTACTGTTGAGGCCAAAGAATTTTAACTCCTAACAAGCTCCCAGCTGATGCAGATGCTGCTGGTCTAAGGATCTCACTCAGAGAACTGCTGTTCTAGGGGAGGTGCCAAAATTAACTGAAAAGTTTAAAAATATTATCCAGGGGCTGGAGGCATAACTGAAAGAGGCCAGGTGGGACCCAGGCCGGATCCAGCAGGCCTGCCTCTTGTCCCATTGTGGAGTGTGAGGTGGCACATGCTGGCTCCAGAGGGGACCCGTTGACTCTTACCAGCCTGGGTTCAGACATGGCGCCAGAGAGGAGTTGGTGGCAGCTGAGTTTCGAGGCCTTGCTGATGGCAAAGGAGGCTTCCCACACCCAGATCCCAGAATTGGCTGAGATTCAGACAGGAAGTCAGGAAGCCCCCAAGTCTGTTCATAAAGCTTTTAGAATGTATCCAAAGGAAAATAAAAACAAAAATTAAGATAGTGCTTTCTGCAAACTCTACCACGCACCAGGCACTGTGCAAGGTGCTGTGCGTGGGTTAACTTAGCTCGTACTCACAGGGGAGAGCTGTGCTGCTTTCTGCTTAATAGGTGGGTGGCAGAGGCTCAGAGAGGCTGAGAAACTTGCTCAAAGTCACACAGTGAGGCAGAGCCAGAGTCTGTGTTGAACTTCAGCCTTCCAGAGTCCACCAGGCTGCCCCCAGAAGGCATCGAGGCAGTTTTTCTTTTCATATTGATAGTATAGTCAGAGATGAGAGGCCACAAACACACACACACACAGTGCTGGACTGAGGGGCCTCAGGACTCCAGGCTGGGCTTTGTCATTGCCGGCCATGTCCCTTAAACCTTTCCATCCTCCGTTTCCTCACCTGTAAGCAATGAAGTTGTTGAAAATCCTGTGATGCCATTTGTACCCCTGGGAGGATCTGCCACATAACCAGCTCTGCCTTCATGAACTGATCTCTGCCTGCGGCCAGGCCCCGGGGCCAGAGCACCCCATCCATTGCCATCTCCTGGAAACCTCAGGGTGGCGGCTGGGAAGCAGAGCTGTGCCTGTCCAGAGGCCGCACATTTGATCCCAATGCCAGCTGCCTCTTAAGTCCGAGAGCAGAGACTCCAGCTATATTTTAAGGATTTAGGGTTGGAATTCTGATTATTGTGATATGGTAGCTTAAAAAAAGTGCCAGTAATATTAAATAAAAGCAAAATCCCTTAACTGTTACATATTGCTGAGTGTACGTAGGACTTCTCTCATGTGACAAGTTCATGTAAGACTTTGGCTGGAGGTGCAAAAACCAGTCGTTTAAAAAACACTGGACTCGGGAAGGACAGAACACGAGAAACTGCCCTTTTAAAGCACAGAGCTCCCGGGGGCTCCCTTTCCCCTGCCTGTGCGGGCATACATGGGTACGAGCCTCTTCGAAACTTTGCAGCGTTTGGCCAGTGAATTGGAAAGGGAATCTCTCCATGGAAAAAAATTCTAAATCTGTACAAAATCCTCAGAAATAACCAAAGTGTCCCTAAATCCAGGATGGAATGAGGTAGGAAGGCCTCCACCACTCTTCAGAGCGTCTTGGAAAATTCTTATTTCATGATATGAAGAGGAAAAGACAAGCTAGAAAATGACTGATAGACATGAGTTTAAGTAAAAACTGCCCCTGGAAAAGCAGCCCAGAAGGAAGTCAGTAGAGTGTTCACAGTGGGTGGGGGTGGGGGATGGAAGAGAAGTTTCTTTTTCTCTTCCTTTTCCTTTTCTGTGTTCTCCCAAGTTTCTTTATTGGAGTAAACTTGATTTTTAAAATGAGAGAGAGACGGTTAACGCCCTTAGGAAGCGTAAGCGCCTCTCCATGCCAGAGCCTGACAGCAGAAATGAGTGGTTTCCACATCAACTTCCGCTCCCACCGGGCTGCTCAGTGGCCAGGGAGGTTGCCGAAGAGTGGACAGTCAGCATCCTCGGCATCAGTGTCCTGGGGCCACTTTCCATTTGGTGCAGAAATAGCTCTTGCATTTCTCCACCTGGCTTCTGTGGACCAGGGCTGGGCCAGCTACCGGCAAGTTAAGATGGAGAATCATGTGGATTTGGGAGTGGAGGAGAAAGGGCATTCACAGGCCAGGCCCTGGGGCATAGGTGCTGTTGCCCATAAAATTATTTATGGGGGTCCTAAGGACTGTAGTCAATATTTGTTTTGTAAAGCAGCAACCCAGGAAGGGTTTCATCTACCACTTTGTTTTTTGTGTTTGTTTGTTTGTTTTTTGGTATTTATTTATTTATTTATTTTGAGACAGGGTTTCACTCTGTCGCCCAGGCTGGGGTGCAGTAGCAGGATCTCGGCTCACTGCAACTTCTGCCTGCCGGGTTCAAGCAATTCTCCTGCCTCAGCCTGTCAAGTAGCTGGGATTACAGATGCGCGCCACCACCCCTGGCTAATTTTTGTATTTTTAATAGAGACGGGGTTTCGCCATGTTGGCCAGGCTGGTCTCGAATTCCTGGGCTCAAGTGATCTGCCTGCCTCAGCATCCCAAAGTGTTGGGATTACAGGCATGAGCCACTGCGCCCGGCCTCGTCTACCACTTTAAATGTTGGTAGCTGCTTCTCATTCTACGCGATACAATTAGGATGGTAGTGACTGACTGAGGCTTCTTCGCTGTGAATGCTGGGCAGGGGGCCCATGCTGGCTGCTGAGGTTACAGGTCCCAGATGCCTGGCCCACAGGGCTGGCTCTGCCGTCACCCAGCTCTGGGGTCTTAGGCAAGTGATTTTCCCTCTTTGGACCTCAGCTTCTGATTTTGTAAAGAGAGGGATCCCACCATTCTCCAGTGTCTACCATACACCAGGCACTGTGCTGAGGACAGATGAGCTCCAACCAGTGCCTGTGGCTGACCTGAGGTCAGTAATTTTCTTTATTACAATTGCCTACTTAATTGCATCTTTCTTATTGCCCAAAGGATGACACCAGACGAGAGAAATATTATTCTACCAAGTTATCTGGGATACTTTGTCATCCCTTTTCCAGGTAAAAGCATTACATTTTCATTGTGGAAAATGTCTTGGAGAAGACAGATCAAAAGGAGATAAACAAAATCATGTATTTCTCCACCCCTCCAGGAGCAGTGGGGACAGAGGTCCTTACGCTGTGAACCACTGTCACCTAGCGGGCCGACTTCCCTCTGACCCTGCAGAAAGACCCGAGCCACATTATTGGAAGGGGCCTTAAGCTGATCGGGGGGACCACGAATCACTGACCCCCAGTGTTGATGAAGCAGGACCTGAGCACACACTCCTGGGGTGGGTCTGTGGTGGGCCTTTTGGGGGAACAGGGACAGTGCTCCTGCTGAGCCAGCCTCGCCACGTGGGGGGATTTATGGTCGGCCCATCATCAGGTGTGCATTATGATTTATGTGGGAAGATGTGTATCACACAAATGTTGGTGAAAGTCCCTCCCCACAGAAAAAAAAAAAAAAAAGAGGAAAAAAGAAAAATAGGGAGCAGCCCAAATGTCCGGGTGGAGAGCCACGTGAACATTGATTGTTTCTGCCGCTGTCAGCCTTTCTCCCCTGTGTGTATGAAATTGGTCTCCAAAAAACTGGGACAATAGTTCATAGCTATTCTCAGTACATCTCAATCCATCTAATAAATATATTCGTTTCCTAGGGCCGCTGTACCATGGAATACACAAGACAAACGGATGGTCTCTTAGTTCTGGAGGCTGGAAGTCTGAGATCCAGGCGTGGGCAGGGTTGACCCCATCTGAGGCTGCGAGGGGACTCTGCCCCAGGCCTCTCCCCTGGCTTCCTGTGCTTTGGTGGCAGTCCTTGGTATTCCTTGGCTCGTGGAATCTGCCCCGTGACCTCCTCCTTCGTCGTCACATGGTGTTCTCCTTTGTCTCTGTGTCTCTGTGCTCCCATTTCCTTATTTTATTTTATTTTATTTTATTTTATTTTATATTTTGAGATGGAGTCTCACTCTGTCACCCAGGCTGGAGCACAGTGGCATGGTCTTGGCTCACTGCAACCTCCGCCTCCTGGGTTCAGGCGATTCTCCTGCCTCAGCCTCCCAAGTAGCTGGGACTACAGGTGTGTGCCACCACACCTGGCTAATTTTTGTATTTTTAGTAGAGATGGGGTTTCACTATGTTGGCCAGGTTGGTCTCGAACTCCTGACTTTGTGATCCGCCTGCCTCAGCCTCCCAAAGTGCTGGGGTTACAGGCGTGAGCCACCACGACCAGCCCCATTTCTTCTTTTTGTAGGAACACCCATCATATTGGTTAAGGCCCACCCTCCTGACTTCATCTCAATTAGATGACCTCAGTAAAGACCCTGTTTCCCATAAGACCACCTCTGAGGGTACTGGGGGTTAGGACCTCAGCGTATGAATTTGGGAGTGACACAATTTAAACCCTTTCACATAAATCAAGAATACTTTTCAATGTCCTTGAAATGCTCTTCTGATGCTATGGTTCTCAAATGCTTTTTAACTGGGGCAGAACCCTTTTAAATAGTGAAAGTTTCTGGAGCCCATGGGAACCCTCCCAAAGCAGGTTAAAATTCAGGGGGAAAGTGGGGCTCAGGCATAAGAGGAGTCCAGAGGAGAGCAGGGCTGACCTGCTGGTGTGTGTGTGTGTGTGTATATGTGTGTGTGTGTGTGTGTGTGTGTGTGTTTCTAATGATGTCACATGCAAACAATAACAGCTTGACTAAGGCCATGGAGGATGAACAGACAGGGTGGGGTGGGGAGACATATTCCAGCCAGATGAAGGCTCGTGAGAGTTCAGTAAGCCCAGGAATCAAGGCAGTAAGCAGTAGTTGCTTAGCGCCCAACTGGCCTTGCTCTGTTGAAAGTGCTCTGTGCGCATTCGCTTTTGCCGGGGCAGGTACTATGATTTTCCTCATTTTTCCAGGTTAGGGGAAACTGAAGCTCAGGGAGGACAAGGCACCTGCCCCAGGACAAACAGCTAACAAGTGGTAGAGTCAAGATTCGTACCCATTCTGAGACAGAGCTGGCCGTTGAGAACACGCCACTGCACGGCCATTCCGTGGTTCTAGAACGTGAAGTTCTGCCAGTGGATGTAGGTGTGTGGAGGGTCTGTCTGTAGTTAACATCGTCAAAATATTTGGTTTTCTGCTTCTGTGTTTAAAATGGTTTTGTGTGTCCCTCTTTAATTTTAACTTGGATTCTAGGCCAGGTGCAGTGGCTCACGCCTGTAATCCCAGCATTTTGGGAGGCCGAGGCAGGTGGATCACGTGAGGTCAGGAGTTTGAGACCAGCCTGGTCAACATGGCGAAACCCCATCTCTACTAAAAATACAAAAATGAGCCAGGTGTGGTGTAATCCCAGCTACTTGGAAAGCTGAGGCAGGAGAATCGCTTGAACCCAGGAGGCAGAGGTTGCAGTGAGCCAATATTGCACCACTGCACTCCAGCCTGGGTGACAGAGTGAGACTCTGTCTCAAAAAAATAAAAATAAAAATAAATAAAAATTAAATTAACTTGGGTTCTGGGGTACCCCAGCTTTCATCTGTGTTCAGGTGCAGATAACAGAAGCCACTCTGTCCAGCTACTTTAAGTAGAGGGACGGAGCACAGGGAAGTAGGTGCCAGTAGTGGAAGGTCAGGGAGCAGAGTCTTGTCTGGGCTTAGGCTTGACCCCCAGAGTGTCACCCCAGAGCTGGCCTCTCGGGAGCTGCCACCTCTGCCACCTCTGGGAGCTGGGGCATTGGGAGCCACTGTCCCAGAGCTGGTTACAGCCTCAGCTGCAAGCCAGGAAGGAGAAGGCCATGGTGGGACCCCCAACGCCAGAGCACACCTTGTCTGCCAGGCCCATGCCAGGAAGGAGAAGGCCATGGTTGGACCCCCAACGCCAGAGCACACCTTGTCTGCCAGGCCCATGCCAGCCAGTGGGCACCTTGTCCTATCCCCACCTGGCTCTCACTTGTGTTCAGGTCAGGCCTGTGTGATTGAAGGACTGATGAATTGAATGAATGATGGAACCTAAGTGATGTGCAGAGCCCTAGCTCCAAGGGAGTCTCAGAGATATGGTTTGTGGCTCTTTAGCCTCCGCATTTCAGGATAGCTCATTTGGTCCCCTGTGGGGGTCATTGCCTCCAGGTGCGGAGAGAGTGTGGATTGGCTGAAAAAGAGCGTCTCTCGAGTGAGGCCATCTGGAACGTTCAACCAAATCACAGCTCCTGATTTCCCTGAGCAAAGGACTTGAAGGGGGTTCCTACTTAGCACGTCTGCTGTCACCCAGGGTGTGAGACGACTTTTCAGGAACTGTATCAGGTGTGACGTGATTAAGGTTCCATGGGCCAGAGCCGTGAATTTCCTGACTCCCAGCGAAGGTACGGGAACAGTGCCGTCTAAAGCTGATCCGTCTGTTAGGAAAATGCCAGCGCGTGCCGTCTTGCAGCCACTGTGGCTGCTGTGGCTCAGTGGGCCCTGGTGAGCCCGGCTGCTGGCACGGGGAAGCCAGGACCTGGCATAGCACATGTCCTGTCAGGTGGAGGAGGCAGAGCTGCATGTGGCTCGATTCCAAGCCCTATGGGGGAGGCTCTGCAAGGCAAGGGAGCATGCAGCACCTTACCATGAAAATAGGGAGGGGGTGTTGAGGAGGAAGAGTGATTATTCCCTCGGTGGGGGCACATCGGAGGGGACACCGTGTAGGAGTTTGATTACTGGTGCAGAGGAGGACTGGAGGGAATAGGCTGCAGAGTCCCAGGGGCCTGGTGGAATCCTGGCTCCCCATGCCACCTCCCTGAGCCTCAGTTTCCTCATCTGTACAATGGCATGGTCAGTGGAATCCCATGCGCTTGCCAAACTTCAACGCAACTGTGTCTAAATGCCTGTTATGTGATGGGTAGTGCCGCTGCTGGTAACTAGCTTTTTGCTTTCTGCCAGTGGTTCTCGAGGGCTTTCTGTGTAGTCAGGACCCCCACGATGTGGGTTGTGGTCAGCTGGCTGGACTGGACAGGGAGGAAGTTCTTGTTATTTATTTATTTTTCCTGGGCAGGCCATTTCTTGGAATTCCAGATTCTTTAGTGTGGCTCCTGACTGGGTGCTAATCACCATGAAAAATCAGAAAAGTAGGCAAGAAAAGGATAGTCGAGCAAGGTGCAGGTGACACGAGCCATCCTTGGTTGTGTGACCGTGGACAGGAACTTAGTCGCTCAGTGCCCAAATTGTCTCAGATACAAAATATGGGAAGCGAGGCCTCCCTCTTGGGACCTTGAGAGATTAAATAGATCACTCTGGACTGATACCGAGTTCCTTCCAGCAGGTCCCTCAACGTCGTGGCTTTGCTTCCTTCATTCCTGCTCCCAGTGGGAGATATTATCACTAGGGTACTGATTTGTCAGAAGTACTTAAATATTCCCATGGTCTTTTGGGTTCAAGCAGACTGAAATATGGATTCACAGATGCCTGCATTTAGACGTCAAGCACTTTGGTACATGTTATTTATGTATTTATTTATTTACTTTGAGTCTCACTCTGTTGGCCAGGCTGGAGTGCAGTGGTGTGATCTCGGCTCACTGCAACCTCCATTTCCTGGGTTCAAGTGATTCTCCTGCCTCAGCCTCCCCAGCAGCTGGGAATACAGGAACCCACCACCATGCCCGGCCAATTTTTGTATCTTTAGTAGAGATGGGGTTTCACCCTGTTCGCCAGGCTGATCTTGAACTCCTGACCTCAAGTGATCCACCCACCTTGGCCTCTCAAAGTGCTGGGATTACAGGTGTGAGCCACTGTGCCCAGCCTCGGTCCATGTTGAAGGGACACTTCATTCACTCCTTATTTTTGCTGTCCCCCCCCACCTCTCCCCCCACCATTTCTTAAGTCCTCTGACACCAGCCTCTGCCAAGGTGTTAGGTGGCTATCTGAAACTGTTAGTAAGAAGTTCTGTGTGAGCCAGCATTGTGCTGGGCAGTGTGGTTTAGGGGAAGAACCAGTGGGATGGGCCTTAGAAGGCTTGGGTTCAAGTCCAGGCTGGCTGTGGCTCTCAGAGCCTCTGGTTTGTCATAGGTAACATGGGGCAAGAAGCAACTTCTCAGCGGGGGTGGTATGGTTGATGCAGTGGTATGCAGGGAACTAGATTATTTTAATCTGCAAAATGCTGTGTATGCGATGGCTTTTTTATCAAGGCTAGGCCAGGCTGGACCTGGGAAATCCCCGTCCGTGGAGTGGGGTCGGGCAGCTCAAGGAGCATCTCTGTATCAGTCTTCAGGGGCTGCCATGATGGACTCCACAGACTGGGCGGCTCACACCACAGACATTTGCTCCCAATTCTGGAGACTGGAAGTCCGAGATCAAGCTGCCACCAGGGTTGGTTTCTTCCGAAGCCTCTCTCCTTGGCTTGTAGACGGCCGTCTTCTCCCCATGTCCTCACATGGTCTTCCTTCTATGTGTCTGTGTCCTATTTTCCTCGTATTGTTAGGACATCCGTCATCTTGGATTAGGTCCCACCCTAATCCACAGCCCCATTTTACCTAACTTACCTCCATAAAGACCTTGTCTCCAAACATGAAGTCCTGAGGTGCTGGGGGTTGGGGATTCAACATAAGAATTTTGGAGGGACACGAGTCAGCCCATATACCATGGCTTGAGAATGGGAGAGGATGGGGAGGAGTGGCCCCCATGGAGACTGAGCAGCTCTGCCCCAACGATACCAGACCAGAGATACACGAGCCCTACACCTGCCATCTCTACATGTCCAGGGCCTGCCAGGGAGCCCAGACGCTGTCTTGTGTGTGGAGTCCCCAGCTAGAAGACACTTCTCTTGCCTCTGGGCATCCACCGTGGTTTATCTGCATCTACACTGCGTGTTTTGGGCTGTCTTTATTTATGCATGCGCCACCCTCCCATGCTAGGCTTGAGGCTCTGGTGGGGGAGAGAGGATGTGGCTCATCTCTGCCTCCCCAGGCCTGGTGCAGTATTTGCATGTGTGAAAGAGGGCATTGTGGCACCATCGTGTGGACAGATTGAGTCCATTTCACAGGCACTCAAGAGCTGCTTTGATTCTGGCAGACACCGAGCCAGGCTCTTGGGAGGTTGAGGCAACAGGCCTGGCTGTCATGGGCACCGAGTCTGGTGGCGGGGATGGGCAACACCAGCACAGCGTGATCAGAGCTGTGAGACAGGGAAGCTTGAGGAACTATTGGTATGCAGAGGAAGCCCTTGACCCAGCCTAGGGGTGGGAAGTGGTGCCAGCTAAAGCATCCCAGAGGAGGTGATGCCCAAGCTGAATTTTAAAGAAGATGAACAGGTGGAAAAGACGGGGAGGGGCATTTCAAGAAGAGAGCATCAGTCAGGTTTGATGAGGCAAGGCTGCAGTAACAAAGAAACCCCAAAAGGTCTGTATATTAGTCTGTTCTCACATTGCTATAAAGATACTACCTGAGACTGGGTCATTTATAAAGAAAAGCGGTTTAATGACTCACAGTTCCACATGGCTGGGGAGGCCTCAGGAAACTTACAATCATGGTGGAAGGGGAAAGGGCATGTCTTACATGGCGGCAGGCGGGAGACAGCGAGTATGTGAAGGAGGAACTGTCAAACACTTATAAAACCATCAGATCTTGTGAGAACTCATTCACTATCATGAGAACAGCATGGGGGAACTGCCCCTGTGATCCAGTCACCTTCCTCCAGGCATCTCCCTCGACCTGGGGATCAGGGGGATTACAATTTAAGATGAGATTTGGGTGGGCACACAAAGCCTAACCATATCAGTCCATTCTAATTCACACATGCTCTAGTGCAGGCCCACTCCAGTGGGTGATTCAGGGATCCAGCCCCCTCCGTCTGGTCATCCAACCATCTCAATGCATGGCTTCAAAGGTCCCTGCAGCCAAGAAGAGAGAGAAGAGTGATGTGAGCTTTTAAGAGCTTTAGCCCAGAAGTGACACAGGTCAGGTCTAGTCATATGACCCCTACCTCCTGCAAGGGAATCTGGGAAATGTCAGGAACTGTGTGGCAGATTTGCCAAGGACACCGTGGGGAACACACTTGCTGGGGTGCCAAGGCCAGGAGGACACATTGTTGTTGGGAAGCATGGTCCCAGGGCAAAATTAGCTTTGCAAGAAACTTGGTAAAACAATGATTCTCCCTCCATGCGCCCCCTGCCCACCACCCACTATCAGGCATTAACATCATGGCTAGAAACTAGACCCACAGAAGGAACAGAGTTGCAGAGGGGAGATGAATGAATCTGCTTGCGTCAGGCTGGGAAGGATTAATTTCTTTGAGAACTCTTGTTCATTTGCTTTTTAAGGAATTGAGTTTAACATGGGCTCTGTCTCTCTATTGCTCTCCTTCCCTCCCTCTGAAAGTATAAATAATACGGAGTACTTGTTCTAACCTTTTTCATATGGAAACAAAATGTTTATGGTTGTACGTCTTCTAAGGCTTTCAAAGAGCTTGTGCTCGAAGTCACCATCCCCATTATCAATGGAGGTACCTTGGCACTGAGCAGGAGCGGAGGTCTGCCTATAGAATATTCAGGAGCTTAGCTAACTTTAAAATTCTGGCTGGCATGGGCATTGTCTTTGTGATTTTCATTCAGATTTGTCATTATGAGGTTTTTTTGGTGTTCTGTTGGGCCATATTATTTCATTATGAGCTCCTTGAGTATCATTTTTATAATGACATTTTTATCTGATTGAATTTATTACAAAGATCTTTTTTTAATTAAAAAAAATAAGGCTTGCTTTTTTGGTTGTAGTTTAGAGATTGTGTCAACACCAAGAGATGAACAGTGGCTGGGAATTAATTGCTGCTTGCATTTCCCTTAATTGACTATGAATGTGTAGAAGTTGGCTGGCTTTGTGCATGCGAGTCTTGAAATGCAGTGCTTTCTTGTAGCACAGAAACAAATAACACAAGTTGTGCCTTGTTTTTTGATCCACCCCAACAGTCTCTTTTATTGGTGTATTTAGACCGTTGACATTTAAAGTGATTATTGATAGAGGTGGATTAATATCTATAGTATTTGTTACTATTTTCTGTTTGTGACCCTTAATCTTTGTTTCTATTTTTGTCTTCTACTCCTTTTCTGCTTTCTTTTTTTTTTTTTTTATTTTTGAGGCAATGTCTGGCTCTGTCACACAGGCTGGAGTGCAGTGGTGAGATCTCAGCTCACTGCAACCTCCACATCCCAGATTCAAGCGATCCTCCTGCCTCAGCCTCCCAAGTAGCTGCGACTACCGGTGTGCACCACCACTCCTGGCTAATTTTTGTATTTTTAGTAGAGACGGGGTTTCACCATGTTGGCCAGGCTGGTCTTGAACTCCTGACCTCAAGTGATCTGCCCGCCTCGGCCTCCCAAAGTGCTAGGATTACAGGTGTGAGCCACCGTGCCCAGCTGCCTTCTGTGGTTTTAATAACATTTCCATGCTCTGTCCTTCTGAACATATCAAGTGTACTTTTTAAAAAACTTTTTTTAGTAGTCACCCTAGAGTTTGCAATATACATTCACAACTAATCCAAGTCCACTTTCAAATAACAACACACTGCTTCCTGTGTAGTGGAAGCATCTCATAACTCATGAGTCCCGTTTCGTCTCTCCCATTCATTGCTCTTATCCATAAGCTGTACCCATCAATTACACTGTTGCTGTTATTATTTCAAACAAACTGTTCTAGTCAGTCAATTAAGAATAAAAAATGATTTTATTTTATCTTCACATATTCCTTCTCTAAAATTCTTCCTTTCTTTATGTGAGTCTGAGTTTCTGACCTTTGTCATTTTCCCTCAACTCTGAAGAGCTGCTTTTAATCTTCCTTTTTCCAAGGCAGGTGTCCATAGCAAATTCTTTAAATTTGTGTTTGTCTGGAGAAAGACTTTCTCCTTCATTTTTGAAGGATAATTTCATAGGCTACAGAATTCTACACTGGTGAGTTTTTTCCTCTTCTCATCACTTTAAGTATTTCCCTCTCCTCTTTCTTGCTTGCATGGTTTCTGCAGGGAAGTCGGATGTATTAATAATTTTTGGTTTAGACAGAATCTCACTCTGTCGCCCAGGCTGGAGTGCAGTGGCACCATCTGGGCTCACTGTAACCCCTGTCCCCTGGGTTCAAGCCATTCTCATGCCTCAGCCTCCTGAGTAGCTGGAATTACAGGCACGCACCACCATGCCTGGCTAATTTTTGTAGTTTTTGTAGAGATGGGGTTTTGCCATGTTGCCTAGGCTGATCTCGAACTCCTGGCCTCAAGTGATCCACCCACCTCAGCCTCCCAAAGCATTGGGATTACAGGCATGAGCCACCATGCCAGGCCCCAGTATCTTTTCTTTATCTCTACTTTTCTGCAGTTTGCATATGATATGCTAAGTGTAGGGTTTTGTTTTTTTTTTTTTTTGGCAGTTATCCTTCTTGCTATTTTCTGAGCTTCCTGGATCTGTGGTTTGGTGTCTGACATTAATTTTGTGAAATTCTCAGATACTATTGCTTCAAATATTTCTTCAATTTCTTCTTCTCTTTCTCATCCTGTTATTCTTTTTTTTATATATGTGTTTATACCTTTTGTAGTTGTCTTATAGTCCTGGGATATTTTTTTTTTTTTGGAGGCAAGGTCTTACTCTGTCATCCAGGCTGGAGTGCAGTGGTGCAATCATGGCTTACTGCAGCCTCAACCTCCTGAGCCCGGGTGATCCTCCCACTTCAGCTGAGGTGGGAGGTGTATATCCCCACACATAACTAAGTTTTGTGTTTTTTGTAGAGACAGGGTTTCATCATGTTGCCCATGCTGGTCTTGAACTCCTGGGGTCAAGCAATTTGCCTTCCTCAGCCTCCCAAAGTGCTGGGGTTATAGGTTTGAACCATCGCGCCTGACTGTCCTGGGATATTCGTTTTTTTTATTTATTTATTTTTAGTCTTTTTTTTCATTGCTTTCCAGTTAGGAAATATTCTATTGACGTATGTTGAAGCCCACTGCTTCTTCCTTCAGCTGTGTTCGGTCTACTAATGAGCCCATGAAAGGCATTCTTCATTTCTGTTAAAGTTCTTTTTATTTCTAGCTTTTCCTTTTTATCCTTTTTTTAGAATTTTCATCTCTGCTTACATTGCCCATCTGGTTTTGCATGTTGTCTGCTTTTTCCATTAGAATCCTTGGCATATTAATCGTAGTTCTCTTAAAGTTCCAGTCTGATCATTCCAGCTTCTCTACCATGTCTGCTTCCAATGTTTGGGCTCTCTTTTTTGCCTTTTAGTATGCTTTGGAATGTTTTTTGTTGAGAGCCAGACATGATGCATTTGGTAAAAGGGACCTAAACTGGTTCCTGTGGAGGTTTTTGCTGTGGTATGTTGTGATTCTGTGTATCTGCCTGTCTGCCTTTCCAAATGTTGGAGCAGTAGTTTGTCCTATGACCTCAGTTGTCTGATGGATCCAAGAAAAGTTCTTGATTTGCATTCTGTTTAACTTGCCTTATTTAGACGGGAGTCATGCTTCTAAGCTCCTTATGTGACAGACCAGAAACTAAAAGTTTGATTCAATTCTCATTGCGTCCCCGCTCCCTCCTTCTTCCCCTGCCTCCCTTCCTCTTATATAGAGTCCCCCACTTCATTGGGCAGGACTTTGCCAAAGTGGCCTGGGGCAGGTAAGTGCAGAGTATTGCCCTAACTGGAAGTTTCTCTGATCTTTCTGGGGTTGGCATGATGAGCTGGACCTGGGCTCTGTGGGTCTCTGACCATGAGGCCAGAGGTGTCCCAGAGTCTTCCAAATTTAGAGAGGCCTCTTCTCCTGAACTTGGCTTCACTGGGACATATCAAGATGGACTTGTTAGGACCAGGAGAAGGAGGCTGTTGAGGGCAGGGTCGTTGTGGTGGTCAGCTGTTGCAGTGTCTCCTGCAGTCCTCCACAGCAGAGGTGAACGTGATGATTCTTTGACTGGGGGACAGTGACAGGTGATGGTGGCAATTGAGGCTGCCAGAAACAGGAAGGGTGTTTTGACCTCAGAATACTTTTCTAGGGGCGGGAGTTGTGCTTCATGGAGAAATCTCATCATAACCTCTTTGGTCATATTTACAATGCAGAGGGATGGCTTCCTCCTGATCTGTGTAGGGAAATATTGAGAACGGCAGCTGAGTGGGGGTCTGGACAAAGGAACTTTCAGCAGGAATGGCCATCAGCATCATGAGGGCAGGGCACGGTGGGTCCTGCTTGGTATCCTGGTCCCTGTACCAGCATGGCACCTGGCTTTCAGGAGACATGGCACAAACTTGTGCTGAACAGATAATGGGGTGATGTGTTTAACCAGTCGACTTCAATGTGATCTCAAACCTTGTAGATCATAGAGATCAAACACTCATGGCTTTGTTTATCCAAGAGCAAGGCCAAGGACCCTTAATGGTCAGTACCTTACCATTTAGCCAAAGGCCACATTTAAATATCAATGGTTCCTGGCTGGCATGGGGTGGGGCCACGCCCAGCATCTGACCACACATGTGCCAGCTCTTGTCCAGTTGTACTTGATTCTGCAGAAGGGGGGACTATTTTTATCAAGGAATCAGGAAACCTGTGTCCCTTGATGGCTGGATGGCGTGTGTCCTCCTGCCTGAACTCTGTAGATGTGAAGACACCCCACAGTGCGGAGTGAAAGTGGGGTGTGTGATGTCTTCATCATCCAGCAGGCATCCAAAGAGGGCTCCCAGGGGTACTGTCACCTGCTCTGGGCAAGGCACCTTGCCTGGTACTGGAGATTCAACTAAACCTGATGGTGTGGAAGGAGCTCTGAAGGTTGCAAGTGGACCCGACGCCCGGGTGAGACGGCCAGGGGCCGGGCAAGGCACCCCCTGGGTGTGGGGGTTCTGGGCAGTGGGCCGCCACAGGCAGGTTCCTGTTACTGCTGTTTTATCTCTCTGCAGGGGTGAGGTGTGGCTGATGCTTGCTATAGGTGGTGCCTTCTGGTGGCCCTGCAGGGGTGGCTAGGAGGAGGAGGGTCAGGGAGACCCTGAAGGCCTGTGAGGTCAGCCAGCTGCAGGTGGCAAGGCTGGGGGCACCAGAAGGACTCTAGAGAGGACTTGGCAGGTGGAGCATGGGACTTGGGCAGTGCACGTGGGGAGCGAGCCCCGGAGGGAATGGACGGAGGAGGCACGTGGCTCCCGTGTTTGCTCATCCGGGCTGGGGCTTTGTCAGGCAGACAATGGATCCGTTCATTTTTTTTCCACTTGAAGAAGCACATTGAAGACCAGCTGGGTCTCCTGTTGTGGGGACAAATTTCCCAGCCCACGGGCTTGGACCTTGTGCCAATAAAGACTCCCCTTCCCTCCCTCCCCGCTCCTGGTCCCTTCTGAGCTCATTCACTGCTTGCAGCCCCTGGGCCCCAGCTACGGAAGCAGGTGGCCTTCTGTCCACCCATTTGGAGAACACACCTGTGGGGACACTTCCCTTGCCCTGACTCCATGGAAAGACACCACTTGTGGGGCTCTGATAGTCCAGGAGCCTGGATGCAGTGAGAGATCCTCCTTTCACAGATGGGGAAACTGAGGCCCAGACAACTCAGAGAACTGACCCTAGACCCCGAGTGACCCACCTGGGAGGTGAATCCATGTCCGTCTGGCTCTAAAGCCCTTTTCTAACCACATGACTGTGGCCAGTTTCTGTCTCGGGCCCCAGCATCTTCACCCGCAGGTGGAGGTGGTGGTAATCCTGGCATCACAGCCTTTACAGGGCATCTTTGTAGGGGTCAAATGAGATTGTCCTGTGAAAGGCAGATGGGGCGCCTGATACATAGCAGGTGTTACCCAGAGATGGGGGTGGTGGGATGGGAACTTCCCGATCTCTAAAGGGCTCCTGTGTGCGGGAAGGGGAGTGGACGCATTTTGGGGGCTTCCGAGTGCCCGGAGGAGCTAAGGGCAGAGGTTAGACGGGCGTCAGTTTTTGTTTGCTTCTTTTTGGTTCGAAATGAGAAGTGCTTTCTGAAGTGAGAGCTGCCAAGGGTGAGCCCGAGTGGGGCCTCCTGTCACTGGAAGGACTTTCGAGAGAGGCTGGGGGACCACGTGTCAGGGAAAGGGGATCAAGGAGGGAATCCCACAGGAGTGAAGGGGGGATGTGGCCTGTGGGGCCTTCCCAGGTGTGCCCTGGCCTTGTGTTCCTTCACATTGTTTCTCTTCACACGGTGCGGGGCCACCTCCCAGCCTGCCAAGTCCTGTCACAGCTGTTGCCCTGTTTGGGCCTCACCAACGTGCCAGTGAGGTCCCACCAAGCCATTTGCCAGGGAGCCTGAGGCTGACAACCGATCCTCCCCTGCTGGGCCCAGCCTGTGACCCTTCTTGCTCCCTCAGGCACAGGCTTCCCCTGGCACAGTCTCTCCCATCTCCTCTGCTTCCCATCTTTCCTTCCAGAATGGCCGGTTTTCAGCAAACTCCACGGTGTGAGTTTTCCGTGTGTGGGGTGTGCCATGCTTGTGGCTCCGAGCCTCAGTTTTCTCATCTCTAAATTGGGGGAACAGCCTATGCCCTGGCTGCCCCCGGGCTTGCTGTGGCTCAGATGGGTCAGGTGGGCAGGGTGAGCAGCACGTAGTGAGGTGGACGGGGCTCGCTGGCCAGGCGACGTGCCAGGCTCTGAAGCCCCCCAGCCCATTTTCCCCCAGAAGAAAGAGAATGACGTCCCTTGGCCGGGGATTGCTGGGGAGCCTGCCCTGCTCGGAGCCACCAACTCTGTGCGGCCGGGTGTGGTATGGGGGTGTGTCTTCTGTGTGTGTGTGTGGCATATGTGGTATGGGTTTCTGTATGATGTGTGTGATGTCTATGTATGGTGTGGTGTGTGTGTTGTATGGGAGTATGTTTGTGTATGATGTGTATATTTGTGTGTGGTGTGTATCTGTGGTGTGTGTGTGTATGTGGCATATGTGGTATGGGTTTCTGTATGATGCATATGTAATGTCTGTGTGTGGTGCATGGGTTGTGTTTCTGTATGATGTGTGTGCGTGCGCTTGTGAGTGGTGTATGGGTGTGGGGGGGCGCATGTGTTGTGTGTTTCTGCCTGGTGTGTGTGTGTGCATTTGTTTCTGTATGGTGTGGGCATGCTTGTGGGTGGTGTATGTATGGGTGTGTGTGGGGGGGGCATGTGTGGTGTGTTTCTGCATGGTGTGTGTTTGTGTGTGTGTGTGTTTCTGCATGGTGTGTGTGTTTCTGCATGGTGTGTGTGCGTGTGAGTGTTTCTGCATGGTGTGTGTTTGTGTGTGTGTGTTTCTGTATGGTGTGTGTGCATGTGTGTTTCTGTATGATGCGTGTTTGTGTGTTTCTACATGGTGTGTGTATGTGCATGTGTGTTTCTGCATGGTGTGTGTTTGTGTGTGTGTGTTTCTGTACGGTGTATGTTTGTGTGTGTGTTTCTGTATGATGTGTGTTTGTGCATGTGTGTGTTTCTGCATGGTGTGTGTGTGTGTGTTTCTGCAAGGTGTATGTTTGTGTGTGTGTTTCTGTATGGTGTGTGTGTGTTTCTGCATGGTGTGTGTGTTTGTGTGTGTGTGTGTTTCTCCATGGTGTGTGTTTGCGTGTGTGTGTTTCCGCATGGTGTGTGTTTGTGTATGTGTGTTTCTGCATGGTGTGCGTTTGCATGTGTGTGTTTCTGCATGGTGTGTGTTTGTGTTTGTGTGTTTCTGCATGGTGTGTGTTTGTGTGTGTGTGTTTCTGTATGGTGTGTGTTTGTGTGTGTGTTTCTGCACGGTGCGTGTTTGTGTGTGTGTGTTTCTGCATGGTGTGTATGGTGTGTGTGTGTTTCTGTATGGTGTGTGTGTGTGTTTCTGCATGGTATGTATGGTGTGCGTGTGCATGGTGTGTATGGTGTGTGTGTGTTTCTGCATGGTGTGTATGGTGTGTGTGTGTGTTTCTGCATGGTGTGTATGGAGTGTATGGCGCGAGTTTCTGTATGGGGGGTGTGTGTGTGTTTCTGCATGGTGTGTATGGTGTGTGTGTGTGTTTCTGTATGGTGTGTGTGTGTTTCTGCATGGTGTGTATGGTGTGCGTGTGTGTTTCTGTATGGTGGGTATGGTGTGTGTGTGTGTTTCTGTATGGTGTGTATGGTGTGCGTGTGTGTTTCTGCATGGTGTGTATGGTGTGTGTGTGTTTCTGCATGGTGTGTATGGTGTGTGTGTGTGTTTCTGTATGGTGTGTGTGTGTGTGTGTTTCTGCATGGTGTGTATGGTGTGTGTGTGTGTTTCTGTATGGTACCTGCATGTTTGTGTCTGTAACATGCACAGAATCACCCTCTCCTGGACACATAACGGACTCTCAGGTGTCTGTTGGGTGCAGAATGAACAACCTGACCCAAAACAGGAAGTCCTGACAGTGTGGGCCACTGTAGCCATAGATGGAGCTGGGAGAGTGGCATTGGGTGGCCTGTGTCCCAGCTTGGTGGGACTGTGTGGCCCTGTCTGCGGGGAGGGGCTTGAGGGTCTTTGCCCTTGGGATGGGAGGGTCCTAGGTGAGGGGTCAGCCAGCCCGGGTGGGGGTGCTCCCGCTGCTGCAGTGCTGATGACATAATTGCCCAGGGAAGTGGAAGCTGAGGGCACCTCAGAGAGCTGGGGCTGGGGACTGTGGTGCCTATGTGGGGTGGCACACACACCATACACACCATGCAGAAACGCACACATCCCCCTCCCTGACCTCCACATCACATGGGCTGGGTGCTGTCCTCCTAGCCCTATGGCCTTTGACCATAGCCTGGCTGACCACTGGTGGGGAAGAGGCAGGTTCTCCTCTCCTACTCCCTCTGTGACCTACAGCCCCTGACCTGTTAGGCCTCAGTTTTCTCATCTGTAAAATGGGTCTGTCTCCTGTGGCAATCTCAACCCAGCTGGCCTCATAGTCCTGGAGATAGATGGTCACCCGATGGTGGCCTAAAGTCAGGCTTGGGCCTCAGGGACACCCGATCTTGCTTGCAGAGCAGAAAAGGTTTGCCCCAAAGAGGTGTGGCCCAAGCCAAGTACTGGGGACAGTTAGAAGGTGATCCCAGGTGGCCTGTGAGCTAGAGAAGGGCACATGCAGAGGCCTGCAGGGGACAGCAGGCATGGCCCAGGCTGGAGCAAGGAGCAGGGTGCAGTGCAGAGGCCTGGCTGCTGTAGCCATGGACACTTTTTCCCCGACAGGGCATCAGCAGGGAACGGTGGGGAGGGTCACTCCCCATGGCCCTAGAGCCTGGATGGATTGGCATATAGGCCTAGACCAGGGGAGGCCACTGTGTCACACGAATGCAGACAGGCAAGGGTGAGGGCTGGCTGGGGTGGTGGCAGTAGGGGACACCTCTGAGAACTGGTGATAGAGGACAGTTCTTGGTGGCTGGATGTTGAGGGTTGGGGAAGCCTGAGGCCCATTTGTGGATTAAGCCGCCACACTTAAGCGTGGAATTGGGTCCAGGTCACTAAGTACTCCTGAATGTGCTGGTGCAGGTGGCAGCTCTGCCGTCATTTCTATGTTGATGAGACCCACCAGCTGTGACCTCTTGGCATCAGTGATGGGACACAGGGCTTGGGAGCCCTGGCCACAGGTGGCCCTCTCTGGGATTAGCAATGGTCGCCAGCCCTCGTTCCACGTGGTGCCGTCCGCACGGCCCACCCCCATTATGGATGGAGAGTCCTGCGTGGAGAGAACACAGCCGGGCCAGGGCCATGGCGGGAATGGTGGCAGAGCTGGGGCAAGTGACTAAGCCTCCTGCTCCTCATTCCGGGTCCTCTCTATGGCACCTCACCTCCAAGCCCAGAGTACGTGTTAGGAAAACCTAACTTGGTTGACATTATTGATACGCCTCATGGAAGTTTCATTTAAAACTCCCTCTAACTATTTTGCATCAGTATAAAAAGAGACAGCAAGCACCTTGTTAATTTCCTATAATTGGAAAATGAGGTCTCCTAAGAAAGTTAATTTCCTAGACTTCCCAGGCCTTTTCTTTTTTGTGTGTTTTAGGGACAGGGTGTCACTGCTCTGTCGCCCAGGCTGGAGTGCAGTGGCGCCACCATAACTCACTGCAGTTTTGAACTCCTAGGCTCACATGCTCCTCCCACCTCAGTCTCCTGGGTAGCTAGGACTACAGGCTTGCACCACCACATCCAGCTAACTTTTACATTTTTTTGTAGAGACAGGGTCTTCCTCTCTTGCCCAAACTGGTCTTGAACTCCTGGGCTCAACCATCCTCCTGCCTTGGGCTCTCAGAGTGCTGGGATTAGAGGCTTGAGCCACCATGCCCAGCCTGAGGCTTCTTCTTTTTAAGTATTAAAAGACTTTATTTTAATCTCCTCTCTCTCTTTTGGGGTGGTGGCATGGTGGAAAAATCTTTGCTTTCTGGAAAATCTTTGCTGCCTTTCATTTTCCTGCCTGTGTCTTCGCCTTTTGCACGATGCTGTCTTCCAGTTCCCTGTGTCCCTTAGGCCCCGGGGCTGGAAGAACAGACAGCTCAGCTGCTAGGATTACGTGAAAATCCTGAGAATCAAGCTGTGCCCCTGGGACGGGGGCTTTGCCTACTGTGTGGTGTGCACTGGCTCTGGGTGAGGGGTTTGGGCCCCCCAGAAGCCATGCCTCCTTTGCCAGTGGCAACAGCTCTGTTCCACGGGACTGTACAACCTCAAGATAGGTGTGCATTTTCGAGGGTATGTTGCAAACTAGTAGCATTGTCAGAAAATAGAAAAACTAACAGAGCCTTTTGCATTTCCTAAATTATTAGAATGTTAACAAGTGACATCTTTCGTTTAAAGGGTTTTGTAGTTTGCAATTAAGTCATTATAATTGTTAACTGTTACCGAGTCCTTATTACGGTCTGGTCCCTGTTCTGAATACCTTAAAAGTATGAAACCATTTCATGCCCAAAACAACCTTAGGAGGAAGGAATTATTACTAGCCTCATTTTCTGATCAAGAAATTGAGGCACAGAGAGGAGACAGAAGTCTCCTGTCTGAGGTCACACAGCTAGTAAGTGGCAGAGCTAAGAATCCACCCAGTCACTCTGGCTCCTGAGCCCGTGCTCTCGCCCTCCACATCCCCCTCCCTGACCTCCATATCACATGGGCTGGGTGCTGTCCTCCTAGCTTTGCAGCTGACGAAACAACAGTTCAGGGGTATGAACTGACGTCTCCCGCATCCTAGAGCCGGCACTTGCTTGTGTGGGACTTGAATTCAGGTCAGCAGCTGCTCCCTCTAACCTCTATTTATATCACATTATGTTATTTTTCTTCATAAGGCCTCTGCCATGCCTTGAATCTCAGCACCATCTTTTAAAGACAAGAATCTTTTGTGATTTCATGCTAAATATGCAATGCAGCGTCTTTGTAGTTCCTTTAGAAAATGTATCCAGGCAAAAATCAAATCCTAAAAGAAGGAAAAACCCAAGTACCCTAACCTCTTTCAAAGATGTCCTGTCTCAATAGATTGTAAATATTTGTCTACGCTATTTTATTATTATTACTATTTGAGACAGGGTCTCACTCTGTCGCCCAGGCTGGAGTGCAGTGGTTCGATCTCGGCTCACTGCAACCTCTGCCTCCTAGGTTCAAGCGAATCTCCTGCCTCGGCCTTCTGAACAGTTGGGATTACAGGCTAATTTTTGTACTTTTAGTAGAGACGGGGTTTCACTATCTTGACCAGGCTGGTCTTGAACTTCTGACATCAAGAGATCCGCCCGCCTCGGCCTCCCAAAGTGCTAAGGTTACAGGCGTGAGCCACTGCATCCGGCCCTGTCTATGCTATTTTAAATGCCTACACTTAAATATAAGCCTGCCTACAAATGCACATATATACAGCGTATATTATATGCAGTATATATACACATTATATGTACATATACACTGTAGTATGCTGTATGTACGATTGTATAAGTTGCTTTTTCCATTTAATAGGTGGCAAACCTCAGAGCTGGCAGAGTGATGCCCACAGGTCAAATCTGGTCCACAGATGGCTTTTGTTTGGGCTGAAACATATTTAAACAAATTTATGTGAATTCATTTCTAATGTATACAAATTGGAAAATTTCACATAAAAATCAATGTTAGCTTTCTCCGGAAAAATCAGATCTGGTTCCTCTGTTTAATGCTCTTGAACATGGCTGGAGCCGCGCTGCGATCACTGGAGTAGATGGCGTGTGCCGAGGGCTCACTCCAGTGACTTCCTGCACGTTTGCTGTGTGCTCCCTGCTAGGTCCGGGGGCAGCCTGCACGTCTGTTGTGATGGCGTACACTTCTCTACTGCATACCCATCACGGGATTTAGTCGTGCAGTTTTGTAGTACAAGGAATTCCCTATGGCTGGACATTTAGGTTGCTTCCAACTTTTGCCCTCCTGATGCCTGGCACCGTTCTTCGGAAGGTGAGAGGGAAGTTGAAGGCAAGAGAGTATTGGTCTCCAAACAGTCACGTTGTTCCGGGCCTGAACACTGAGGACCATTTGACGCCCTTGCTCCTTACGCAGCCCACTGTTGATAGAGTCATAGGAAAAATCCTGGGTCAAGCTATGGACATTGTTGGCAAATCTGGCAGCACATGCCAGTGAGAATGATGATGCTGATGAAGATGAAGCTGCTGCCATTTTTTTTTTTTTTTTTTGAGACAAGGTCTGGCTCTGTTGCCCAGGCTGGAGTTCAGTGGTGCAATCTTGGCTCACTGCAACCTCTGCCTCCCAGATTCAAGTGATTCTCCTGCCTCAGCCTCCCAAGTAGCTGAGATTATAGGTGCGCACCACCTTGCCTGGCTAATTTTTGTATTTTTAGTAGAGACAGGATTTCACCATGTTGGCCGGGCTGGTCTTGAACTCCTGATCTCAGGTGATCCGCTTGCCTCGGCCTCCCAAAGTGCTGGGATTACAGGTGTGAGCACTGTGCCCGGCCTGCTGCCATTTTTTGAGCTTGCTTTGTGCCAGGAAGTGTGCCAAGAAATGCCCAAACCTGAAGGCACTTAGCCTCCAGCAGCTCTGTGGAGTGGGGACTCGGACAGCCTCTGAGTCTCCACTTGGGCCATAAAGGACGCATGGAAGGAGCTGAAGCTGGCCTGGGGTGTGAGCTTCACTCTGGTATTTCAGTTCTGCTCAAAAGAGAACCCAGTATCATCTCTTTCATTATTTTGTTGATTGCATAAACAGCATGGCCACCATCACTGGATTTTAAACGAAACTGAAAATCGTGGGATGTGAACTGATGAGAAGCACATTCCCCATCTCTCCAGGTGCTGCCCGGCAGGGCTCACATGCCACTGTTGTCCGTGGGCCTCCCTCCCTGTCTCTGCCTGGGCTGTTTCTGAGTGGGCTGATGTGCCTTTGCTCATTCAGCCATCAATAACTTTTGGGTCCTGAGGTTATTTCCAGTTTTCCACTGCCATCAACAATTCAAATGATGCTACTCGCAACATCTTTAGGCAGATTGCTCTTTCCTTTCGGGAATTGCTTCCTTAGAATAAATTTCCAGGAAGCATATTACTGCGCCTGGGGTAGGAATATGGCTGTAGCTTTTTAAGTCAGTACAATCAATTTGGATTTAGATATTTAAAACAAAGTCATGTACTTACTCAGAGAGAGATTTTTTTCCTAAGGGCTCATTAAGTAATGAATGTTTGTTAAAAAAAAAAAAAAAGTGTGGCTAGATTCTTTAGGATAAACTGTTTTCTGTCCACAGAAAGGATTTGACTCTACCAACCTAGCCCATTCATATTTTCTCCACGGAGACCCCTGGGATTTCCACGTAATTTTTGGTGAAGTTTGCAGGAAGTGTTACAAAGACTTCTTGGTGATGGGCTGGAATTTCTGCTTATCAGATATTATTTGGACTTGAGTTGTCTTGAAGGAGCTACTTTTCTTTTTGTGCCTATGTTACTTGAATCCTCCTATAAAACTATCAGGCCATGTGGGGCTGGAGGCAGGAGACCTGGGTTGGAAAGCCCATGGCTGCCACCGGGTCATCCAACAATCTTGGGCAACTCACTTCTGCTTTCTGAGGCTTACTTTTTCCATCTGCACCTTGGAGGCAAAGGTCCCTTCTGATCTCACCTTGCAGGTTGTGAATTGTGACTGTAGAGGGATGTGAGCAGCCCTGTTCAGCCGGGAGGCATTGTGGTTTCTTGATGAGATCACACACAGTGTGGAGAGGGGCAAGGCAAGGCTTATTCAGACTCGTGTTCTGAGGAGCTGGTTGCCTTCCGGCATTAAACAAAGTGCTGACTGTGTCCCAGGAGTGGTTTTTTTTTGTTGTTGTTGTTGTTTGTTTGTTTTTGAGACGGAGTTTTGCTCTTGTTGTCCAGGCTGGAGTGCAATGGCGTGATCTCGGCTCACCGCAACCTCCACCTCCCGGGTTCAAGCGATTCTCCTGGCTCAGCCTCCCAAGTAGCTGGGATTACAGCCATGCGCAACCACGCCCAGCTAATTTGTACATTTAGCCGAGAGGGGGGTTTCTTCATGTTGGGTCAGGCTAGTCTCGAACTCCCAACCTCAGGTGATCCACCTGCCTCGGCCTCCCAAAGTGCTGGGATTACAGGCGTGAGCCACCGCGCCCGGCCCCAGGAGTGGTTTTTCCCTGCATGCCTGGTATATTAATTTCCTGTGGCCTCTATAAAGCATGACCACAAACTGGGTGGTAAACAGAAATTTACTCTCGCAGTTCTAGAGGTCAGAAGTCCCAAATCACAGTGCTGGCAGGGTCGCATTCCCTTAAAAAAAGCTGTCAGTCCTTCCCCGCTCCAGCTTTGGGTGGCTGTCGGCTGTCCTGGGCTTCCCTGGTGTGGCCGCAGTGCTCCGGTCTCTTCCCTGACTTCGCTTGGGCTTCTCCTCTGTGTGTCTTCTCTGTGCATCTCCTAGAAGGACTCTTGTCAATGGATTTAGACTTCATCCTACTGCAGGATGATTTCATCTTGAGATCTTTAACTTCGTTACATCTTCAAAGATGCTTTTTCCTAATAAGGGTACATCTGCAGGTTCTGGGGAGCAGGATGTGATCGTATTTCTTTGGGGGCCACGATTCAGCCCGCCTCAGCCCTCATTGGCCAGAAGCTGGCCCATGTTGGCCAACCAGAGCTCTGCGCTTGCCTCCTGTGGCCTCAGTCCAGGGTCCCAGTCCTTCTGCTTGCCTCTACAATGTTGTCACCACGAAGCTGTGCTTTAATGAAGAGAGGAAATTTTGCAGGAGGCCTAAGAAGGCCAGACAAGGCCTTGCACCCAGTGCATGGGCAGATATTGGTGGTGGGCATCGTGGAAGGCTGTGGGGTCAGGCCAAGAGCCTGGCATATAGGTCAAGGTTGGCGAATATCCACCTCCTGCGAACCAATCCTGTTGGCTCCAGAACTGAAATATCTCTGCAGCCCACCCATCTCTGACACCACATGCCCCTTGTCCCAGCCTCCATGTCATTTGTCTGTGTCTCAGCAGCCCAGGTGCCTTTTAAACAGCAGGATGATGGTCACAGAGCCTCTGCAATGCTTCCTGTGTGACAGGCAGGGACCCATTTCACCCTCACCACCACCAGTGGGATACAGCTATTACCTGTTGCGGGAAGTCAGGGACCCCAAACGGAGGGACCGGCTGAAGCCATGGCAGAAGAACGTGGATTGTGAAGATTTTATGGACATTTATTACTTCCCCAAATTAATACTTTTGTAATTTCTTATGCCTGTCTTTACTGCAGTCTCTAAACATAAATTGTAAAGATTTCATGGACACTTATCACTTCCCCAATCAATACCCTTGTGATTTCCTATGCCTGTCTTTACTTTAATCTCTTAATCCTGTCAGCCAAGAAGGATATGTATCGTCTCAGGACCCTGTAATAATTGCGTTAACTACACAAATTGTACAGCATGTGTGTTTGAGCAATATGAAATGTGGGCACCCTGAAAAAAGAACAGGATAACAGCAATTGTTCAGGGAATAAGAGAGAGAACCTTAAACTCTGACCGCTGGTGAGCCAGGCAGAACAGAGCCGTATTTCTCTTCTTTCAAAAGCAAATGGGAGAAATATCGCTGAATTCCTTTTCTCAGCATGGAACGTCCCTGAGAAAGAGAATGCGCACCTAGGGGTAGGTCTCTGAACTGGCCCCCCGGGGCGTACCTGTCTCTTATGGTCAAGATTGCAGAGGTGAAATAAACTCCAGTCTCCCATAGCGCTCCCAGGCTTATTAGGAAGAGGAAATTCCCGCCTAATAAACTTTGGTCAGACCGGTTGATCTCAAAACCCTGTCTCCTGATAAGATGTTATCAATGACAATGGTGCCCAAAACTTCATTAGCAATTTTAATTTCACTTCGGTCCTGGTCCTGTGGTCCTGTGATCTTGCCCTGTCTCCACTTGCCTTGTGATATTCTATTACCCTGTTAAGTACCTGATGTCTGTCACCCACACCTATTCGTATACCCCCTCCCCTTTTTGAAACTCCCTAATAAAAACTTGTTGGTTTTTGTGGCTTGTGGGGCATCACGGATCCTACCAATGAGTGATGTCTCCCCCGGACGCCCAGCTTTAAAATTTCTCTCTTTTGTACTCTATTCTTTTATTTCTCAAGCCAGTCGACGCTTAGAAAAATAGAAAAGAACCTACGTGATTATCGGGGCAGGTCCCCCGATAATTACCATCTGCACTTCAGTGAAATGGAAATCCGAGTCACACCCTGCTAATGGCTTCCCAGCATGCTCAGAGCAGGGCTTGAACTCTGTCCTGGGCCAGCTTCACGGGCACACGAGCTGTGCTGTCCTGCAGGGCCTACACTCAGAGGGCCTGGCTCTTGGCTTAATGCTCTGCTGTTGCCGTCATGCAAGTCTTAATAATTTTGAACAAGGAGCCTCACGTTTTCATTTTGCACTGGGCTGCAAATACATAGCTGGTCTTGACTCTGTGCTTGGTGTAGAACCCCCACGTGGTCTGGCAGTTTGCCCTCCCCACCGCCTGCCCGTGACAGGTGATATTTGATAGCTGTGTATCACAGTGCCCTGTAGACTTGTTCTTTCCAGCACCTACCACAAGCCATCATTGTTTTATGTATTCATTTCCATAGTGGTGTTCCTGACTAGACCGTTCTGTGATGGCTGGGACCTTGTCTGGTCCTCCTGCATGCCCGGTATATTAATTTCCTGTAGGCAGTTAAAGGGCACCGGCACTGCCAAGGCACAGACAAACGACTTGGAGGCTGGGACAGGGGACATGTGATGTCAGAGATGGGTGGGCTGCAGAGATATTTCAGTTCTGGGGCCAACAGGACTGGTTTGCGGGAGATGAATATTTGCCAACCTTGGCCTATATGCCAGACAAGGTCCAGGGTCAGCAGGTCCAAGGTCCCCGTGCCTTCAGGAAGGAGCCTTCTCTGAGGACTCCGCCTCCTGTGTGTCCTGAGCAGTCATCCTCCAGCCTGCGGCGCTGAGCCAGTGCTGTGCTCCTTCCTCGACAGTGGGCTGTGCCATCTCCTGCTTGGTGGGCAGTGGGCTCAGAACGAAAATCCCCGGGCGCAGCAGACACCAAGCTAAGCTCAGGCAGGAGAGTTCCCTGCTGTTGCTCCTGCTGATGAGACCTTTGGGCAGCCCGCAGCCAGAGGGGCTGATTACAGTGATGCTGTGTGGTGCTGTGAGCGTCGGGACTATCAACAGTGTGTCCATGGCACAGAGGCCGGCTGCTGGGGCCCACCCTGAGCTCCGAGATTGACTTGGCCCAGAACTTTGGACATCTTCCCCTCCTGCACTCCATTCGTCTCCACACTCACTGTGGCCCAGCCTGGCAGTGTCTGGCATGGGGTGTTGAGAGTACCAGGCTTGGTATCAGCCCATGGAGATTTATTCACCCTGGAATCGGATCGAGCTTGGACTTTGGGCTGGGCACGGGGTAGGGTGCACAAAGGTGGGAGCTAAGGTTCTGACCCCGAGGAGCTGACACTTGACATACAGGGCAGGGCAGCCCTTTCCCCCACCGGCAGCCCAAAGAGTTGGCAGACCTGCAGCCGCCCCATCCTGCCTGCGAGGCCGGTGGGCTGCTCCTGTGGATGTGGTCCTTTTGCTTTCTCTTCAGCTTTTTAGTGGTGTCCTTCCTGGCTAATTGCAGATATTTTTCTTGCCTTTCTTAAAAAACAAAACAAAACGAAAAAACTGCACTGTTTCCTCTTAAAAGCAGTCATTGAAGTAGAACATTGTACTTACCTAGAAGAGTCTAAAGAAGAGAATAGATATCACCTATAATTGCATCCCCCAGGTGGTCCCTGTCAGTATCCTGGGGGCGTGGCTGCTATGTCCTTTCCACCGTATCCCCAGGGTGCAGGGCTGGCACCTTGCAGGTGCTCAACACATATTTGTGACTGAGTGAAAATAATGAGCAAATATATATATAGCAGACAATTGAAACTATAAATTGTATTTGTTTTTTATTTTTATGTATTTATTTATTTATTTTGAGATGGAGTCTCCCAGGCTGGGGTGCAATGGCACGATCTCGGCTCACTGCAACTTCCGCCTCCCAGGTTCAAGCAATTCTCCTGTCTCAGCCTCCTGAGTAACTGGAATTACAGGTGCGCACCACCACGCCCTGCTAATTTTTTGTATTTTAAGTAGAGAGGCAGTTTCATCATGTTGGCCAGGCTGGTCTCAAACTCCTGATCTCAGGTGGTCTGCCCACCTCGGCCTCCCAAAGTGCTGGGATTACAGGTGTGAGCCACCACACCCAGCCTGTTTTTTTATTTCACCTTTTTCACTCTTTGTGGTACTGACCTTTTCCCCATGTGGACTTTTCTGTCGGGGCTTAGACATCATTTACTTAATCTATCCCTTCTGGCTGAGCCTTGTGTTGTTGGGATGAACATCCAAGTGTTTCTATCAGAGACCGTATCTCTGGTATTTCCTTAAAGCACATTCCTAGAAGTGGCCACAGAAAGGAATAAAAAGGAGCAAGCTTCCTTTTTTGGTGTTGTATTTTCTGTGTCTTCCTGCCCATCAGGGCATGGGGAGGTGCACTTCAGACTCGAAGGCTGATTTCTGAGAACTGCTGTGGTTATAAAAGCGGCAGGTCAGCCGAGGTGAGGAATGAATTATGTATCAAGCTCTAAGTCAGATCAAGGCGAATGGAGTTCATACTTGTCTGAAGACAGAATGTACCTTTCTGGAATCGATCAGCGGTGATGTTGATTAGCCCAGAATAATCCTTCATGGTGTGTTAAGAAACACCCCTCTCTCCTGTTCAGGAGGAAAGCAGCTGACCTCCATCACTGCCTCCCAGATTTTGTAGCTTGGAGGGATGTCCCAGGGCCCCAGGGCTAGCAGGTCCCGCCTGACTTCAGTTCATGGCCACCGAGCATCTGCAACTTGCTGGATGCACTGGTGTTGTGGAGACCCCACCCCAGACCATCCCTGGGCACCCCTGTCCTGTACTTTCTGCATCTCCTGTCCATAGGCTGAGGTCACATGGACTCCAGGAGGCCAAATCCAATGTCCAGCTTCAGGTCCTCACCTTGACCTCTTTGGGGCTGCCCGCTGTTGGAGTCTTCCTTCTTCTAGACACACCATCTTCTGTAGCCTCCCTGGTGCTTTCTCTCCTTCTGTCCTGTTCATGGCCTTCCTTGCCAATTTTGTCTCATCTGCCCAACCTCCCAAGTTAGCATTCCTTGACACTGGAGTGTTCCCTCCTCGCTCTGCATTCATTCCCTACATAATCTAATCCCAACGCCACGACTCACTGACTGTGTGGATTTAGGTAGCTGACTTCACCTCTCTGTGCTTTCATTTCCTCATCTCTAAAATGGGCCTAGTAAAATCCTCTCTCACCAGGTGTTCCAAAGATGATAGGACAGGATTCCCAGCTCCCGTCACAGGCCCTGGCACATGATGGGTGCCTCATGACTCTTCTGCTGTCACTCACTCACTCATTCATTCACGCACCTGGCGGATCCTGATGGAATGCATCCTTACGTGCTGCCCTCTGTTCTAGGCATGGAGGACACAGCAGGCGCAGAGCAGGCCCAGGCCCTGCTTACTGGGAACCCATCCTCGTGTAGGGGACATAGATGAGAACTAA
The DNA here is from genome assembly GCF_000001405.40 of Homo sapiens. Classification (NCBI taxonomy): domain Eukaryota; kingdom Metazoa; phylum Chordata; class Mammalia; order Primates; family Hominidae; genus Homo; species Homo sapiens. The sequence goes on along the minus strand of NC_000004.12, from coordinate 6,113,785 downwards.
GTCAATTACAGTTTGTCAGATGGAAAACGAGAAGGAGACGTGGTGAAGGGAAGGGAGAGCAGAGGCGGGCTTTCCGAGGCAGCTTGGGGCGGTGATTAGGCTCAGTCCTGGCTCACCCGCTTCCAGCTGTGGACCTTGATCAGGTTCATACTATTTCCTCTCTCAGTAGTTGAGTGACATCACCAGCAGTCAACCTCTGTGTGTCTCAGTTTCCTCATCTGTAACACTGGGTGATATCACCTACCTAGTAGGGAAGGAAACCACTAACCTCTGAAATCGAAAAGTCCATTTCTCTAAGTGTGGTCCTCACGCCCTGCTCCAGAATTGCTGGGATTGTGGATGGAAATGCAGATTCCCTGGACCACCATGCTCCTCATGCTTCAAGCTCTGGATGAGGCCCAGGGCCCTGCTTTTTGGAAGAAGCACCTTGGGAGACACAGGCTCACTGATGTTGGCAGACCATGGTCTGCAGGCTGCTGAGATGGGCTGGTCTCATCCTGATGGGAGCAGGATGGACTGAAGCTATTCCAGGTGTGGTCACCTGGGAGCCTCACCTAGGAGCATGTTAGAAATGCAAATCAGATTCTCTAGGGGTGGGCCCAGGACTCCACGCCTTAACAACCTCCAAGCGATTCTGCTGCAGCCCCCATCGGGAAGGCTCTAGGTCAGTCTGGGAGTGGCAGGTCATGCTCCAGATGAGGCAGGTGCCTGGCCCAGGGTGCCCGAGGCAGGGACACCAGCTCCCCACCCTTCTGTCTCTGCTAACTCAGTTTCCCTCCTTCCTTCAGGATCCCAAGTGATGGTGGTTTCCTCGGAGGGCGAGCTGAGTCCTGCGCGACTGGTTAGCACGGTGGAGCTGGTAGCCACGCCTGCTGGCTGGCGTGCGTGAACAGGTGTGGACCGCAGGATCTCAGCACTCTGACCCAAGGGGAAGCATGTCGAAGAAAGGCCGGAGCAAGGGCGAGAAGCCCGAGATGGAGACGGACGCGGTGCAGATGGCCAACGAGGAGCTGCGGGCCAAGCTGACCAGCATTCAGATCGAGTTCCAGCAGGAAAAAAGCAAGGTGGGGGTTGGCGTCAGCTCAGCAGCGGCTGGGCTGCAAATGTCCCTTTGGGCAGTGTTGCCTCTGAGGCATGTGTGTGAAGAGCCTGTTCCAGGAGGGGGGCCGAGGGGGGGCACTTCACCTCTCTGCCCTGCTGTCTGTCCCTTTGCAGTACAGAGACTGCTGGGCAGGAGTCTGGGCCCTACCAGTGCTTGCTGTGACCTTCAAAAAGCCACTGAACACCTCATTCTTTGATTTCTCTTACCTGCAAGATGGGGGTTGTCAGAAGAAAAATGTTTGACAAATTCAGTTTAGCAGAGATTAACTGAGCAAAGAACGATTCGAGGATGGGGCAGTCCCCAGAACAGAACAGGTTCAGAGAAACCTGCATGTGGTCAGACAGCATTCATTATGGGGACAGAAAACAGAAGAGGTGCTGAGGCTACTTGATCAGTTACAGCTTGACCCTTGATCCATGGGTCACCTGTGATTTACTGATGCTCAGCTGCTGTGATTGGCTGAGCTTCGGCTATTTGTTTAAAAATGCTCCTAAGTCAGGCTTTTGGTTAGTTTGCCTGCTAAGTTAGGTTGCAGTTCATCATATAGGAACTCATGCATGAAGGCATCCTCAGGCTGAATTCAGCAGGGTCATGGCGGTACCAGCTTTTCCTAAATTCCAAAAGGGAGTAGGGCATAGTGAGGTATGTCCCACTTCCCCGCTTCCCATCATGGCCTGAACTAGCTTTTCAGGTTAACTTTGGAAGACCCTTGGTGGAGAGGAGGGATCCGTTCAGATGGTCAGGAGGCTTCAAAGTTTATTTTTGGTTTATGCTGCCATGAGGTCTTGTAAGCCATATATGTGCTTTCTTAGATGTGATGGGGCTGTGGTCTGGACTCAGGGCTCTGCTAGGTAAAGAGCTTGGAACAGAGCCTGGTTCTGCGATATGAGCTACTTTCCTCTCTCCTAAGGCAGATTTGAGCTTTGGAGCTGGTCAGGACAGTGCCTGGTTGGGTGCTGGCAGTCTAATTAAAGCACGGGCTGTCACAGAGGGGAGGAGCACAGGCTTTCTAGGCAGACCCGGTTTCAAACCTCAGCTTGTCCGCTAACTGGTCTCATGATCTTGGCCAGGTGACTAAAAGTCTCCGAAACCTCTGTCTTCTCATCTGACACCAGCTATTATGGTGTAATTATAGCTGTCCGGTTTAAGATGGTCATGAGGATCTGATTAATGGATGCAATAAAAAGCCCCATCAACATCTGGTGCCCAGGCACAGCTGCAGTCCTATTTGGTGGCCTGCTTCTGACTTGGGTGGGCTTGAGGGTAGAGCAAGCCCAGGGTTCTGTGAGCCCAGAGAGGAGCTGCCAGCCAGGCTGAGCACAGAAAGAGCATGGAGATGCAGGCTTGCTCCTGGGTGGCTCGAGCAGTTGAAGGTCTATCTGAAGCCCCGAAGGTGCCCTCTGGCTCCTGCTGTAGTACCTGGAGTGACGGGTGGAGGCTGCTTGGGGAATTGCAGCAGGCGTCCCTGTCTTGTTGAGCTGGGACTCAGGTCGCCAATGGAGTGCTGGGCCAGATCCAGCTTCCAGGTGGGGACGGGGCTGGGGCCTGGGATCTGGCTGCAACCCCAGCTCAGGATGGCCACACAGAGCAGAGGCTGAGTTCTGGACCAGGGGACTGGGCTTCTGGAACTTGGGGACAGATGCACCTGTCTCCATCCCTAGGTGTTCAAGATTCCAGGCCGAGTGCATCCAGCCTCTTTTAGACATGGATGCTGGTGATGCTGACCTGTTCACCCTTTAGCCAGGTCAACAGGCCAGGTCACCTCCGGGGCTGGGGCTGGGGCTGACTGGCTGGGGGTGTAAGGGCTGGCAGCTTGTATCTGGACATAGCTACAGCAGCTGTGGTGACAGGGAAAGCTGCTCACTCATATCACACTGCCTGGGCTCAAATCCCCTCTCCACCACCACCCCTGCCTGAGGTCTTATAAGCTGTGTAACCCCCTGCCTCAGTTTTCCCATCTGTAGATGGGGACCTCTAAGGTGTCTGCCTCCTGGGTTGTTTGAGGAATGAATGAGACAGTCACACACAGGGCCTGGGTGCTGCCTGTCATACGCTCACATGACCATCAGGGTGACCTTTACATGCCTACTGTGCAGATAGCACCAGGTGCTTTAGAGGGTGTCATGACCCTGGCAGTGACCTGAGAGATCAGGTGTGGCTTCCCCCGTGTTACAGGTGAGCAAGCCAAGGGCTGGAGAGGGCGGGGACTTGCCCAGGTGTGTTAGCTTGCCAGGGCTGCAGTAACCAAGTCCCACAGATAGGGCGGCTTACGCAACAGACGATTGCTGTCTCACAGTCCTGGAGGCTGGCAGCCACAGATCCAGGTGTCAGGATTGGCTCCTTCTGAAGCCTCTCTCCTTGGCTTGCAGACGGCCGCCTTCTCCCTGTGTCTTCACATGGCTTTCTCCTCTGTGTTTGTCCATGTCTGTATTTTCTGTTCTTACAAAGACACCAGGCAAATCGGATTAGGGCCCACCCTAATGACCTCATTAGGATCTATCTCCAAATGGAATCACATCCTGAGGTCATGGGGGTTAGGACTTCAACATATGATTTTCAGGGGGACACAGTTTAGCCCCACACACGAGGCCAGCACAGTAGGTGGTATTGCAGGATTGAAAGCCAGGCCCATGCGGACCCCAGGCTGGGCCTCCCTGTTACCAGGCTGCCTCCCTGCCTCTGGGACGTGTGGCAATTTCCACTTGGATGCACGCTGGCTGATTATTTTCTCAATCCAGCCATCCATGTGGCCGCTTCAGGTTGACTTTACCCATCTGGCTGCTGGGAGAATTTCAATTCTCTGAGAATTCAGTAATGTGCTTATTGACTGGTACAAAAAACATAAATGCAAACTTTACAATTGCATTGAAGTGTTACTTTGATATGATCTCACAATCACTGTCAATGTCCCATTTAAAGTGCTGGCATTTTAGCAAAGCATCCCTGTTGAACACTGTAGGATGAAGGAGGGTGGTAAACGTGTCTGTCTATTCATCTGCAAACCCCTGGCATGCATGCTCCATGCCTGGGCTGAGTGAGAAGTGTTTGGAAGTAACTCAGAGACAGACCCTGTCCTCAAGTCGCATGGGTACAGAGCCTCACAGGAAACCAGCAATACAGCAGCCCTGGGCACATTCCATCAGAGGTTTTAGAAAATAGTGCAGGGACAAGCAGAACCCAAGGCTTCACAGGGGCAGTTTTGTGGGGGTTTTGTGGAGCATTTCCTTACTTTCTGGCATTATAAGATGCCCCAGGCTCCGCAGTGGCTCATGCCTGTAATCTCAGCACTTTGGGAGGCCAAGGCGGGCGGATAATGAGGTCAGGAGATCGAGACCATCCTGGCTAACACAGTGAAACTCTGTCTCTACTAAAAATATAAAAAAATTAGCCGGGCGCAGTGGCGGGTGCCTGTAGTCCCAGCTACTCTGGAAGCTGAGGCAGGAGAATGGCGTGAACCTGGAAGGCAGAGCCTGCAGTGAGCCAAGATCGTGCCACTGCACTCCAGCCTGGGGGACAGAGCGAGACTCCGACTCAAAAAAAAAAAAAAAAAAAAAAAAAAGGTGCCCCAGGCACATCTTGTATATTTCCTACCCCAGCGCTAGACCCAGCAGTTTCTCTAAGGGGTCCTGGTTCCTTTTATTGGAGAATGGCATTAGAAACAAAGATCCAGGCACCAGGCGTGCCCATCACTGCTGCGGTGTCATTGTTTCTAGGCCCTCTCAGCTGCCAGAACAAGGAATATATATGTGTATACTGACCTGCGTATGTACGCATACCTGTAAATATTTCCATATATGACATCTATATCCATACAAAGTCAAACATGAGTTCTTACAGATGTCCCAAGACGCATCCACTGCCGCATGGCTCCCTTCAGCCTCCTCTTGCTTGTCTGTAACCTCTTACTCCAAGTGGGAAACCTGGCTTCCCCCTCTGCCATCCACTTTCTTTGTTCAACACTATACATGTATGATGGTTTCAGAGTAGTGAACTGGTACCCATGAGATTTAGAGGGCTTTGAGCATGGAGGGTGTGGCGGGGAGGGCTGCTGCAGGTGGCTTGGGCAAGGGGGAAGTGGGGAAGTGGCCAGGCCTGGACATGGAGAGCCAGTGCTGCTGGATTGGATGAGGATGAGGATGGAAAGGGGTGAATCTGACTCACTCTCTGAGTGGGAGTGGCAAGTGAGGGTGGTGCTGGTGGTTCAGATAATTTCTCCACGCCAGCCCCCACACCCCCAGGGCATGCTCCCTCTCTTGGCCTTTGTGCCGTGGCTGCATTTAGAGTCCAAGTGCTGAGGAGCGGCTGGTGTAGGTGCCTCTACACTTGGGGTAGCTTGGAGGCACCTGGAGGTAAAGTGCTGGGCGGCTTTTTTTGGCCTGCTCAGCTGGATGGAGTGGTGGTGGGAGGGAGTGCTCTGTGCCCATCAGAGGTCACCCCAGCCTCACTCTGCTGCTTCTGTGGCATAGGTCATGTCACCTGGGCTTGGCTCTCAGCAGCTTTGGGCAGAGCTGGAGGGACCCAGCAGGGCCCTGTCCCCAGGCCCCTGCCTCTCTGTCACCATCCCTGCCCTACACACCTGGATCACCAGCCTCAGCAGCACCTCTGCCCCTCCCAGGAAGCAGCCCCTAGACGCCCCGGGCTGCCCTGCACAGGCCTCTGCCCACCCTTCCATGTTCCTCACCCCCTTTCTACCTGTGTCTCTCACACGAGGCTGCCCACCCCTGATGCAGAAAGTCAGAACCACGATAACAACAGACTTCCATTCACCCACCCACAGTCACCTCATCTTCCTCCTCTCAACGGGCCTTTGAGGGGCAGCTGTTGCCATCCCTGTTTCCTAGTAGAGGAAACTGGAGCTCTGGAAGGTTGTGTAGTCAGGGTTCTTCAAAGAAACAGAACCAATAGGTTGTGACACACACACACACACCCCCCACAGAGTGAGAGGTTATTCGTTAGTTTTAAGGAATCGGCTTATGCGGTTGTGGGGCTGGCAAATCTGAAATGTGTAGGGCAGACCAGCAGGCTGGAGATTCAGGCAAGGGTTGATCTTGCAGCTTCGAGTCCCAGTGCAGCCGGGAGGCAGAGTTCCTTCTTCCGCAGGGGACCTCGGTCTTCTCTTAAAGCCTTCGACTGATTGGATGAGGCCCACCTACATTGTGGAAGGCACCGTGCTTCACCCAGAGTCTACTGATGTAAATGTTAATCTCTTATAAAATGTACCTTCACAGCCACATCTGGACTGGTGTTTGACCAAACGACTGGGCATTGTGGCCCAGCCAAGTCGACCCACAACATCAGCCACCATAGAGGCAGAGAAATTTGCCTGGGGAAACGCAGCTCATCAAAGCAGATTAGGATCTCATTGGATCTGACCCTGCTGGCCCCAGATGGCTGTCGGCATTAACCAGGGACTTGACTGTTGCCTCGCAGGAGGGAGAACAGTCAAAACCATTTTGTCCATAACTGGGACAATTCTGTTAAATACTTAAAGTTCTGGCTTCCTGCTGCTAAATCCACTAGGAAAAGATGCTGATTGCTGCCCCCAGGGTAAGGTGGACAGAACATGGACTGGTCGCCTGGCTTCATTCCTATGATTGTGAGTATCTGGTGAAAGGAGATGTTGATCTTGTGTGTTTGCCTGGGTTGGTTTTATTTGCTTTTTTACCTGCTGTTTTAAGTAAGGATTTATCAATACTCAGGTGCCATTGTAAAACTTCTCACCTAAAATTAATTTTAACATGTGACTATGCTATCAACAGTGTGGTCTGGGGAAAAACATTGCCATTTTCCCTGGAAGCAGCTTGTCCACCAGAGGCAATTCATTTCAGGTCTTCAGAGACGGGCAGAATTCAGGAAATAAGGGCTTGTCAGGCGTTCCTGTGGAATGTGTGTTGAGTGATATTTGAAACAAAAAGGTTAAAGAAAGCATTTTGAAGTGTTTTAAGAACACACTCCCTTGGGACGTTTTATAAGTAATGTTTTGAATTGTTTGCTGATAAAATGAATAGGCTCAAGGCGGGGTGGGTTGCCTGGTAGCACAGGGTCCTCATCCCTCACCCTGGGCAGCTCACCAGACTGTCTCTGATCTTTGGCTGCCTCATGATAAAACAGAGGAGAGAGAGAGGAAGAGAGAGAGAGAGAGAGGAGAGAGGGAGAAAGAGAGGGAGCACGCTACTTCCTTCCCAAGACCGTGAGGGGTTCATGTGGCAATGTGGGTGATGCATTGGAGCCCCCAGCCCAGCTAGGGACCCCACTCAACAAGAATGGTGCCCCCTGCTCACTGCCCCCCAGGACTTAGAAGCCTGGTCTGTCTTTTCCAACTCCACAGTCCGCGCATGGGGCCCTGGAAATATATTTCTGGTTTACAATCTTTTGGGTCTTGGTGATGATTTCTGCAGGGTGTGTTTTGTGATTGAGCAGTCGTCTCAATTTACAACCTGGAAGAGATGTCAAAGGCTTGAATGCCTCTCCAGCATCCTCAGGGGGTTTCCACCCCCAGGGAAAGTCTCAGGGAACTAGCAGGAGAGATTCTAAGTGGGGCTGGCAGGAGGGTCAGGCCTGCAGGGCACTGCCGAAGGGGGAATCCATGGGAACGTGGGCCCAGGTGGGTGTCTTGGGCGTGGGGAGGCTGTGGCCAGCTCCCCCAGCTGTGACCCTGACCCTGACCCTGACCCTGACCCTGACCCTGACCGGCTCTCTCGCCGCTCTGGCTGCAGGTGGGCAAACTGCGCGAGCGGCTGCAGGAGGCGAAGCTGGAGCGCGAGCAGGAGCAGCGACGGCACACGGCCTACATTTCGGAGCTCAAGGCCAAGCTGCATGAGGAGAAGACCAAGGAGCTGCAGGCGCTGCGCGAGGGGCTCATCCGGCAGCACGAGCAGGAGGCGGCGCGCACCGCCAAGATCAAGGAGGGCGAGCTGCAGCGGCTGCAGGCCACGCTGAACGTGCTGCGCGACGGCGCGGCCGACAAGGTCAAGACGGCGCTGCTGACCGAGGCGCGCGAGGAGGCGCGCAGGGCCTTCGATGGAGAGCGCCTGCGGCTGCAGCAGGAGATCCTGGAGCTCAAGGCAGCGCGCAAGCAGGCAGAGGAGGCGCTCAGTAACTGCATGCAGGCTGACAAGACCAAGGCAGCCGACCTGCGTGCCGCCTACCAGGCGCACCAAGACGAGGTGCACCGCATCAAGCGCGAGTGCGAGCGCGACATCCGCAGGCTGGTACGTGCCGCCCCCTCCCCCGCCCGCGGGCACGCGGCCTTCCCTCCCTGCACGCATGGGGGAAATGCGGAGCTCCGAGGACCTGCTGTGCTCCAGGCATTGTTCAAAGCACTGGGGCCCCAGCAACCTCCCTCCCGTCTTAGGTGTGGTAAGGAGGCTTTGGGGCTGCAGGTAATCCGCTCAAAGAACAGTTCCCCATTTGTCAAAGGAGCTTAATGGAGACTAGCGAGGGTTGTTGCAAATGCCTCGTGATAGCGTATCTAAGTGTCGGGCATTTATTGATTCATTTACTTCAACAACCATGAGCAGACTTCCATCTCCAGGTAAGATGCCACAGGTCAGGGCAGGCCGGCCAACTGGCTGCAACAGCAAGGGAAACATATAAATTGCAAATAGTCCTGTTTTGAAAGATACTGGAGATCTGTGGAAGCTGTGGAGTGTGGATGAACTAAAATTCCAAAGGGAAGGGGAAAGAGCCCTGCCTGGGCGGCCTAATTGCCAGCTGCTTTCTTCCCTTGGGGCATTTGTGGATTCTGGGTGCGGGCTGAGGATTGGATGTCCTCAGAGAGATGAGTAGGACTTTTCTGCCATCTCAGAGTGGGCATGAAACAATGGAAACCAGAGGAGCCCCACCTAGGCCAGCTTGCTGCACAGGAGATCCTCCTGAGTCCTGGAGTGAAGGGGGAGGCTGGCGAGCCCAGCTGGAAAGGCAGAATGACAGCTCCCATGCCCTCACTGGACGTAGGAGACAAAGGGAGGGGGCCCGCCACAAACACATGACCAGTCTGCCCCTCAGGGCGTTTGTCACACTTTGAAGCTGTGTGGGGCAGGAGGCTAAGAAGTAAAGTAAGCTGAGATTTTCAGACTGGATCAAAGAGTAACAGTGATATTTACAAGAGAGACATCTTAATTATGAGGACATGGTGACATGGAGCATAAGAGGATGGGGAAAGATACACTGTGCAAGCACTTCCTAAAAGCAAAGCTGGTCTGGCTGTATTAATGTCAAAGGCTCTAAGGCAAGAAGTAATACTAAAGACACAAAAGGACAGTTCTTAATAATAAAGGGTCAATTCAGTGGGAATGCATTCAATAACAAAACCTCAAAATGTATAAAAGAAAAAAATTATCAACACTAAAAGGAGAAGCAGACAAATCCACAGTTACGGTTGGGGACGAACACGCTTCTCTCAGCAAACAGTAGAACACACAGACAAAGAATGAATAAAGACATGATTTCACCAACACAATTAACCAACGTGAACTTACCTGACAGAGCACTCTATTCCACAACTGCAGAATACTGTGGACATGACATACTTTTATCATTGTAGACCGCATTTCAAAATTTGTGGGTTGTAATTAGTCCTTAGAGCAAAACATATTTTAGACAAAAAGAAGAAATGCTGAAAATCAAGCATCTAAACTTCTATCTCAAGAAGAAAGAAAAAGAACAGCAAATTAAACTCCAGAGAGTAGAAGGAAGGAAATTTTAAAGAGCAAGAAGCAGTGAAATAAAATCAATAAAGAAAATCAACAAATTCAAGAGTTAATTAAAACTGATAAATTGACAAACATTTAGCAATATTGATAAAGCAAAACAGAGACAATAAATTACTAATATCAAAAATGTAAAGGGGGAAATACCACAGCTCCTACAGTCAATAAAACCACAGCAAACAGCATATACCAATAAACTTGAAACCTCGATAAAATGAACATATTCCTTGAATAAGCACAATGTACCAAAACTGACATGAAACAAATAGAAAATCTAAGTAGTCCTAAAGCTCCTAAATAAATTAAATCTGTAATGAATAATTTTCCTATGAAGAAAGGCCCAGGCCTAGATGGCTTCACAAGTAAATTCTTTCAAGTGTTTAAGAAAGAAGTAAAACTAATTCTAGCCAAAGTCTTCCAGAAAATAGAGAATTAGGAACACATTTTAACTAACTTATGAAGCCAGTGTAACTCTGATTCCAAAAGCAATAACATTACAGGATAAGAAAACTTTTGGATTACCTTTTATGAACATAGATACAAGAGTACGAGCAAGATATTAACATATCAAATCCAGCAATACATAGGAAGGCTAATAAGTCATAACCCAGCTGGGTTTATTCTGAAAATATAAAGATTGGCTTCATATTCTAAAATCACTGAATATAATTCAACATAATAATATGATAAAAAAGAAAAACGTGGTCAGTCATCTTAATAGATGCAGAAAAATCTGTTGGTAAAATTCAACTTCATGATATAAACTCTCCGAAAACCAGGAAAAGAATGGAATTTCTCTAATATGATAAATGGTTCTATCAAAAATCTTTTACAAGTAACATACATAATGATGAAATATTGAACATTTCCCACCCAAGTTCAAGGTCAAAACAAGATGTTGACTATTACCACTTCTAGTCAACATTGCATTGGCCAGGATGTCAAATATAAAATAAAATAAAATAAATAAAAGTTTCATTGGGAGGCCGAGGCAGGCAGATCACGAGTTTAGGAGATTGAGACCATCCTGGCTAACACAGTGAAACCCCATCTCTACTAAAAATACAAAAAATTAGCGGGGTGCAGTGGTGGGCGCCTGTAGTCCCAGCTACTCAGGAGGCTGAGGCAGGAGAATGGTGTGAACCTGGGAGGTGGAGCTTGCAGTGAGCTGAGATCGCGCCACTGCACTCCAGCCTGGGCGACAGAGTGAGACTCCCTCTCAAAAAAAAAAAAAAAAAAAAAAAAAAAAAGTCTTTAGAGAGGGAGAAAAAAGGGAAACTCATTATTTGCAGGTGCTATGGTTGTGATGTAGCAAACCCAAGACACCTGTTTTAGTTCATTACTGTTGCTATAACAAAATAACACAGACTGGGTAACTTATATATAATAGAAATTTTTTTCTTACCATTCTGGAGGCTGGGAAGTCCAAGATCTAGGCACTATCTGGCAAGGGTCCAGTTTCTGCTTCTAAGACAGTGCCTTGAATGCCATGTCCTCACATGGCAGAAGGAGTGGAATGACAAAAGAGAGGCAGGCAGCTCATATTTCTCTTATAAGGTCACTAACTCCCTTCATAAAGGCTTTGCCCTCATGACTTCATCACCTCTTAAAGACCCCATCTCCTAATACTATCACACTGATGATAAGTTTCAATGTATGAATTTTTGTGAGACACATTCAGAACATGGCAAGACCCTACAAACTATTAGAATTAATAAGTGAGTTTATCAAAGTCTACATATACAAGGTACATACACACAAATAAGTTGTTTCAATATATCAGCAGTGAACAATTAGAAAATGAAATCTTAAAAAATATCATTTACAGTAGAGCACCACAAAATTCAAATACCTAGGAATAAATCTAAGGAAAGTTGTGTAAGATGTCTCCCCTGAAAACTATAAAACATTGCTGAGAAAAACTTAAGGAGATCTAAATCAATGGAAAGGGATATCGTTTTCATCGATTAGAAGACTTAGTATAGATATCAGTTTTTCCATGATTGATCTACAGATTCAGTGCTATCCCTTACCAAAATCCCAGCAGACTCTTTTTTTTTTTTTTTTTTAACTGAGTCTTGCTCTGTTGCTCAGGCTGGAGTGCAGTGGCATGATCTCAACTCACTGCAACTTCTGCCTCCTGGGTTCAAGCAATTCTCCTGCCTCAGCCTCCCGAGTAGCTGGGATTACAGATGCCTGCCACCATGCCCGGCTAATTTTTTTTTTTTTTTTTTTTTTTTGTATTTTTAGTAGAGATGGGGTTTTGCCATGTTGGCCAGGTTGGTCTCGAACTCCTGATCTCAAGTGATCCACCTGCCTTGGCCTCCCAAAGTGCTAGGATTACAGACGTGAGTCACCACGCCCAGCCACCAGCAGACTTTTTAAATGCAGACATCGGCAAGCAGATTCTAAATTTGATGTAAAAATTGAAAGGATGTGGAATCACAATCTTGAAGAAGAGAAAAATTGGAGGTTTCATACAACCTATAACAAAGTTTACTACAAAGCTACAGTAATCAAGACAGTAGGCTGAAGGTTAGAGAGACACGTCAATGGAACAGAAGAGCCCAGAAGTACATCTTCACGTGTGTGGACAAAGATACCGTGGCAGTTCACTATAGAGAGGATGATCTTTCAATGGACAATATTGGACTGGTCAGCTATCTGTAAGAAAAAAAAACAGGAAATACACACACACACACACCACACACACTCTCTGTATATAGAGTATGAAGTCTATATCATACTACCCACAAAGATTAATTCAAAGTGGTCCATAGGCCTACATGTAAAAAGTAAAACAATATAGCTACTAGTAGAAAACAGACTATTTTCATGATCTTGGGACATGGTAAATATTTCTTAAGCAGGACACAGTACACTATTTACATAAATATACTATTCAGAGAGGGTTGTACATTGGACATGAAATAATCATTGTTCATCAAAAGACACTAATAAAAGAGAGACAAGGCAAATTACAGACTGAGAGAAGACATGTTCAATACCTATAACCACAAAGAACTTTTGTGCAGATTATAAAAACTATAAAATAATATGAAAACTCAAAAATGGGCAAAAGCTTGAAAGAATATTTCAAAAACAGGATAATTAAATGACTAACAAATATGTGAAAAGGTGTTCTACCTCATTGATCATCAGGGAACCAGAGTAAAATTACAACTAGATATAAATTCTCATCCACTAGAATGACTATTAAAAAAAAACAGACAATAGTAAATGTTGACTAGCATGTGGAGGAATGGGTACCGTCATTCTGATAGGACTTTAAAATGGTATAGCCACCTTGATAAATGGTTTTGTAGTTTCTTAAAAAGTCTAAAAAAAGGACACCTACGGACTCTGTAATTCTACTCCTAAGTATCTACCCAAGAGAAATGAAAACACATATCTATATAAAGATTTGTACATGAATGCTTATAGCATTATAATAGTCAACGAATGGGAGAAGCCCAAATGTCCTCAGTTGGTGAATGGATAAATGTGGCATGTCTATATAACACAATGTGATTCAACAATGAGAAGGTATGAAATATTGATATATGCTTCAATATCTATAACATTTCTGAACCTCAGAAACATTATGCTAAATGATAGAAGCTAGACACAAAAGACCTCATATTGTATGCTTGCATTTGTATGAAATCTCCAGAATAGCCAAATCTATATATCCAAATCTATAGTGGCTGACGGGGACTAGTTGGAATGGAGATTAGCTGTAAATGAGTGTGAGGGACCTTACTGGGCGAGGAAGGTTCTGAAACAGATTATAATGATGGCTCCACAACTTGGAAGACTTACTAAAAATCGGCGAAGTTCATGATTTATAAATTAAACTCTAAAATGTTTAAAACAAGAAAAATTGGAAATTTAAATAGGATTGATAAAAGTTTAATGGTGGATCTTGTATTTGCATTTAAAAGGAGCATATTTATAAGAGGAAGAACAGCACACAATGAAACAACACTGCCCAGGCACCAGGATGGCTAAATTAAAAAGCTAACAGTGCTGAGAAATGGCAAGGACGTGGAGCAGCCGTGCCCCTCGGTAGCATCCCATACACTAAAGTGCCCTAAAACGAAACAGAGACATCTGTTAACTCAGAATTTCTCATCAAGCAAAAAATATTATTTTACAATAAGAGTGAAATAAAGACATTTTAGGTAAAAGGAAGCTAAGATTATTTGTCGCCAGAGGCTGTACCACCAAAAATGCTAAAGGAGGTTCTGCAGGTGAAGAGAAACAATGCCAGATAGGAATTTAGTTCTCTTGGAAGGGAATAAAGAACAGGAGAAGTGGGTAAAGGAGAGTCAATGTCTGAGACGATCTCTTTTTCTCAGTGTATTCAAAACACAAGTGACTGTTTAAAGCAAAAGAATCAGATTGTATTGTGGGGTTTATGACATATGCAGACGTAAAATGCATAAAACAATCTAGAAAGGATGGGGTGGGGGTGGTTGGTGGAAAATGGATCTGTGCTCTCGCACAGTCCTTCAGTCTTGTCTGAGGGGGTGCGTGACGCTATGAGTTCAAGGAGGCTGTGACAAATCAAGGTTTAAAAAGGCAGCACAAGGAGGCACAGATAAAAAGCAAATGGGGAAATAAAATGAGAGACTAAAGAAATCTGTTTGCACTAAAAGAGGGTAGCAAAGAAGGACCAAAGCAGGGGAAAAAAACAGACGAGACAAATGGAGAAGAGACAGCAAAACGGTGGAATTAAAGGAGTCATATCAGTAGTTACATTAAATGTAAATGGACTAAACCAGTTAAAAGGCAGAAATTGTCAGAGTGGATACAAAAGTCACACTTTAAATATAAAGACCCACTTTCCCTGAAGGAAAAGGATAGAAAACATGCTCTGTGAGCAATAAATGTAGCAATAGGATGGATAAAGGTGTATTTAGTCAATGGGATATTACACAGCACTGGGAAAAAATGAATTTCCAAAACAGGCAAGAAAATGAATGAATTTCCCAGCCGTGGTGTCAGAACCAAACCAAAGAAGATGAGCACAAAAGCTACATACTATATGATTTTACTCACATGAAGTTTAAGAAGCGTAAAAACTAATCTAAGGTGCTAGAATAAGAGTGTGGATGACCTCCGGGTGTGGGGTTGATCAGGAAGCGGCAGGAGCCAGCCTTCTCGAGCATCAGGAATCAATCTTTCTTTCTTTCTTTCTTTTCTTTCTCTTTCTTTCCTTCCTTCCTTCCTTCTCTTTCTTTCTTTTTCTTTCTTTCTTTCTTTCTTTCTTTCTTTCTTTCTTTCTTTCTTTCTTTCTCTCTCTTTCTTCCTTTCCTTTCCTTTCTTTCTTTTCTTTCTTTCTTTTTCTTTTTCTTTCTTTTCTTCCTTTCTTTCTTCCTTTCCTTCTTTCTTTCTTTCTTTCTTTCTTTCTTTCTTTCTTTTTCTTTCTCTCTCTCTCTCTCTTTCTTCCTTCCTTCCTTTCCTTTCTTTTCTTTCTCTTTTCTTTCTTTCCTTCCCTCCTGCCCTTCCTCCCTCCCTCCCTTCCTTGTTCCTTCAGATGAAGTTTCACTCTTGTTGCTCAGGCTGAAGTGCAATGCTGTGATCTCGGCTTACTGCAACCTCCACCTCCTGGATTCAAGCAATTCTCCTGCCTCAGCCTCCCGGGTAGCTGGGATTACAGGCGCCTGCCACTACGCCTGGCTAATTCTTTTGTATTTTTAGTAGAGACAGGGCTTCGCCATGTTGGCCAGGCTGGTCTCGAACTCCTGACCTCAGGTGATCCACCTGTCTTGGCATCCCGAAGTGCTGGGATTACAGGCGTGAGCCACCGCACGCGACGAGGAATGTTTCTTTTCTGACCTGGGTGGTAGTTGTGTAAAGTGTGCTCAGGCAGGCGTGGTTTTGGACAGCACCTTGTTAAACCAGACTCATGCGTATCAGAACCATGTTCTCGAACTCCAAACTCGACACTACACTTTTGTTATCTCTGATTCAAGTCACAGTTACCGCTTTTCTGTCCCACAATGTAAGTGAGCCATAAAGGGCATTGCATTTTAATTATTCTTTCCGGTTCCACGGAGAGAGCTTTCACTACCTCTGAAATATTCAAAGCCAGACAAAAACCTGACATCCTGGTCTTGGGTGCTTTTGATCAAGGGAACCAGATTGCGTTTCTCCAAGCTGCCTAAGGAAGCGTGGGCCTGGCTTTTCCCATGGAATGGTTGACTCACACCATTTGTCAAATGATGATGAGAATGAACGCTTCTTATTGCATTTTTTGTTGCAAAATGGGGAAGTGATCTGTAAAGCTTCCCCCATCCTTATGGAGTTTTCCAAAGGTGGTATAGAAATAGGTTGAGCATCCCTAATCCAAAGTCCCAAATGCTCCAAAATCTGAAACTCTGTGAGTGCCAACATGAAGTCACAAGTGGAAAATTGCACACCCAACCTCCTGTGACAGATCGCAGTCAAAATGCAGGTGTACAACGCAGTGTATTTAGCATACCCAAGGGGAAAAAAGATCCCCCTAGCCCCCATCAGCTGTGATAGAGCTTCCATACACACCCAGACTCCCCATGCAAGCAAGCTCACATGTTACCATGAGCACATTATCTTCTCCACTGTATCAGTGGTATGTGTGAATAAGTGTAAGAAGTGATTACTTATTGGTAGCATATAAATTCAGAGTCAGAACGGGGCGAGATGGCTCATGACTGTAATCCCAATACATCAGGAGGCTGAGGTGGGAGGATTGCTTGAGGCTGAGAGTTTGAGACCATCCTGGGCAGTGAGGTCTTGCCTCTACAAAAAATTTAAAAATTAGCCGGACATGGTGGCATACCCCTGTAGTCCCAGCTACTCAGGAGGCCCAGGTGGGAGGATTGCTTGAAGCCAGCAGATTGAGGCTACTGTGACCTACGATCATGCCCCTGCACTCCAGCCTGGGTGACAGAGAGAGAGTCTGTCTTGAATAAATAAATACATTCATTGTCAGGAATGATGGTGATGCCAAACAACCCCAGACTGTCAACTTGGGTGGCTGAGACAGTGAGAACTTTGCCTTCCGATGTTTCAATGTACACAGACTTTTGTTTCATGTACAAAATTATTAAAAATATTGTATAAAATTACCTTTCAGCTATATGTATAAGTGTATGTGAAACATAAATGGATTTCATGTTTAGACTTGGGTCCCATCCCCAAGATATCTCACTATGTATGTGCAAATATTCCAAAATCCAAAAACCCTCAAATCTGTAACACTTCTGGTCCCAAACATTTCAGATAAGGGATACTCAACCCGTACTCCCATTTTACAGGGTAAAAGTTATGTGGGAATTTTATACTCAGCCTCAGGCCATGGATCCTCTTTCAAAACTCAATTCTGAATGATACAGGATTAAAAGCAATGTCCAATGGGATCTGAAAATGAATTTGTTATAATGATAATGACAAATATTATTTTACCCCCAGTTTCCTCAACAGAGTATTTGATGCACAGATGGCATGCAGGCCTTTAGAAAAATGGAGAGTGAAGATATAGCCTGGGAAACAGTCTTTAAACAATGTGGCAGAGGGTTAACATCCTCAGTGTATAAAAAGTTTGTCAAGTTTACAAGAGGAACAATGGGAATTTATAATTAGTCAAGGCATGGGAACACACAGTTCACAAAGAAAAGCAATGCCTATTAAATATAAAAATTAGTTTAACCTCACCGGTCATGAAATGCAAATTAAAACAGCAGGATGCTATCATACCCAATCAAATTAGCCAGGATTTTTTTTTAAAGGTAGGGTGTAATTTAAGTGTCAAAAGAGAAGACAGCAGGTGCCTTTGGCAGGTTGTTCTCAGCCCCAGGGCCCTTGCACAGGCACTCCTGTGTCCTTGGCCGGGAGCGCTCCAGCCCCGATCTTTGCACCGCTGGTTCTTTCTCACTGAGTAGCTCCCACCTCAGTGTCCCTTGTTCAGGGAGGCCTGCCTGAGCATCATCTAGGCCAGCCCCGAGTCACTCAGTTATATGCCACCTTTTCCCATCCTTGCCACAGCACTTCTCATCTGATATTTTTCTCTCTCTCTCTTTGATTATTTCTTGTGTGTTTTCCCCTACTAGGATCCAAGTTCTGTAAGGACAGGGACTGAGTCTGTCTTGTTCACTGTGAAAGCCCAGAGCCTGTGCAGTGTGGTGCATAGCAGACGCCCCCCGCCTCTGTGCAAACAACAGCTTTATGCACGCTCCTGCCCTTTAGTGTGCTAATTCCACTTCCAGGAGTCTACCGAAGGAAATGTGCAAAAGCATGCACAAATCTTACGTACACATCAGATGGCACCGTGTGTGTTCTGCCAGTGGTCTATTGCATCCGCGTTTGCTGCCTCGAGTTTCTGAGTCAGGACAATGACTCAGGCATTTATGACAAGCTATAGGGACTTGGGAAAGTGAACACAGAAGGTTAAAAAACAGGATGTATGGCTGCAAACAGGACTCTGTCTTGCAGAAGTAGAATGAGGGGAAGCAGGTGACAGGTTGGCAGGGGCTGCCTCTGGATCCTGACATCATGGGGGCTTTCTGTTTCCTTCTCTGTTCTTTGTTGTATTTTTAATTTTCCTTCCTTCCTTTCTTCTTTCTTTCCTTTCTTCCTCCCTTCCTTTCTTTCTTTCGCTGTCTCTCTCTTTCCCCTTCCTTTCTTCCCTCTCTCCCTCCCTCCCTCCCTTCCTTCCTTTCTTCCTTTCCTTCCCTTTTTCCTTCGCTCCTTTCCTTTCTTTTCTTTCCTTCTTTCTTCTATTTCCCTCCTCCCTTCCTTTCTTCTTCCTTTCCTTCCCTTCTTCCTTCCTTTGCTCCTTTCTTTTTCTTTCATTTCCCTCTTTCTTTTCTTTCCCTTCCTCTCTCTCCCCTTCCTCCCTCCCCCACTCCCCCTTCCTTCCACTTTCCTTCTTTCCTTCCTTCCTCCCTCCCTCTGTCCCTTCCCTCCCTCTTCCTTTTTATTTTTCTTCTATCTTTTTTCTTTTTTGACAGGGTCTTGCTCTGTCGCCCAGGCTGGAGTGCAGTGGTGCAATCACAGCTCACTGCAGCCTCTACCTTCCAGGCTCAAGCAATCCTCCCACCTCAGCCTCCTGAATAGCCAGGACCACCTATGCCCAGCTAATTTTTTTGTATTTTTTGCAGAGACAAGGTTTCTCCATGTTGCCCAGGCTGGTCTTGAACTCCTGAGCTAAAGCAAATGTCCTGCCTCTGCCTCCCAAAGTGCTGGGATTATAGGCGTGAGCCACTGCGTCTGGCTGTATTTTTCATTTTCTATAATGGATCTGCATTCCTTTCCTAATAAGAGTTAAAACTTTATTTTTGAAAGAGTGCCACTGTTGGGAACTAGTTTGACAAGGTAGGAGGAATCAAGGCACAGCTTAAGGCCTTGGGCCTCAGGATCTCAACTAGGAGAACAGGGGCCGATGGACCAGCCTAGGCTGGGTGCCCGCAGTTCCTGAGACCCCAGGGGCCCCGGAGGTTGGTAGGTTTGTTTACTCCCATGCCTGTCTGCCAAGCCCTCTCACTGGGGCCAGGCTGTTTTCTTAGCACGATTCCTCCTGTCAGTTGGGTAGGAGTGGCCCATTTCTGGCCTTCTCAGTGGCCCTTTCGCATCAAGCTTCAGGCAGCTGGGAGATAAAGGAGAGTGTTTTCTTTCTTTTTTTGCCAGAAAATTACGGAAGAGAGGCTATATATTTTCCGGGCACTCCATTTGGTGAGCACCTGCTGTGAGCTAGACCCAGGGCTAGCACAGATTGTTTGAGATTTTATTTTATGCTTTTATAAAACCATAATGGTTGTTTTTAAAACTCATGAACTGACAGTGGCATGTGTTCGATGCATGTTCCCTATATAGATGCCTGCTGGGCCAGCCTCTCGGGGGAGTCCTGGGGGGCCATGGCTAAAACCCTGCCTGGCCATCTGCAGGGAGCTCGCAGTCTACTGGGGTGACAGGTGACACCCGCTCCCATGTGATCTCTGCTTGGGAGGTGAAGGGCAGGACATCTGGGGACTGCCCAGCCGAGCCAGGGTGGCAGAAAAGAGGGAACTTGCAGCCTCCTGGGCAGGTGGGACTCTGGAGCCCTGCACACAGGTTGACCAGACACATTGAGTGGTGGTGGGCAGAGGCACTGGGCCAGGACTTGTTCCCCACCGACTCCTACCACGGGCAAACCTGGCTCCTTCTTTGAGGAAAGTGACCTCTTCCCAAGTAAGCATCATTCCTCTCTGGAGACAGGATACTTTTCAGGGCACGGCAGCCACACCTCCCTGTACAGGTGGACATCATTCATTGTAATACAGGAGGTGTCTGGTTCAGGACCCTGAACTTCAAGAGACTGCTGACCTTTATGAGGTGACTGTTTTGCATAAGAATTTGAGTGATTGTTTCTGAAGCTGTCTTTTTGGGACATCTCGTTGGGTTGGTTATCAGCCTTGGAAGCAGCACATGATCTGGACTCGCTGCTAATTGCTGCATGTTAATAGTAAACAATCAGTTTAATGGGAGCTGGACACTGTTTATAGTCATCCATGGCCATGAAATTTGCTGTCAGTCAGAATGGCCCAAGAACACATATAGCCCTGGGCAGGAGAGCTCCCCCTCAGTTGAATATTTATTTACTGAGTTATAGAGAAAAATAAGACACGATTCCAGGCAGCAAAGCGCTTACAGTTAACTGGAGTGTGAGCAGATTATTCTAGTGTGAGCAGGACGGTTTGGTAATAGGACCATGCAAGCCAAAGAGGCAGCAACAAAGAAGAGGATGTGATCACTTCTGTGGGTAGATGCAGGAGTCATTTCACAGAGGAAGTGAGGTGTGAGCTGGGTTTTGAAGGATGCATAGGAGTTTGTTAGGTGATCCTATGCAGAGGGAGAAACACTGGCAAAGGTTTGGAAGTAATGGGGCATGATGTGATCATTTTAACCATATCTCTAAAATAGCCATGATGATATGTGATACTTGGATTCCCAGTAAAATACAAAATGAAAATATAATGGAATCCTGTTGTCAAGTACTGGAGACTTTATTTTCTTACTTTTAATAGGAGTTCTAAAAGTGTGAACTATTTCTGGCAAAAGGTATAGATGAGATCACAAGCAAACACCTTGTGCCCACCACACAGTAGATGAAGCATCACAGGTAGAATCGAGGCCCCTGCACCTGAATCTGGGGGAATGATTTCCAGGAATGCGTTTCTGTTTCTATCTCCCATGCATGTGATGATGACCGATATAGTGGGTCTGCATGAACACTGAAAAGGTTTTCTATTCTCTGCCTTCCAATGACTTGGGGTCAAGGACCCTCTTAGAAGGGGCCATGCTTCCCTGCAGACCTCACTATGCTGTGCACTGAGAGCTTCAGTGACAGAATAACGACGAAGGGTATTTTGCTTATATTCTATCTTTTCCTCCTATAGACTTTCATAGCTGGGCAGAACCAACAATGTTCTCTCAATGGCTTAAAACCCACCTCTGCCAAGCCCCGTGCATTCCCAGAGGAGCAGGAAGGGGGTGTGGCCATGGGGAGGGGAGCCTGCGGCTGCAGGTGGGTGGTGCTCCAGTTTCCTCTGGGCATCGGTACACAAGCCCATTGGCAGGAAATGGTTCTTCGCCCAGTGTCTCATTTTGTAGCACAGGAAGGAGATCTAGGGAAAGTGAATGACTTCAGAGAGCTGAAGTGCCTGTACCCACACTGGCCCCCTCTCACTGACAGTACAGGGCTCCTCTGCATGCAGGCTGTGGGCTGGCCGGGATTCCACCACACCTGGAGTGTGCTCTTCAGGTGAGGACGGCTGGGAGGGAGGGGGCGGGACACCCAGTGAAAGGCACTGAGGGTGTTGCTGGGGTAGAAGGGAGTTCTCTCTTTTCTTTTCCTTACCTTTTAAAAAGTCCTGATGATTTGATGATATATTCATTTATTCCGCACCCTCAATGTTGGAAAGACTCTGAGATTCCAAAGGTTCTTAGAAACTAAGAACCTCCTGGAGAGGTAGTGAGTGTCCCAGCATGGGGAGAGTGTAAACTGGGGCTGGGGGCCCTCTGCGGGAGATGAGATGCTGGAAGAGATTTTGGGACTGGAGGCAGGTGACAAGGCACCCTTTTAAAGTCCTCATCCAGCTATAGCCTGGGTCCCACAGTTGGTGACAAACCACCAGTTCATGCCTTAACCCCATACTGTGCCAAGAATGGCAGAAGAGCTGTGTGTCAGTTTAAAATTTCTGATTTATAGACAGTGCAAGCACACCAATACTGAGTCCTCAGGAACAGTCTCCAGCCCCTTTTCTCAATCACGTATGTTCATGGGTTTGTGTTCAGGGGAGCTGTCATCACATGGTGGGAAGAGAAGCCTTTGGAGAGAGGCTGCCCTGAGTGATTCTGGGCTCCCCATTTGTTTGCCATGTGACCCTGGGACAGGTGGTTACTGTCTCCAAGCCTCTAGCACCTCACCTATAAAATGGGGGTATTCCCATATCTGCCGAGAGTTAGAATTAAACAAGCAAGTGAGCTAAAGCATGTAGCAGCTTATAGTTTCTGTAATAGGATACTTGTAAAATGTGTTCTTCTGTTATAGGAAAAATGTATATGTAAGAGAAGTAAAATGGGGGAAAAAATACTCTGTGTATTTGCACAAGAGACGGTTTGAGCTTAATTTAAAATGTGCCAGGGATCCAGTATCACAAAGGCTCCGTTTCCATTTCAGTGCCAAACAAAAATCTCCCCCCATTCAGGTATCTCATTGTGTGGATGGTTTTCACCCAAAATGGTCCACTTAGGAGAAGGAGTGAAAAAATCAAACGTTCATTTCTCCTATTCACCCACACCCTGTCTGATAAATGTCACTCCTTAAGCAAACCTGTTGCCCATGGCAACACATTCAGAAGATGGGCTGCTGGTTTCATTTCTTTGTCAGCTGGCTTGGATTAGAAATGCAAGAAGGCTTTTGGACTTGTGTCTACACATTAGGATGCATCTTAGTAAAAGTCAAGAAGAAAAGGTGGTTATGGTCAACCTGGGGTGGCGATGCTCTAGTTTAAGGCAGTCATGGTCAACGTGGGGTTTTGACACTCTAAGGACGTCATGGTCAACGTGGGGTTTTGACACTCTAAGGGCATCATGGTTAACATGGGACAGTGATGTTCTAGTTTAAGGTGGTTATGGTCAACATGGGGAGTGACACTCTAGTTTAAGGTGGTTATGGTCAACCTGGGGCAGCGATGCTCTAGTTTAAGGCAGTCACGGTCAACATGGCGTTTTGACATTCTAAGGCGGTCATGGTCAACGTGGGGCAGTGACGCTCTAGTTTAAGGTGGTTACGGTCAACATGAGGCGGTGACACTCTAGTTTAAGGTGATCATGGTCAACATGGGACAGTGATGTTCTAGTTTAAAGTGATCCTGGAGCCCATACTGCGTGGCCTGTGGCTTCTGAGAAACCCTGGTGTGGTGCTCTGTTAGTTTCCTGGGGGCAGCTGTAACAAATTACCACAAACTTGGAGGCTTACAACAATGACATTTATTTTCTCTACGGTTCTGGAGTCCAGAAGTCCCAAATCAAGATATCAGCTGGGCCATGCTCCCTTGGAAAGCTCTAGGGTGAAAGTGTTTTCTGGCCTCTTGCAGCTTCTGGTGTGGCCGGCAGTCCTCGGCATTTCTTGACTTGCAGTCGCACCACTTCAGTCTCTGCCTGCACGTGGCCTTCTCCCCTGCATGTCTGCAGCTTGTCCTCTTCTTTTTCTTCTTTTTTTTTTTGAAATGGACTCTCACTCTGTCACCCAGGCTGGAGTGCAGTGGCGTGACCTCGGCTCACTGCAACCTCTGCCTGCCAGGTTCAAGCAATTCTCCTGCCTCAGCCTCCCTAATAGCTGGGATTACAGGCATGCACCACCTCACCTGGCTAATTTTTGTATTTTTAGGAGAGACAGAGTTTCACCATGTTGGCCAGGTTGGTCTCAGACTCCTGACCCCAGGTGATTCGCCTGCCTCGGCCTCCCAAAGTGCTGGGATTACAGGTGTCCTCTTCTTTTAAGGATGCCAGTCAGTGGGTTTAGGGTCCACCCTAACGTGGTATAACCTCATCTTAATTTGCATCTTCATTTCATCTGCAAAGGCCCTATTTCGAAGTAAGGTGACATTCTGATTTTCGGGGTAGATGTGACATTTTGGGGGACATTATTCATCCCACTACAGGTACCAAGAATGAGAATTGATGTTGAGGTAGTGGCCTCTGCTTCAGTCTTTGATTCCCCCAAACTTTGCAATAAAGTGGAGCTCACCAAATCAGTCATGGGTCAGTGGGCTTGTTTTCACTAAGATACATTTCCTGGTGGACTTGACTGCTTAGAAACAACCGGACTCTGTTCCTTTGGGGCAGAGGGGACAGGGAGGGCTTGGAGAGTACAATCTGCACTTGAGTCATGGTTCTGCTGCTAACTAGAGTGTTAGCACATTCCCCTTTCTGGGCCTCAAGTTTGTGTGTAACTTGGGGTAAATGATGTCCACTTTGAGGATCTTTTAAAGACTCAGAGAGTGTCTCTTAAGTACAAATGAGTACCTAGCTCACGCTAGCATTAAGAGAGGAGTGATAGCCAACATCAAGTTTGTCGTTCTTCCCTGAACTCTGTTGATTGTGATTCTTTTGGTCGCAAGTGACAGAAATTCCATCAAACCAGCTTAGGCCATGGGTGTCTGTTGGCTCCCCCAACTGAAGTCATGGGATTTGCTGTAGGTGCAGCTCCAGGTGCACTAACGATGTCATCCAGGATCCCAGGTTCTTGGGCTCTGCTCTGCCTCCTGCTGTGTCATTCCCAGGCTGTGGGCTCTCATGCTGTGCTGGGGGGATGCCACCACTGTGCCAGGTCCCACATTCTCACACCACACAGCCCAGAGTCCCTTTCTTAGCTCCTAAAGAAAAACAGGAGGATCCTGGTGCTGCCTACTTCTGGCCATTGGTTCTGATTGGATTGTGCATCCATCCCTGAAGCAATTACTGTTGGGACAGGGACATTTGGGTGGCATGAGCCAATTGGGGACTGCCCTGGGAACTTGCAGTGATGTTCGTTCCACCCCTTTCCTACTGCACATGCTGAGACTGGGCGTATGGGAGAAGGGGAAATGGATGCGGGAAGGAAGCTGAGGGATGTTCCATATGGTCAGGTGAGCAGTTCCAGGAAGCTTGAGATTTCATCAGCATCCCAAGGGCAGCGAGATAGGATCACTAAGAGCTCAGCTTGTGATCCAGGAGTAAAGTCAGTGAACTGTGAGTGTGCCTGCCTCTTGCTACGTGAGCGTGGCCAGTGTCTTAACCTCTGGGGCCTCAGGACTCTCATGCTGGCTCCGGAATGTGTTCTGCATTGGCCCTCCGTCCGTTTCTAGATGCCATCTCTGCTGTTTGAGAATATTTTCTAGGAAACTTTCTTGTGATGACTGGGGCAGAAGCCCTCTGTCTCACTTACTAGGACAAGGGGGAATTGGTGCTCTTCCAGGTGGAGAATTTGGGATCCTGGAGATGTCTTGCTCGCGACGGTGCTGTCTTTTGTGGGGAGCTAGTGGAAGGCAGTGGCGGGGGCTTCACTGCAAAGCTGATACTGAGGGGCAGACAAGAACCCTCCCTTACCCGTGATGGACAAACTGTTGGTTTGCAACACCCTCCACTGCCCCTACCGATTTCCTTTGCTTTGATGTTGTTATTGTTTTTTTTCCCCCTCATAGCACAAATCACTCTCAATCACTACAATGTCTGCTTATTTATTATGTTTATTGCCTGCTCCGCCCACTAGCAGAATAGAAGCCCCTAGGGCAGGGCGGCTGGTCTCTTTTGCTCTCTAATGTTTCTCAGCACCCACTGATAGCGCTCAGCTCAGCATGTGTTGAGTTAATGAAAGCGTGCTTGAGTGAATTAAATGAATAAACTCCTTCTGCATAATGATTTTTGCTTTGGGGTTGGCATCTACATTGGCAGTGGTGTTTTCAGCATGTTTAAAGATTCCTCCTGTGGAAGGGACAGTGCTCCTACCCATTTGGAAATTGCAACACTCGGGATTTGGGATTTGGCCCAAGCAGGTAGATGCTGGTGGATCATCACCAGGGGGAGCAGTGGGCACATTCAGCAGCTGCTTAGGAGAAACTGCATGGAGCACCCATTGCAGGGGCCAGGATATCATCCTGGCAGATGGAAACAGCCTTTTGTCTTCCAAAGAAAGGTGCCTCAGAGAGCTCTTAAGTACAAATTAGTACCTAGCTCACAACTAGCACATAAGAGAGAGGTGATACCTCTGGCACGTTTTTTGTTCTTTCCTGAACTCTATGTCAATTAGGATTATTTTGGTTGCAAGTGATGGAAATTCCACATCAGAACTGTAGCACCGTGGTATGTGGCTGGAAAACCTCTCAGTCTGGAATCTAGGAGTACCATTTCCTTTCTTCTCTCATCTCTATGTTATTTTTTTCAGTTTTTAGTGGTCTTCTTTTAAAATAAAATAGCCTCGTGTTACCTAGGGGCTAGAAGAGATTAACAGTGGCAGTGAACACTGATGGCAGGCTTGCGATATGCTAGGCACTGTACCAAATTCTTCTCATGGTTGCTCTAAAGCTCCTCAACAGTTAGACAGAGTTGGTTCTAAAGTCTTCCTATTGTCCATATTTTACAGAGACAGAAGTTGAGTCAGAGAGGTGGCCCAACCTGCCCATGGTCATATGGTCAGGGTTGGGGGGTGGGCGGGATTTTAGCCTGCTTCTCTCTGCTATCAGAAGAGGGCCCTTCACCCCAATTCTCTGCTGTGGCAGTCTGTGTCTGAAATCAAGGTTTATGATTTAGAAGTAAGAGCTTTGGATTGTAATCCACTGAAATGTAACTTGCTACGTGAGTGAGCTGAGCAGGAGGAGCCTTTGCATCTGTTTCCTTGCAGCTGCCGCAACAAATAATCTCAAACTTCATGGCTTAACATGACAGAAATGTGTTCCTATACAGTTCTGGAGGCCAGGAGATTGAAATCAAGGTGTCTGCATGCCCACACTTCCCCCTAAGGCTGTGGAAGAGGATCTTTCCCAGCCTCTTCCTGATGCTGGTGTTGCTGGCTGACCTTGAGTTCCTTGGCTTGAGGCTGTGTCCCTCCAGCCTCTGCCTCCGTCCTTACACGGCCTTCCCCTCTGTGTCTCTCTTCTCCTCTCATAAGGACACCAGTCATAAGGGCCCACCCTGCTCCAGGATGACCTCATCTTAACTAATTGCACCTGCAGTTACCCTCTTTCCAAATAAGGTCCCATTCTGAAGTTCCAGGAAGGCCATGGGTCTTGGGGGCCTGCTATTCAACCAGGACAGTGCCTTCACTGGAGCATCCAGAAAAAGCCAGAGTGGATGACCTGGGGCTGACACTTCCTCTGCATACTTTTTTTGGTGTGGTTCCTCACTGTCACCCGGCCCACTGTGTTGAGCCTGTGTCCTTTCTGACACTCCCCCATAGGAAGGCTGGACAAGACAGGGCTGGGGGTGAACTGAAGATTAAGTTCAGGTTTGTACGTGGAGAGGCTGTGGTCCCTCCGAGATCCAAGCAGAGGTGTCAGGCAGCCAGCTGGTTCTGTGATTGTGGAGCTCAGAGAGAAGCCAGGGCTGAGGCATGTGTTTAAGATCTGCTGCATATGTGGGGTTGATACCGTCGGGGAGGACCTGGCTGCCTGGGAGAGGATATAGAGTGAGAAGAGGCCCGAGCCTTGGAAACTCCAGGCTTCAATGAGAGCCAGAGCAAGACAGTCTATAAAGAAGATAGAAACCATGGGAAGTGGCCTTGGGGAGAGGGAGCAGGAGGTCGTGAGTCTGGGAGTGGGTGACGGAGTCAGGGCGGGAGGACAACGTTGTCCGGTGGGTTCGGTGGCCAGGAGAGCACTGGTGACCTTGGCAGGAGCTGTCTGGTGGTGAGGGTTGGGGAGTTGTGGCCAGGCAGGAGAGGGTCAATGACTGAGAGGGAGACATGGTCCTGGAGACGGAGAGAGAAGCCAGCTCTGCCAAGAAGCTGAGCTGCAGAGGCCTGGCTGGGGGCCGGCAGTGTTTTATTGTATCTCATTAAAGTGAGAGAGACAGGAGCATACACTGATGTCAGTATGCATGTCAGGTTGAATATGTATGTGCTTCAACCCTTAGCTCTGTCTCCTCTGTCTTGTGGGAGTGACGGGGAACAAGCCCTGGGCTGCGGGCTGTGCTTGCTCTGTGTCTGGAGTTTACTGAATTCAGTTGACCCAGGCCCGAGACACTGCTTTGACCTTTCCCTGGGCCGAAGGCCCCAATTTGGGGAGAGATTTCCTTGGTCATGAGCCCCTAGGGCTGACTGCTTATTCTTTCTCCTTTTCAGATGGATGAGATCAAAGGGAAAGACCGTGTGATTCTGGCCTTGGAGAAGGAACTTGGCGTGCAGGCTGGGCAGACCCAGAAGCTGCTTCTGCAGAAAGAGGCTTTGGATGAGCAGCTGGTTCAGGTCAAGGAGGCCGAGCGGCACCACAGTAGTCCAAAGAGAGAGCTCCCGCCCGGGATCGGGGACATGGTGGAGCTCATGGGCGTCCAGGTGAGGGGCAGCAGCTTGTGCCAGCCTCAGGCTGGTCCCCCACCCATTTAGGTGGCATTTTTCTGGTCAGCCACAGAGGACTCTGAGGTGGCATGTATTCACTCATTCATTCATTCACTCAGTATTGGAGGGGATGTTATAAGTTCTTTGTGCTGGACGCTGTGTGAGGTGCCGGTGCGTGGCGGCCTTTGTAAGAGATACGGGGTGGGAGGGGCCTGACCACAAGGGCCCCAGGGAGCCACGGAAGGGTTTGAAGTCTCAGTGGCCGTCTAGATGGAGTCTTCCGCAGGTGTGCAGTGGGCTTGGGTGTTCCCCACCTTGCTGTGTGGCATGTGGGCCCCTGAATAAGGATCTCACCCATTATGTCATGTGAATTTTCTAAGAAGGCTCCACACAACTTCTTCAAAGTACATTTACGTCTTGACTTTTTTTTTTTTTTTTTTTTTTTTTTTAGGATCAACATATGGACGAGCGAGATGTGAGGCGATTTCAACTAAAAATTGCTGAACTGAATTCAGTGATACGGAAGCTGGAAGACAGAAATACGCTGTTGGCAGATGAGAGGAATGAACTGGTAAGTAGCCCCAAGAGACAGGCGGTGCCTCATAGGGTGCAAGGAAGGGGCCCTGAGTCCCTGAAACATGCCCTGCACAGAAAGTTAATGCAGAAGCCTTCTGGTTCTCTGAACTTTCCTTCTTACTTCTTTTCGATTAAAAATCTAACACATGCTCATTGAAGAAATCTCTTACTGCCATTTGTTTTTGTAGGAACTTATCTTTAGCAAACAACTGGAGAACTTCCATGAGAAGCATGGAGAGGATGTTCATTGCAGTGTTGTTTATGTTAACAACCGAAACCGAAAAAAATCAACAATTAAAAAACCAAAAAACCCAATTGTTCAATACTAAAGCGTAGGGCAGAGTGATTATGGAATATTTATACAATGAATTCTAGACTGTCATTAAGATTGATGATGGAGACCCTCTTTAATTGAAATGGAAACGTGTTCATAGTAAATTAAATGAAAAATGCATTTTACAGAACAATAATACATTGTCATCATCTTGAATATTAGAAATTATTCTTTTTTTTTTTTTTTTTGAGATAAAGTTTCACTCTTGTCGCCCAGGCTGGAGTGCAATTGGCACCATCTTGGCTCACCGTAACCTTCACCTCCCGGGTTCAAGCGATTCTCCTGCCTCAGCCTCCCGAGTAGCTGGGATTACAGGCATGTGCCACCATGCCCGGCTAATTTTGTACATTTAGTAGAGGCAGGGTTTCTCCATGTTGGCCAGGCTGGTCTTGAACTCCTGACCTCAGGTGATCTGCCCGCCTCAGCCTCCCAAAGTGCTGGGATTACACACAAGAGCCACCACATCTGGCTAGAAGTTATTCTTTTAGGTGGTGTAATTATGGGTAATTTTAATTTGTGCTTATGTATTTACTTTTTTGCATAAAATTTTATATACTTGTAAACTAAAACTTATACATTAATTTTAAAAATAATGAACATGGACTTCT
Organism: Homo sapiens; assembly: GCF_000001405.40. NCBI lineage: Eukaryota > Metazoa > Chordata > Mammalia > Primates > Hominidae > Homo > Homo sapiens. The sequence goes on along the minus strand of NC_000004.12, from coordinate 6,083,898 downwards.
GGTTAAAAAAGAAATCTCCAGTAAAAATAGAAATTTCATGAATATGTTTACATTTTCTGGATAACAGCAAAACTAATTTTTATGTAATGGCAGTTGATACATCAACTTCTTGACAGATGCCTCATAATTTTTATGTTTATTCTAATTTTTATTATGAAGAGAAGTATATCCACAGAATATTTGAAAAAAATGAGTGGTGAAAAGTGTCCGTAAGTATCACCTCTTCACAACTTTAATAGGATCAAAATAAATTTACTTCCTTCCAGTATTTTTAAATGTTTTTTTTTTTTTGGCTTTAATCAGACTGTACATCTAATATTATGTCTCTACTCTTCATTTAAATATTTATAAGCTCATAAATACTCATGAGCTGCATAGTTTACTGAGTGGATTAGGAAAAAACACAGGCTTCTGGAAACATGTCAGATCAGACTGAAGTAGTTAAAAGTAGAAACTAATAAGTTTGCCAACGCTTCAATCTTTTTTTTTTTTTTTTGAGGTGGAGTCTTGCTCTGTCGCCCAGGTTTGAGTGAGGTGATGTGATCTCAGCTCACTGCAACCTCTGCCTCCCGGGTTCAAGTGATTCTCCTGCCTCAGCCTCCCAAGTAGCTAGGATTACAGGCACCCGCCAACACACCCGGCTAATTTTTGTATTTTTAGTAGAGATGGGGTTTCACCATGTTGGCCAGGCTGGTCTTGAACTCCTGACCTCAAGTGATCTGCCTGCCTCAGCTTCCCAAAGTGCTGGGATTACAGGCGTGAGCCACCGCGCCTGGCCTCAATCTTAAAATCATGAGGTAACTACTGCTAGTTTGGAGTGGTTCTTAAATGTTCTTAATGTTTAAATAAATACCTTAAAACTCACCGAGAGACTTTGTTTTATTTTATGGATATGAATTGGGATTTTTTTCCCTGCTGTGTATTGTTCTGCAACTTGCTTTTTTCACCTCATTGATCAATTACATCACTCCCCATCAGTGCTTAGAGATCTGTCTTTGTCTTTTTACCAGCGGCTTGGTAGTCCATTGTGTGGATATACCATGGTCTGTTCACCTCTCTTCCCAGTGGTGGATCTTTAGGCTGTTGCCGCTTTCTGGATTTCTGTGAGGTGCCACATGCCTGTAATCTCAGCACTTTGGGAAGCCAACGTGGGAAGATTCCTTGAGCTCAGGAGTTCCAGCCCAGCTTGGGCAGCATGGCAAAACCCCATCTCTAAAAATACAAAAAAATTAGCTGGGTGCAGTGGTGCACACCTGTAGTTCCAGCTACTTGGGAGGCTGAGGTGGGAGATCACTTGAGGCCAGGACGTCAAGGCTGCAGTGAGCTGAAATCACGCCACGGCACTCAAGCCTGGGTGACGAAGTGAGACCCTTTGTCAAAGTGACACATGTCATTTTACCTACCTTCTGTCTCGAAAAAAAAAAATGCCATGAAGAAGATACATATGGGTCTTTACTGACTTTACATAAAGGTTCAAGTCAGTAAAGACACGTATGTATCTTCTACATGGCATTTTTTTGGGGGGGCGGTAGGTTTCTAGAAGTAGAATGCATGGGTCACATGGTACATTTTATATTTCAACCTATACCATCAGAATATTTTACCTTAACATTTACAGCCTGGGGAGTAAACGCAGGGGTCTAGAGTCAGTCCCTTGTGTTTGAATCTTGGTGAACTCAAACCACCAATCTTTGCAAAAGTGCAAAGCATTCTTGGCACTTTCTTTGTGAAGTTGGGCCCATTGCCTCCTCTCTTTGGGCTCAGGTTCTTTGTCTATAAAATGCGGATGGGGAAGGTGGCCCCTTCACATGTGTTGGCTGTGCCTGTGGTTATCATGATATTGATAGATATTTAAGTTGTTTCTAATTCTTTCCATGAAAATAACACTGGGAGACTACCACTATGCATTCAATTCTCACCATGTGCCTAGGAGACAGGAGCTGCCGTGATTCTCATTTGATAGATGAGGAAACTGAGGCTGAGAACTTGCCCATTGTCATGCAACTAGCAAACAAATGTGTCATCCAGGACACTGGCCTCAGAAGGGGTCCTAACTGGGTTGAGTCTCTGCTCACCTCGGTGCTGTGACCTCGGCCGTCCGTCGTCAAGTTGTCTGAGCCTCTGTGTCTGTTTCCAACCACAGCTGAAACGCTCACGAGAGACCGAGGTTCAGCTGAAGCCCCTGGTGGAGAAGAACAAGCGGATGAACAAGAAGAATGAGGATCTGTTGCAGAGTATCCAGAGGATGGAGGAGAAAATCAAGAACCTCACGCGGGAAAACGTGGAAATGGTGAGCTGTGGACCCCTTGGGGACAGCCCTGACACTCCCTTCTCTGTCTGGGATTCTTCAGCCCTGAACCTCCCGATTCACATGTTCTGGGGCGCACCTGCTGCCCACCTCCCCACAAAGCACCAGGCACAGTGTCAGTCACAGATGTCTCGCCTTTCTCTCCACCTGTCTCACATTCACTGTGCTGTGGGTGTTTGTGCCCAGAGGGAGTCAGACAGCTGTGTCCTTAAACACATCCCCCATTCTCTCTGAGCCTCTGTTTCTTCATGCATAAAATGGGAATGAAAATATCCACACTGGAGGATCATCAAGAGGATGAAATAACAGCATGTAAAGACCTCACAGGGAACGGGCCCAGAGGACACCCAGCAAGTGAAAGCTGTTACAATGATCGCTGGCGATGCTCTGCAGAGGGGTTTCTCCTCCAGCTAGGATGCCTGGTGTTTGTGGTCAGGGCAGGCGTCTTGTAGTTGACAGTTTACAGAATGATTTCAGGTTCATTGTTCAGAGTAGTATCAACCCCCACTTCACAGCCGGGAAGACGGAGGCTCTGTCACCACACATGCTCTGCTGTCTGCACTGTAGCAGATGCAGGTGTGTGTGTGTGTGTGTGTGTGTGTGTGTAATTGCTGTTGTGTGAAGTCCTCTCCTTCCCCTGCCTTCCCCTCCCAGGTTTCTAGGCTCATTTCAAATGTCGTCTTCCACCCCCAGGCCCTGCGCATCCCTTCCTGTCAGCAGTGTGCATGGTCAGCCCCACCTTGGGCTTGGCTTTGGTCTGCCCTGTCCCCTCTTCCAGCACAGGACAAGGTGGCCACGTATTAGTCCATTTTCACACTGCTGATAAAGGCATACCTGAGACTGGGTAATTTGTAAAGAAAAAGAGGTTTAATGGACTCACAGTTTCACGTGGCTGGGGAGGCCTCACAATCATGGCAGAAAGCTAAAGGCACATCTTACTTGGCGGCAGACAAGACAGACTGAGAGCCAAGTAAAAGGGGAAAACCCTTATAAAAACATCAGAGACTTATTCACAACCACGAGAATAGTATGAGAGAAACCGCCACCATGATTCAATGATCTCCCACCTGGCCCCTCCCACAACACACGGGAGTTCTGGGAGCCGCAATTCAAGATGAGATTTGGGTGGGGACACAGCCAAACCATATCAGGCCATCATCTCTTTCATCCTCCCATCCATCCTTCTGTCCCTGCACCCCTGAGCTCCACTCCAGCACTGTCCCTAACAAACACTGTTGGCGGGTAACCCTGTGGTGGTCTGTCTCCCTGTGGCTGCAGAAAGAAAAGCTGTCAGCGCAGGCGTCTCTGAAGCGGCATACCTCCTTGAATGACCTCAGCCTGACGAGGGATGAGCAGGAGATCGAGTTCCTGAGGCTGCAGGTGCTGGAGCAGCAGCACGTCATTGACGACCTCTCACTGGTACATCTAGCACAGCTGGCGCGGCTGCCCCTGGCAGGGGTGGCACCAGCTGACATGGGTGTCAGGAACGGGTGTTGGGGCTCAGGGTGATGCTGCTGAGCTGGGTCAGGGTCAGGCAGTGCTGACTTTGGGACTCACCAAGCTCACCCTGGTGTGCACATTCCCGCTTCATTCTGCCACTAAGCAGCCTTGGCTTAAATGAGATCACTGGTACTTGGGGACAGTTTCCATGGCTACCCTTTTCTCACATCTTCTCCCTAGCTTGCTGTGATTGAGAAGCATCAGTTTTAAGGATGTCTTTTGGCCTTTAGAGACTGGGCATGATCTGTTCCAGAGAAGGCTTTTTGTTTGTTTGGTTGGTTGGTTGGTTGGTTTTTAGCTTAGCAGTTGCAGACTGTGAGTTTAGGCCCACAAACTTGAACCTTATAACCAGACCAGCACCTTGCTAAGACTGCCTGTGTGAGTTTTGGACGTGTATATGGGGCGTGCATCTATCAAAGGGGGTTGAGTATGTCCTAAGCGGTGGAGAATTGCATCCAGAGAATTCCACAGCTCTCTGTGAAAGGAACTTCGGCAACAGGCAGAGAACACCTGCAGGGAGCTTTAGTTGGATCTTAGAAGTAGAACGTGTTCTGCTCACCAAAGTGGGTGTGTGATGGTTCCATGCACTGGTTTTCAAAGAATAGAAAAGCTAGTGATCAAAATTCTAGAAAAGGCTTTGATTATAATTTTCATGTTCATTTTGCCTGCCTCCATCTCCCTCTACCTCTTTAACTTCTCTCTTTCTTCCTTTCACCCATCCATCCATCCATCCATCCACCCACCCATCTGTCCACCCATCCATCCATCCACTCACCCATTCTTTCATCCTTCCATCCACTTATCTATGCATACATCTATCTATCCATCCATCTTTGCTTCATTACACAAAAGACTCAATGCAGCTTAGGATGAAAAATATATTTCAGTGAAATAACAATAAAGTCAAAAGGTGGATAATAAACTCTCCCTGTAGCTCTCAGTTCAGAGAAGCAGCCATCACTTGGGCACTTAGAACTTCAACTAGCCATGCCTGGTGCGGATGGGCAGGCCCAGCTCCCTTTGAGAGCCAGTGGCTTTGGTTTGTGAGATGTGAGGCTGGCTGGAAATGCCAACCGTTGTGTTTCCTTCTAGGAGAGAGAACGGCTGTTGCGCTCCAAAAGGCATCGAGGGAAAAGTCTGAAACCGCCCAAGGTGAGCCTGCGATGGTGCACCTGCCCTACCTTGCCGCTGTGTCACGGATCTGCAGGGCAGATGGGTCGTGGAGTGGGGAGGTTTTACAGAGGGGTCCTGAAGCAGACACACACATCTCTGCATGCCTGATGATGAAAAGCCTGTCATCACCGTCTCTCAAAGCAACATAAATATGGCCGTGTCATGTGACCCAGTTATTGTAATTTATTCATGGAAAACTTCCTGATGTATTCTCCACTTAGGCTTCAGGGTATATTCACCCAAAATTAAAAACATAAATACTTAAACCTTTTGAAGGATTTAAGGGACATTCAGGGTTGGTTTATATGAGAGCATATCCTGTTCTAAAAAAATCAGGAGCTTTGTGTTTTTTTGGAATCATGCAGAACTGTAGTCTTTTTTGGAAAATATAGGTCTTTTGCTATTTCCTAGTAACAGTGTCTGAAGGAGCTGGGCTTATAAAATTCAAATGCCCACAGGGACCAATCTGGAATGTAAAGAGCGCACTGGAGCTGATACCAAAAAAAAAAAAAAAAGCATAGTTTGCCTTTAAACCTGTAAACCTATTTTTGGCTCCCACAAAGACACAGTTCTCCTCTCCATTTTTTTTTTGTTTTTTTTTTTTAGACAGAGTCTCACTCTGTTGTCCAGGCTGGAGTGCAGTGACACCATCTCGGCTCACTGCAAACTCCACCACCCAGGTTTAAATGATTCTCCTGCCTCAGCCTCCCGAGTAGCTGGGACTACAGGCACATGCCACCACGCCCGGCTAAATTTTGTATTTTTAGTAGCGGCAGGGTTTCACCATTTTGGCTAGGCTGGTCTTCTCTCCTTTTTATTGAACACAAGTGCCCCGTTTGGTTTATCTTTTGATGGAGATGTGGTTATAGAGAAATATTTCTCATCTATAAGGGAAACAGCTGTGCAAATGTGATAGTGAATGGCCAAAGACATGTGGTCTTGGTGTCAGGGTGACAACAGGGAATGGTGGGGACTGTGGCAAACTGGGCCCTGAATCCTGGTTGCTATAAGAAGGTGGACCGATGGCATCAGATAGTCCAGTTTTTCAAGGGAAATATAAATCCTTGTATGTTAGCTTCCTAGGGCTGCCTTAACAAAGTACCACAAAATCAGTGGCTTAGAGCCACCGAAAAAGACCGGGCACAGTGGCTCATGCCTGTAATTCCAGCACTTTGAAAGGCCAGGGTGGGTGGATCGCTTGAGCCCAGGAGTTTGAGATCAGCCTGGGCAACATAGCAAGACCCTGTCTCTACAAAAAATTAAAAAAATTAGCTGGATGTGGTGGCACCTGAAGTCCCAGCTACTTTGGAGGCTGAAGCAGGAGGACTGCTTGAGCCCAGGAGGTCAAGGCTGTAGTGAGTCATGATTTTGCCACTGAGCTCCAGCCTCAGTGACAGAGCAAGACCCTGTCTCAAAAAAAAAAAAAAAAAAAAAAGGAAAGGAAATGTATTATCTTACAGTTCTAGAGGCCAGAATGCTGAAATTAAGGTGTCGGTAGAGCCACGTTCCCTCCCTCTAAAACCCGTAGCAGACCCCTCCTTTCCTCTTCCTAGCTTAGAGTGGTTTCCCAGCAATCTTTGGTGTCCTTGGTTTGCAGCTTGAACTCCAATCTCTGCCTTCATTGTCAGTGACATTCTACCTGTGTGTCTCTGTGGCTTCACATATAAAGCCACCACTCATGCTGGATTAGGAGTCCACCCTACTCCAACGTGACCTCATGATAATTTAACTACATCTGCAATGATCCTATTTCCAAATAAGTCACATTCTGAGGTACTGGGATTAGGACCTCGACCTATCTTTTTGGGGGGATACAGTTTAATCCATAACACCTTACTTTATATGAAATTGAAGGATTTAAATGCTGGATTTTAAATGTCTGTAATTTTATATGTCCAAATACAGGTTGAACATCCGTAATCCAAAATCCAAAAATCCGAAATCCAAAATGCTCCAAAATCTGAAACTTTCTCAGCACCAACATGAGGCCAGGGAAATTTCACACCTGGCCTCATGTGACAGGTTGCAGTAAAAACACTATCAAAACTTTGATTCATGCACAAAATTATTTAAAATATTATATACAATTCCCTTCAGGCTATGTATTATATATAAAGTGTATATGAAACAAATGAATTTCATGTTTAGACTTGGGTCCCATCCCCAAGATACCTTATTCTGTTTATGCAAATATTCCAAAATCTGAAAAAACATCCAAAATTCCTTCTGGTTCCAAGTATTTCAGATAAAGGACACTCAGCCTGTAAAATATATACCTGTGGGCCACATAAAATATATCTATGGGTGCAATTTGGCTCCCAGGCTGCCTCCTGGTGGCCTTTACTGCAGCGTTCAGGTAATGCCACTTAGAGTGGCCTGGCTCATTGGTGATTTGCTAGGTCCTGGATTCTCAGATGAGTGGGTATTTAAACAATCTCATTGAATTCTCACAGCCACCCCATATAGTTGGTATTATTTTTTCAATTTTACAGCTACAGAAGACATATATATATATAATATAGAAAAACTCAGAGAAAAATTAAATTGACAAGGCTGAGTTTCAAACTCAAGTCTGAGACTACAAGGCCCAAGCTTTTCCCACCAAGCCAAGTCGAACACGGGGCAAATTTCTGCACATTGACATTAGAAACTCAGAAATAGGAAGTGGTTTGAGTAGAACTTGTCTATATTTATTTGTTTGTTTGTTTATTTTATTTTTTATTTATTTACTAATTTTTTTTGAGATGGAGTTTCGCTCTTGTTGCCTGGGCTGGAGTGCAATGGCACAATCTCGGCTCATTGCAACCTCTGCCTCCCAGGTTCAAGCGATTCTCCTGCCTCAGCCTCCCAAGTAGCCGAGATTACAGGCATGTGCCACCACGCCTGGCTAATTTTGTATTTTTAGTAGAGACGGGGTTTCACCATGTTGGCCAGGCTGATCTCAAACTCCAGACCTCAAGTGATCCACCTGCCTCAGCCTCCCAAAGTGCTGGGATTACAGGCATGAGCAGCTGCAACTGGCCATTCTTCCTGATTTCTGAATGTGTTTATGGGAGGAGAAATTCACAAAGGGTTGGAATTGAATCGTGATTTGCTACATTGCCTGTACAACAGGCAAGGACAGGGGCTGTGTCTGTCCTGCCCACTGTGGCCTGTTCATTGCCTGGCACAGAGTAGGTGTTGACTAAATAGTCCCTAAATAGTTGTTGGCTAAATAAGCGAATTGCCTTTACTGGAAAAATGTACTTGTATGACACTGGATTGTTGCAGAAGAACGGTGATGTGTGGTCACTTTAATGAAGATAGTTCCGTGTCATTAGGAGGCCGAATTTGGGGATCTGTGTAGAAACTTTCCTGAATGGGTTTAGGGTCTTTTCTATTCACTGTTTCCTGGGCCCACCAGCATTTTTTCTTTTTCTCAAGATTCAGTGTAGACTTCCGTGTGGACCAAGTTTTCTCCCATGTTCCTACTTAATCCTGGCATTGTGCAGGGCTGGATTGAATTGATACTTGGATCCATCGGGGCCCAAGCAGGTTTTGTAATCCAGGGTTGCCTTTTAGGCCTAAGAAGCTTCTCTTTCTTCTCTACCACAGGCCACAGGCATTCAGTACACTTGGCTTTCTGTATCTGTGGGTTTCACATCCATGGATTCAACCAACCTCTGGTTGAAAACCTTCAGGAAAAAAAAAATGGATGGTTGCATCTCTACTGAACATATACAGACTTTTTTTCCTTTTCTTTTTGTTTTGAGATGGAGTCTCACTCTGTTGACCAGGCTGGAGTGCAGTGGCACGCTCTTGGCTCACTGCAACCTCCACCTCCCGGACTTTTTTTTCCTTTTCATTATTCACTAAACAATACAGTCTAAAACTAGAGTCATGCATTCCTTAACAACAGGGACACATTCTGAGAAATGCGTCATTAGGCGACTTTGTCATGCAAACATCATGAAGTATACTTGCACAAACCCAGATGGTCTAGCCTCCTACACACCTAGGCTATTCAGTCTAGCCTGTGGCTTCTGGGCTGCAAGCCTGTGCCGCATGCTACTGTACTGAATACTGTAGGCAGTTGTAATCCAATGGTATTTGTGTATCTAAACATAGACAATGTACAGTAAAAATACAGTGTTATGATCTTATGGGACCGTTGTTGTATACTGTTGAGGACTGAGATGCTGTTATGCTGCACATAACTGGGTTTACAGGGCATCTGCACTGTATTAGGTACGATATTATAAGTAATCTAGTTAAAGTGTACAAGAGGATGTGCGTAGGTTATATGCAAGCACTACACCAATTTGTATAAGGGGCTTGAGCAGCCATGGATTTGAGTATTCGTGGGAGGTTCTAGAACCAGTCCCCCATGGGTACCGCAGGATGACTAGACTAGTTTCTTTTTCCCCTGAAATGCCCCCATCACTCTCTGTCCATCACACATGGAAGTGTTTTAACACTTTGCCAAAGGCTTTGCTTGACAGAGTACTGTGGTGAATGCATTGAAAGTTCCAGAACTTTCCAGAAATCTGACAGCCCCATCCCTACTCTCCAGCTCCTGACTTTCTGTCAGAAAGACCCTAGCAAACCTCCCTGGACTCCCTGCAGGAGGGTGCCTCCAGTCCACTCCCACACCCCAGCTTGCAGAAGATGCAGTCAGGGCAGAGCCTTGCAGAAGATGCAGTCAGGGCAAAGCAGAGGGTGTCCACCTTTGTCTTCCCGGAGCGTTTGTGTCCCTGAGGGCCATGACTCTGCCTTACTGGGCCTATCCAACAGTCCCCTTATGGGATCTCCTCCAGGGACAAGATTGGTGCTGATTATCTCATTTCCCAGGGAGCCTGCTGGTTCAGCGTGGGCTCACGTTAGCCCCAAAGGAGAGGTTGGAGGAGAAGGATCCTGAGTGGTTCCTCGGACTGTGCCCTGGGGACTGGGGTAGGGGGCTTGCTCAGGACCTGGGCCTCTGGCCATGTGGCAGTAAATTGTGTTGCAGGCTATTGGAACTTGCACAGAAGCTGTATCATCACAGAGTTCTAAGCATATGCATAATGGCTAAAAATCAGTACAGTTTACGCACACACCTTGGTTGAAAGAAGGACCCATCATTTTGGATAAGGTTGGGAAATTGTAGCCCCAAGCAGTATGGGAGTCAGACCCTAGCTACTAGCTGGATGGGATTGGCCAAGTCATCTAAACGCTCAGAACCTCAGTTTGATTCTTAAAATGAACATTATATCCATGGGATCTAAGGAAGCTTCTGGTTCTTTGCTTGGTGCATAGCAGGTTATCAGGAAGTCAGAGTGTCTCCTTCTTCCTTTACCTTATAGCTCAATAACTTTCCTTTGGAGGGCCTGTGAAATGCAGATTCCCAGGCCATGCCTACACCCTGCCTCCCCCACTAATTTATAATAGTGAGGTGGGATCTCAATGCCCTTTGCAGTAATCATCCTTTAAGGGAGGGCTGGGGACTGCGCTGGGAACCATCAAAGCACATTGGAAGGAGAGGCCCTTTCTTGGGCCAGTGCTTCAGTGCTGTGTCCCCTCCTCCCCAAATGACTCTGGGTCTGCTGTTGCCAGGGGTTGGAGGATGCCTGAGGTCTGGCGGGCCATTTTTGTCAGTGGCTCTTGCATCCATTCTGATGGGACCTATCAAAACACGCAGGACCTATCTAAACTTGACTCCTAGCCCCACGCCCCTGAGGCCAAGCCTGCTGCCTGCTGGAGGGAAGGACACCCCTGAGGCCAAGCCTGCTGCCTGCTGGAGGGAAGGACAGACACTGGCAGCTGGTTGTACAGTACCTTTGCCTGCCTAGGAAGCTCAAGCACTTTTTTTTTTTTTTTTTTTTAAGACAGAGTTTCTCTCTGTCGCCCAGGTTGGAGTGTAGTGGCGTGATGGAGCTCAGCTCACGGCAACCTCCGCCTCCCGGGTTCAACCAATTCTCGTGCCTCAGCCTCCTGAGTAGCTGGGAGTGTGCCACCAGGCCTGGCTAATTTTTTTTGTATTTTTAGTAGAGACAGGGTTTCACCATATTGGCCAGGCTGGTCTCGAACTCCTGACCTCAAGTGACCTGCCTGCCTCGGCCTCCCAAAGTCAAACATTTTTTCATCATGTGCATGCATTTTTCATTTGCAAGTTTTGCCAAAGCTACCCATTTTTTCCTTCATGGTTGTTTGCAGTCGATCTTATTCCTAGGCTGCCTTCCCCACGGCTGTCACCAGTCTGTGAGCTCATGAGGGCTGGATGGTGCCCTGGGATCCAGCTACTCGAAGCTGCTGGCACAGTGCCCTGCACTCAGAGAGGCTAATAGTAGTGACTGCGTGAAACCAGTGGCTACTTCATGTCTGTTTACAGGGCTGGCCTCGGTTGGTGTGTAACTGTGGGCCCTTTGCTGGGAGGGGCGAGGGCTTGTTCCCTTCTGGCTCAGCAGTGTCCCTGTCACCTGGTCCCTCCTCCACAGCAGCCATCAGGACTCATTTCATGCAGCTCTGATCAAAGGTAAAGAGGGCATGGGCAGCAGGACTTTGTCCCAGCCTCGCCAGCTGAGTGGCTGATGTAAATCAAAAAGTCTCTGAGGCAGCTCTCAATCAATTTAGAAGTTTATTTTACTAAGGTTAAGAATGTACCCTGGAGACAGATCTGAGCCTTTCTCCAAAGATGATTTTGAGGGGTTCAATATTTAAAGGGGAAAAGCGGGCTGGAGGGGAAAGAGGGGGTGTGTGGTCACATGACTGAATCCACAGGTTGTGAGAGAAACGGAGCAGGTAGGGGAATAGTCCTAATTATGTAATTGTCTTGTGCTCAGTAAATCAACACTTTACATAAGATAAGGTGAACATGGAGCAGCTACCTGTAGAGATGCTTAACCTTTTCTCTGCAGCTCTCTGCTTAGGAACAAAAGGAAAGGCAGCTTCTTGCATGACTCAGCTTTCAGCTTAAGTTTTTCTTTTTGGTGGAGTGAACTGGGGTTCAGAGTTTTTATTTTCCTTTCACAGCGGGCTCTGTGCCAGAAGCATGGGAGGCCCCTCTGAGCATTGCTCCATGTCCCACCTGCTGGGGGCCCTTTGGTAAAGGACTCGGGGAAGATGTGGGTCCTGGGGATAGGACACTGGGGTGATTATGAAGAGACGGGGGCTGTGTCCTGGACCACATGCAGGCGTCTCAGCAGACAAGCACACACACCGTCTGTGCCGGTCCTGGAGGTACCGCCAGAGGAGCTGCAGCTGGTGTGGGTAGAGCAGAGCTCGGGAGCCTGACCTGGCCACAGAGGCCGACTGGGTACCTTGTCCAGGGTAGCAAACACCATGGGGACATCCAACTCCCATTTGCAGACTTGGGAAGGGACAGGTGCCATTACCTATGGTGGTTCTAGGTAATTTGTTCACACAGGGAAGGAAACCCCAGCGCCAGGAGTGAGCAGGGTGGTGAGTCCTGGTCTCAGGGAGAAGCTGCTGCAGAGGCTGGGTCTGTAGGTGCCCGGCCTCCTGCCTAGTTTCAGGAGGTGACTTCAGGCCCCGTGGGGAGGGGCTTGAGGCAAAGGTTCCAGATTGCAGCCCCGCCCCTCCAGGCCCCTCTGTCTCAAGTCTGCACTGCCTGGGGCCAGGCCCAGGTGTCTCAGGTCTGCACTGCCTGGGGCCAGGCCCAGCTGTCTCAGGTCTGCACTGCCTGGGGTCAGGCCCAGCTGTCTCAGGTCTGCACTACCTGGCCGGGTGGTGCCTCATTAGGAAACATGGCTTAAAGGGTAGTCGGCACTAAATTGAGTAGCACAATCCAGTCACACAGTTCATCTGATGGAAACTTCCAAAGGAATACAGCATCATGCATTGTTGAAGTTGAAACATACATGAACTTTGCTATGTACATTTCTTTTATGAATTATCCATTGCCCTTTAATATTGCTTTGGTATCTGTCAAAGTTCAGACGTTTTACTTTTTTGTGGTAAAGTCTGTCCATTTTTTCTGCAGCATGAGAGTTTTTGCTTTTGATATTATGTCTGGTGACGCTTCTCCGAGAGATGGAAGACTCTCAGAGACATCCCTTCTGGGCAGGTGAATCTGAAGACTTTGATCTAGTTAAAAAAATCAGTTTTTCTATTAAATAATGGTTTGTTTTGGCCTATAAAAATGGTAAAACGCTGACAAATTGATGGTAGAGAAGCCAGTGAATTTGGCAAGTCTAGGGTGCCTATGAGGTTGTCGGGGAACAGCAGATAAATTTCCCAAACACATGAGGACAGAGGCAGCTCCTCGGTTTGGGTCCTGAGGGAGAATCTATCGTGGCGTTGCCATTGCTAGTGCTGCCCCGGGGGCCTTGCGATTGTCTGGGGACCCAGGGCCTGTGCCATGGTGTTGACAACAGGCTCTCGGCTCAGGGAGGACGGGATCTGGGAGGAAGGTCCCCAGAGAATAAACTGGTTCGGAGGCTGTCCTCTGTGACGAAGGCACCCTATCCCGCCCCTGGAAACCTCTCCCTTCAGCCCGCGGTTGGCGTGGCCAGCATCTGGGCTCTGCCCTGGAGCTGGCTTCCCTTTTACTGAAGGTGCGTCTTCTGGCGCACTCCTGTTCTTGGGACTCTGCAGCAGACGGGTCCACAGGAAGCCGTGGAGTTGCTAGGGCGGGTGTGTTAGAGGAAAGGGGAGTGCGTGGGGAGAGAATTGGTGCTTTTTCCTTGGACTGGAGGAAGCCCTGAAAATGGATGCCGACGAGGTGGCTTTTGCCTAAGCCCACGCACAGGGGCTGGTGTGTCTGCAGCTTCACGCCACCATGGAATATGTCCTCTTTGTGCTGTACTTCTCTTTCTTCCTGTGTCTCTGTGCCCTGGTGTGCCTGTACTTCTCTGGCTGCCAGGAGATGACCTATAAGCATGAAGGTAGGCAGCTGGTTCGGGGTTTTGCGTTTTGAGGTTCTCTGGCGGTCCCTGGCTGTGGCCGACCGATGCTCCTGCCTGTGACAGGTGGCTCTGTTGAAAATGATAGGAAGGTGAGAAGACAGGTGGCTGAGAGAGACTGGATCTGGTTGGGGGGCTATTTGTTTTGGGGGTACCTCCTCTTTTTCCCTCTGCTTCATCTGACCCGCTGAGGAAGAGCACCTCTGTATATGCAAAGTGTAAATGGAGGAGACATGTTTACTCTTCATTCATTTTGCCAAAACTGAATCTTTTTTTTTTTTTTTTTGAGACAGGATCTTGCCCTGTCACCCAGGCTGGAGTGCAGAGGCACAATCACAGCTCACTGCAGCCCCAACCTCCCAGGCTCAAGTAATCTTTCCACCTCAGCCTCCCAAGTAGCTGGGACTACAGGCGTCAGCCACCATACTCGGCTAACTTTTTAAATAACTTTTTGTAGAGATGGATTCTCACTATGTGGCCCAGGTTGATCTTGAACTCCTGGGCTCAAGCGATCTTTCTGCCTCAGCCTCCCAAAGTGCTGGGATTACAGGCATGAGCCACTGTGCCCGGCCAAAACTGAATCTTAATCTGAATCTGGATTCATCTGTAGAAACGAGTCAACAAGGAGAGGCTTTGGTTGCAAGGAACATGGAAGGCTAGAGGAATTACCTTTTTATTCAGTAGATGGGCTCAGAATGAGCAAATGGTGGACATTTTTGCTCCTAATGTATCTCTTGTGAGGAAAAACCTAGAGACTCTTAGAAGAGTGGAGACACAAAAAAATGAAGTTTCTTTCATGTTTGCCATTTTTTTTAAAGCCCACTGTGTGCCAGTCATGACAGGAAACAATGTTTTCTGGGCGGTTCTCCCCTCATCTCTTGAGAAGCAGGTGGTGAATTATTTCCTGCATTTTTTGAAAATGCAGTGCAAAACCAGTTGCATTGCCTTCAAGGAAGATAGCCACTGTGTTTTTACTTTAAACATTAATATATTGTTTCTATTTTTTATTAATAAAGACACAAATATATTGAGAAATCGAGTACATGTAGGCTTACTGCATAATATAATCACTCAACACAACTTTTCTCTAAAGGAAACAAACTAACCCAGTGTTATAAAATGTTATAAACACTAACCCAGTGTTATAAAATGTTATAAAAAAATGTTAAGGCTGGGCATGATGGCTCACACCTGTGATCCCATCACTTTGGGAGGTCGAGGTAGACGGATCACTTGAGGTCAAGAGTTTGACACCAGCCTGGCTAACATGGTGAAACCTTGTCACTACTTAAGAAAAATATATATGTACAAAAATTAGCCAGATGTGGTGGCACGCACCTGTAATCCCAGCTACTTGGGAGGCTGAAGCAGAAGAATCGCTTGAACTTGGGAGACGGAAGTTGTAGTAAGTTGAGATTGCACTACTGCTCTCCAGCCTGGGCGACAGAAGGAGATTCTGTCTCAAAAAAAAAAAAAAAAAGTTAAAAAATTTTTAAAAATACCCAGCATAAAAACCTGAGGGGTTGGGTCCCAGACAACTCGTTGCTGCTATGGGAACTCTGTGTGTGCCGTGCCTGGCTGTGGATTCCTCTGCATTGCTGCAGGATTCAAATTGGACTGCCCTTTTGTGTTTGGTTTCTGCTCTAAGAGCTGCTTCCTCTTTCCCTCAAAGCAGCATAGTTCTGTGGAGTCTTGGTCTCTGGGGCCATATGATATGATACTGTCGGGGGCTCCACTGGGTCTGGAGTTAGGCTGTTTGCTAAGGTTGCTCTACTTTAAACACAGGCGGCAACATCGGTAGTTAATGCCCTGTATTAGGGCTTGGGAGTTGAGTCCTTAACTAGCAGTCCTGTAGGGTTTTCGGCAGCATTGGTAGTTAATGCCCTGTATTAGGGCTTGAGAGTTGAGTCTTTAACTGGTAGTCCTGCAGAGCCTTCACAGTGGATCGTCCTAGGTAATTGAGCATTGAGTCGTTGCCCCCAGGAGGGTCCCTGATGCTGACGTGGATGGTCACAGCCCAGCAGTGTGTTCTAAATGTTTGGAAAGTGTGTAACTTGATGATGCTTCCTGGGCTACAGCAACAAACAGACTCGTCCCCAAAGGCCTTGCAGTTAGCAGTGTTTACAAGAAATAAGGTCAGCTCAGTGGCTGTTCAGAAAAATGTGGAACGTGGAGCTCAGGGGGGTGACCTGCGTGTGCAGAAGAGCTTGAGTGAACGTGGAGCTCAGGGGGGTGACCTGCGTGTGCAGAAGAGCTTGAGTGAACGTGGAGCTCAGGGGGGTGACCTGCGTGTGCAGAAGAGCTTGAGTGAACGTGGAGCTCAGGGGGGTGACCTGTGTGTGCAGAAGAGCTTGAGTGAACCTGGAGCTCAGGGGGTGACCTGTGTGTGTGTGTGCAGAAGAGCTTGAGTGAACCTGGAGCTCAGGGGGGTGACCTGTGTGTGCAGAAGAGCTTGAGTGCTGCAGATGCATCACTCCCGTGGGTGCCATTGTCACCATGGGATGTCACTACCACTGCTCTCTAGAGCTGGTTGGAAGAGTCCATGATGCCTGAAGTCGGGTGGGGTTCTCATCCAGAGGGGAGATTTGAGTAGATGATTGTCTCCAGCCTCTGCAAGGAGAGAAATGACATTGAAGTTGATGGTGCCCATAGTCTTCACGTACCTGCCAATGAGACTCATCTGGGGCATGTAACCACATGGTGCCCAACTGATGCCAGCTGTGTGAATGAATGGAAATGGTGTCATGTGCAAAACAAAATCTGTTTGTGGATAGACAAACTAGTGTGGCTTTGAGTTCATTAACACTGGGATACAGTCGAGAACAAAAGGGCCAACCCCCTGTCTTCATGGAGCTTCCATTTCAAGGGGTAGGGGGAAGACCATCAGTAAACACAATAGCTTGCCAGATCTTACGTCAGCGGGGAGATGTGCTATGGAAAGGAATAAAGAAGGAGGCCCCAGAGGCTGGGGCGGGGGTGAAGCAGGAGGGACCTGGGCATGGTGGCCAGGAAGCCTTTTCTCATATGGTTGCATTTGTGCAGAGACCTAAGGGAATCTAGGGAAGGAGACATGTGGATTCTGGGGAAGAGCGTCTCGGAGCGCAAAGGCCCCATGGCAGGTGTGTGTGGGGTGCAGAAGCCTGGAGCGGAGGAGGAGAGGGAGGGATGATGCCAGGGCAGGATGGGAGGTGGATCCTGTAGGGCCTCGCAGACCACTTGTAGCCTGCCTGGATGTTGGTGGTTTTAATAATTCCAGAGAGAGAGATATTGGTGGCTGGGACCAAGATGAAGGTCCCAATGGAGAGAGGGGGAGAGAGGGCTGGATTTTGAGTTGAAGGTGAAGACAACAGGGTTTCTCCCAGGGAGGGCAGGCATGAGAGGTGGAGAAGACAGGGGAGGACTCCTGGGATTGGGGCCTGGGCAACTGAAGCATGAGCTGCTGCTGCTGGACTCAGGTTAGATTGCGGGAGGTGCGGTGTTGGGGGTAAGTCACTGCCCGCTAGGATTCCACAATGCCATAAAGGACGCAGCTGACGTATGAGTCTGGAGTTCGGGGGAGAGTCGTATTCCCCATGCATATTAAAAAGCAAGGAGGAATGTGGGAGGGGTGATGCAGTGAGCAGAAAGACAGGTGCCAAATGCAAGAACGTTCTGGGTGACGTGTGGTGGTGGGTGCCTCCCTTGCAGCACCTTCAGAAACTGTGTAAGGTGACAAGGGTGTCCCTGCATCTTCTTCCTTGCCTTATGTCTGAATTATTTCCTAATCACATTATTAACTCTGGTGCCAGTCACATTTTTCTCACATTTACAGATATCTGGGTAAAACACTCAGGCTGGGAGGGGCCCTTAGTATGTGGGGAGTGCCTGGGTTTTCTCTGTGGGTTGGGGGAGCTCTGGGTGAAGTCATGTTTTGGATGAGCCAGCAGAGCCTTGGGCTGGGCTCTGGAATTCAGTTTTGATTCATTCTTCATGGTCTGAAAGGCATTCATTGATTGTAAAAACAAATAAAAATCCTTGTCGGGGGCTGTTTGGGAAAAAAAAACCCAAAAAAGCTATGTTCCTAAAATAAGAGACATTGATCTGGTGATTGTGGGTTGAGGTCTGTAGCCCCTAGGGGATGCAAGCTCCTTGGGGCAGGGACCTGGCCTGGTTATGATCCTATTGTATTCCCCAGGCCTGCCCCGTGTCTGGCCCATAGAAGGAGCTTTGCCAGTGTTTTCTGAGTGAATGAATTGATAGACAGATGAATGAAGCCCCATATCCTATGATATTTGGAGTGGGAGAAGTGCCAGCAGGGCAACTCAGAGGCCGTCACATAGAGCCTTACAATTTGCCTCTGGATCTGAGTGATGGTCGTGTGAAGGTCTATTACATGATTCCTTCTCATTCTGTGAATCTTCCCAGTTTTCTATAATAAAAAGTTAAGCAGAGATTGCCTCTAAGTGTGGGTCTGGCCAGGACTTGGGCCACACATTTGCCACACTAGTCAGAGTACTAGGACTATGGCTGGGCTCTCCACTCCTTCAAGCTGTTGCCCCCTCTGCTGTCCTTATTCATCCAGTTCTTCTCCTTAGAACTGAGCATCTCCCTGGACCCTGTCCCCCTTCTCCTTGGTACAGCCAGTGCGCTGCTCATGGAGCGTGACGGAGTGCTGGGCTGCTTTCTGGGCACAGGGCATGCATGGCCCCCTTTTGTGCTCACAGGTGAGGTGGCTTCTCAATCCATTTGCTAGAGAAGGAGGCTGGTGCTCCAGGGGCCAAGTGGTTTGCACAGGTCTACAGCTGGAGAGCCAGAGCCAGGACCAGGGCCAGACTAGCTCGCTCAGGCTGTAAACCCTAGGGTCATCCGCCACCTGCTGCCACCTTTTATCCCACCCAGTCAGTTACGAAGCCCACCAACCGCATCTTGTGATGCCCCAGTGGCCCAAATGTCAATCATCACCCCCCTGCACTGGCATGCCCACGACCAGGGACTGGTAGACTCTGGCAATCCTCAGTCGTTGCTAACATCATACAAATTGCGTTTTACAGAAGCATGTTGTGGAGACATTTTTTGGATTTGATGAGGAGTCTGTGGACTCAGAAACGTTGTCCGAAACATCCTACAACACAGACAGGACAGACAGGACCCCAGCCACGCCCGAAGAAGACTTGGACGATGTAAGCAAACCTGCAGAGAGGGCGGGACCTCACCCCAGATGCTCTCGGGGCGGCACCTCCTGCTTTTGATAGTTGCAAGTTTCGCTCCCTTGCCTATAGTTCTGAACCCCAGATGACCAGTTCCTACCAGTGCATTATCAAAGCCAATGGTGTGAAGGGAAGGCGGGCCCCACAGCTGTGGGCTCCATGAATGGCGATGGGAGGGCAGCACGTGGGGACCCTTTCTTTCCCCAGCACTGATTTCCCCACCAAGGAAATCTGTGGCTGCCAAGTTCAAGCTGAGTCATTGAGGGATGTTGCCTTGGGTTTCCTCACCATTTGCAATTAAAACTGCTGCGTAATGGTCTCTCCCTGGTCCCCACGCATGTGTGCACACACGGACACACCACCGGGCAGAAACAGCATCATTGCTTTCTTGACTAAGATAAAGCATGTAATCCAAAAATATATAAAGAAGAAGGTGAAGAGCCCTGAAGTCCCATCACCCCAAGGTCACCGCCTCACCCTGTCCTGACCACCTGTGCCCATCTGGGTGCATAGCCAGCTTCTTGAGCAAGGTGGATTCGTGAGGGGGCAAAGACCAGCTTCGTTCTCACTCACCTTCCCCAGGTGAATTCTTTCAGGAGTGCTGATTACATCTCAGGCAGACCTTGTGGGCTTCTATGCCTTCCAGTGATGGGAATAATCACATTTGATTAATTTCCTAAACAGCAGACTTCATTCAGCGCAGACCTTCCCCTTGCTCCCCACCAGGGCCTGCGTCAGGCTTGGCTGCTGTTTCCCTACCTTGCTCTTCTGCCTCTTCCCATGCAGGCCCCTGGTGGCTTTTTCTGAGCCCAGGGAAGAGCAAGAGTGGGAAGGGGGTGCGGATATGCCGGGGCAGCTGGCCCTCAGGGCAGTGCCCTCCGGCAGGGGCAGGTGGATCGCGCTACCTCGCGAGGGAGCACTTCTCCAGGTCTCCACAAGCTCCCCTTGCTGTGCTGCACCCCACAGCTTCCTGGTGAGGGACTGGGCACTGCAGCTCCTTGCGCCCCCACATCCCGAGTCTCTGAATGGTCCGCCTCCCACACACCCCTGCTTGTTGTCCTTGTCCCCTCCTGGTGGCATTTTCTGTGGAGTCCCATCTGGAATGACTTCTAGGCTGGTTTCCTCCCATGGGTCTATTTGCCATAGGAAAATGTGGCACATGCTATAGGCGCTGGCACATTCAACCCCAAGGTGGCCCTCTCTTTGCTCTTCCATCTTGTGCCAAAACTCTAGGGGACACATGTCACCTCTGCAGGTCGTCCCCTGGACATCCTTTCTCACACTGGGAGAGACACACCATCCTCCCCGTCAGCCCACCAGCCTCAGCCCAAGTGCCGGCTGGAGGGAGGGGCCAGGCCAGTGCTGGAGGCACACAACAGTCCATCAGCCTGTCCTGCACAGGGGTCTGGACTAGGCTACTCAGGCTTTAGGGTCTTGTTCTCAGCCATGGGCCTTTTATGTTTAACTTAAAACAGGATGCGTGATTTTCAGTTTGCTTTTTCCCAGCCAGTGATATGTAATAGGCATCTTTCAGCACCAGAACATGGGATTGCCTCATCCTCTCTCATGGCCATGTGGGGCTTTCCCATGGATGAGCAGCACGCACTGATGAGGGATTTATGCTGTGTCGTTTTCCACACCTGTGAACCATGCATGGAGCTCCTTCGTATTTGTGTCTTTACACA
Organism: Homo sapiens; assembly: GCF_000001405.40. Taxonomy (NCBI): domain Eukaryota; kingdom Metazoa; phylum Chordata; class Mammalia; order Primates; family Hominidae; genus Homo; species Homo sapiens. The sequence goes on along the minus strand of NC_000004.12, from coordinate 6,063,167 downwards.
CTTATGTGGCCATTTTTTTTTTTTTGGAGACGGAGTCTAGCTCTGTCGCCCAGGCTAGAGTGCGGTGGCATGATCTCGGCTTACTGCAACCTCCACCTCCCAGGCTCAAGGAATTCTCCTGCCTCAGCCTCCCGAGTAGCTGGAATTACAGGTGCCCACCACCATAACCAGCTAATTTTTGTATTTTAGTAGAGATGGAGTTTTGCCATGTTGGCCAGGCTAGTCTCAAACTCCTGACCTCAGGTGATCTGCCTCAGCCTCCCAAAGTGCTGGGATTACAGGCGTGAGCCACCATGCCCGGCCATCTCTTTAGGATAAATTCCCAGAATGGGAGGTGCTCAGTGGGAGGGGACACCCTTTACAATGGAGACCTTTGCTTCTGGAGTTGGGGCTGGTTCCATGGTACCAGCCCTTTCTCTCCCACCTGCTCCCACATAACTCAAGTGATTCCTGTGGGTGGGAGCTCCTGGGAGGAGTGCTGATGGCTGAGGAGGTGCCTCCTCCTGGCAGCCCTTTCCTCCAATGCCCTAGTTGCTTCCTGGCAATGCGAGGCTCCTTAAGCACCTGTTGGCAGCACTGTGAGATGTGGTCGTTTGATGTCTAAGTTGACCCTGGCACTCAAAGCCATAGCAAGTGTTTATTTATGTTTATTATTAAAATCAATCATAAATCATTTATTATTGTAATTTTGCACTTGATTATTTGTTTTCTTCTCCATTATGTGAAGGCCACAGCCCGAGAGGAGGCTGACCTGCGCTTCTGCCAGCTGACCCGGGAGTACCAGGCCCTGCAACGCGCCTACGCCCTGCTCCAGGAGCAGGTGGGAGGCACGCTGGACGCTGAGAGGGAGGCCCGGGTGAGTGCAGCCAGCCTCAGGGCTCGAGGGAGGGGCCGAAGGCCAGGTCATGTAGGTCCTTTCCAGAAGTGTGACATACCCTGGCTTGGACACTCAGAGGGGATTCTGAGAGGTGGTGGGGAACCCATAGCAAGGTCTCTGCTGTGGTGACATTCTAGATCCCTCTCTGCATCCTCGGTGTGATGGCAGGCGCTCTGGAACATTGAGCTGTTAGAGGAAGCAACGCTACATATCACCTGTGCCGTCTGTTTGGAGGAGAGCATGTGTTCAGAATTTAACACTAAGTGATGAAATCACAGACTTGGCTGGCTTGCAGGCTTCAGGCTCCGCTCCCTCCAGGGCTGCCAGCCCCCCGCCCTCCAGGACATCCACCAGAACACTTGCAGGGACTCTCAGGGTGCTCCCCAGCCACCAAGGCACTCTGGGCCCTGTGACCACCTCAGTCCAGGCCACGCCATTCCTCAGGCTAGGCTGAGCTCTGCCTTCTGGAAACTTCCATCCACTGGCCCTTCTCCCACCTTCGGGAGTCACATAGACTGGGGCCTGCTCTCGCTTCCTCCTGGGAGTGTGGAGGACTCCCGGAGAGCACACACGGGTGCTTCCCTGCATCCCCTCCCCCATCTCACCCCCACACTGGCCCCCTGAAGCAGGAGGAATTAACCCGATCTTCCGAATGAGGAAACAGGCTCAGAACTGAGCAACTTGCCCCCAAATACCCAGATGATGCTGAACAGAGCTGGGAGTCGAGGCCAGGTTTCTCGGACTCAGGGCCTGTGCTCTTTCTCAGAGCCCTGTTTGGGAATTCCACAAATGGATGGATTTTGGTAGTCTTAAAGGCGATGGGCCAGAATGGGGCATTGCCTGGCAAATCTGATGGCAAAGGCAGAGAGGAGAGGCCACGCCCACGTGGAGTTTGTTCCAGGGGCAGCAGTGGCCCTGTAGCGGGGAGCCAGGAGTAAGGGGGAGTGAGGTCAGCAGGGAGGGAAGCTGCTTGTCCCACCATAAAAGGCCCAGTCTTTGTCATCTAGGTCAGAGGAGGGAAACTGTGAGGCTTTGTGTGGGCTGAATAATTTTTGTTTCGCTTTTTAAATTTCATCTACTTGCCAACATTTAAAAATCAAGAGATTCTATAGAGAAATCCAGGTTCCTGACCTCTCTTGAAAGGTCAGAACATCTGGCAGCAACAGGCGTCCCATTTCTTGTGGCTGCTGCTGGGTAGCAGTGTCTCCCTGAGATGGGACGTGTGCCTCTGGCTTGCCACAGTCCCCACCACTCCCTGTTACCCCACACCCAGTTGACTTCCCTTATTTATATGACTTTCTTGGTGCTTGAAGTATTTTGCTTTGCAGCTCCTGCTGCAGGTGATAAGGGGCCTGGGCCAGGGGCTATGCAATTGTGCCAGCGTGTTGAAGTCTGATGATGGCTGAATGAGCTTCAGGTTCAGTAAGGATTGGACTTGGTCAGAGAGCTGGGCCTGGGCCCCCAGTGTGGCTGGCTTCTGGCTCACTCACCCCCTTCAAAAACAGGGTCCCTTCTCCAGGCTTCATTTTCCTTGCCTGTAAAGCCAAGCAAGTTTTGGTTTGTAAAACCAAACAAGGCTGTTCTCTTCTTAATGATTTTTGTGTTTGAAGCTGAGCCATGCTTCTAGTAGGCCAAGGTTGAATACGTGCTCCTAAAAGTGAACCTGTTCCTAAGGTTTGCCTATAAGGACCCTAGGCATTGCTTGCATTGGGGCATGACGCTTTCCGCTTCCCTGTCACCCATTGGAGGTGACCTGCTCACTGCCTGGTCTTTTCCCTTCCAGACTCGGGAGCAGCTACAAGCTGATCTGCTGAGGTGTCAGGCCAAAATCGAAGATTTGGAGAAGTTACTGGTTGAGAAGGGACAGGTGAGCAGGAGTGATCTGTGCTCTGTGAATCTTAGCCTTTCTGTCCCCTTGGTGGTATCCCTGGGGCTCGCCCTTGTGCCAAGGGGGACATTCTGTGGGGCTGGATCAGGAGCTCCAGAGACGCTAGAGGAAAAAACACTAGCAGAACCCAGGCACGAATGTGCTCCCTACTGTACCTGTGTGCCGAGTTAAAAAATCAAAACAAGGTATGGCATTCTAACTTGGCTTTTTCTTTGTTTGTTTGCCAAATGCACAAAAAAGAGGTAATTCCAAAAGCAAAGGTGTGATCAAAGCTGTTTTTGACTTGAACCTGAAGAAGAGCTGTCATTTTCTATCAAGATTTTAATTGTGAAAATGAACCAGCACCCATGACTAACCCTGGGTTATTGCAGAGGCCCCACCTCTGGCCTCTGTGTCTTAGAACAGTCTGGTCCTGTGCTGCTCAGGTTAGAGTCAACTGCACCTACCCATCCACTGCATTTGATTAGGCAAGGCTGGTTGACAGTGAGACACAGCAGAAAAGCAATGCCTGGGCCTAGACCTGTCCCCTGGAGTGGGGGAGCCAGAGAGGGCTCTGGGTGGAAATCTGGCCTCTCGGGGTGGCATGCGAAGGTTCGTATGGGTCGGCCTCCTCTGTGTCAGAAGTGCTGCTGTGGTGACATAACCTGAACGTCTCCCTGGCTCCATGTGACAAGGTGTATTCTGTTCACACTCCTGTTTCTCCCAAGGGCCTCTCAGGGATTCAGGGAGGGGGGCACCACCATCTTGGAACTGCCCCATCTCGAACTTTTCCTCTGCTTGGCTGTTTGCTGCCTCAGCAAAATTCATCAGTCACGTGGCCCCACTAACAGTGAGGGTGCCAAGGAGGGTGTGGGCAGACGGAGTGTCTGGTGGCCCCCACCCCTGCCTGCAGAGAGGCATCTATGGGGGGCTGAGGAGGCCAGGCAAGGTCTACCACAGTTCCTAGGCCTGGTGGGATACAGTGGGAGGAGGCGGGTGTGAAGCAAGGGGTGTAAGAGGTTCCAGGCGGCTTAACAGAAGCAGCTCCAGAAGAGCACTGCAAAGCTGCAAAGCTGCAAAGCTGGCAGCTCAGAATGGCTGCCGCAGGGCTCGGGGTTGAGACTGAGGTTCCCATGGAGGCGGACGGCCAGCGACCAGCATGCATGCCTGGCACAGAGCAGGTCACCACAGCAGACTTTACCAATGGACTGCGTGGGGGAATGTGAGTGCCCAGCCCTCTGGAATGGCTTCTCTAAACTGTGGTCTGCATCCTCCATGCGGTGGGATCGTGACGCAGAGCTCACATGCTATAGCTGGCCACCTGGGTCAGAGGGCAGCTCTGCCACTTCCTTGTTGCATAACCTTGGGCAAGTAACATAATCTCTTTGTGCCTCCGTTTCCTCATCTTTAAAATGGGGCTAATAATAATACCTAACACATTAAGCAGGAGGACAGAGGAGAACCCAGGAGTAGCTGGGGCAGAAATCCAGGTGCGAGATGATAAGGCTTTTTTGTTTTTTGAGGCTGCTAGCCTCAGTTTCCCTCTTCCAGGCTGAGCCCACATATCTGTAACTTGCCTGATCACAGTCTATAACTAACTTAGTGTTGTAAGTAAATGCTTATTCCTTGGCACTGCAAGGAAAAATTAGCATTCAGACAAAAAGTTTTCTCAGCAAGGCAATTTTCCTTTCTGCAGAAAGGGTGCTGCCTGTCAGCAGTCCTGCCACGAGAGCACATTGAGCAAAGAAAAGCAGGGATATTTATTCCTTATGCATTGGTTCCTTACTGCTGTGTCCTGTCTCCATTGGCTGGAACTGGACCTCCCAGTCTAAGCTAGACCCAATTGACTAATAACTTAAAACTTTTCTAGATAGGTAAAGGTAATAGAGAACAAAGGGAAAGAGGAAGTTGCTTTCGAAAAGACTTAGAGAAGTAATAACATTTCCAAATAAGGAAGGGACATAAGCTGCGAGCTGGGACATGCTTGAGCAAGTCTATAACAAATATCTTGGTTAAAGTACAAAGACATAGAATGTACTTATTCCCTTATATCTAACAGCTACATAGGAGGGGCTTAACAAAGAGTTGTTAGTATAAAGGCAAGGAGGCTTGAAGGAAGTTAGTTTTTAAAAAGAAACTATTATTTTTAACACTTATGATTTATTCTTTCATAAGAAGGGAAACTTTGAAGAGGAACTTTTCTACTTGCCACACTTAGCCTCCCCCAGGGGGGTAGGTCCTCTCTGTGTGGCCTGCTCTGCCCTCCATGCCTGCTGGAGGATGGCACCTGTCTGAGGCTGAGCCTGTGTCCATTCATCCAGCAAGCACTTCCCAGAACTCTCACCTATCCCAGGCCCAGTGCTGGTACCTGGGACGCTGAATCAGTTTGCTGTTGCTGAGTAACAAACCACCCCAATACTTAGTTATTTAGAACAGCAGGGGTTCTATTTGCACACAGTTCTGTGGATCAGCAGTTTGGGCTGGGCTCAGGCTGGGCACAGACTGCCAGCTCCCGGCCAGGTGCCTCCACCTCAGGGAGGCCCACCTGGCTTCTTTCCCCATGGTTTGGGGGCAAGCCCAAGGCCCAAGGATGGTCCAAACCTCTGCTCAGGTCACCTCTGCTAACATCCCAGTAGCCAGAGCATGGCATGGCCCAGCCCAGCTTTGAGGTTGAAGAAATGGACCCCATCACCTGCTGGGAGGAGCTGCCAAGTCACATGGCAGAGGGGGTGCACACAGAGGTGGGAGGGAGTGTTGCAGCCATTTTTGGCCACAATATGCCACAGACAAAAGGTGGGTGGAGCACAGCCACTCCTCACAGGTGCTCGCAGCCTGGTGAGGCCCACACATGGATCAGCATGAGGATGATGCAGGTGCCAGGTGCCAGGGAGACAGAAGCCTGGAGGCAACCAGGGCCTCTTCTGTGCATTCCATGTGCTTGGGACCAGACCCTAGGCCGGGCCTCTGCTTCTCAGCATCCTAGAACAACAAGACTCAGTGAGCCCGGCCCAGCCTGGTGCTTGGGAGGGGCCTCAGCCCAGCCCCAGCTCTGTGGCTGACCAGCAGAGAAGGGAGGAGGGAGTTGGAGAGGGCTTCCCATGCGTTTACTTATTCCTTCATCCATCCATTCCGGGATTCACAGAGTCCCCCTGTCCCCATGTGACAGGCACTGTGCCAGGCTCAGGGTGCCACAGCGACAAGACGGACTTGGTGCCGTGTGCTCACAGGACTTATGCAAGAGGATACGACCAGGCAAAGAAACGTGGGAAGGGCATCGCAGGCAGAGAGAGTGGAATGAACAAAAGCATGTCAGTGTGGCTCTGGCCAGTCTGCGGGGTATGAGGTCAGCCTTCCGCATGCGTGGAGGGTCTGCCAGTGTGGACCAGTCACCCTGGAGGCATGTTTCTGTTAATTAGACGGACAGAATGGAGTCATTGTGCTTTTGGGAATGTGAACGAAGTGGAGAAGGGATGCCCCACAAACCAGCCGTTTCTCTTTTTGGGGTTTAAAAGTGGACAGGGACAATGAGGGCACATCACGGCTGTCATTTTTTATGACCTTTCCATGGTCAGTTTCATAGAAAGTGACCTTTCTCACTAAAAGTTTGTTACTTGACCATCTGTTTGCTTCCATGAATGTGACCATATTTAGTACTTTTCCTTAGGATTCCAAGTGGGTTGAAGAGAAGCAGCTGCTCATCAGAACAAACCAAGACTTGCTGGAAAAGGTGCGTGACCCCACCTCAGGGAAGCACACAGCCGCAGGGCAGTTGGGACCCCGCGGGCCTGCTCAGACTACACGGGTCGTGCCCAGCGCCATTTGGGCACTCCAGTGACCAGGGCCTCGGGTCCTGCACACCTCCCATGAGGAGAGATGTCTTCCTCACATGGAATCAAAGCCACATCTGTGGTTCTATCCTCTGGGACCAGGTCTGCAGAGCTGGTTTAGGTCATCCTCCTTGGGTACTCCACAGAAATGGAGAGGCCTGGCCTGTCTTCCCAGGCCACTCTGCAGAAATGGGGAGGGCTGGCCCCAACCTCTGGGGATACCCTGCAGAAATAGGGAGAGCTGCCCTGTCCTCTGGGGACACCTGCAGAAATGGGGAGGGCTGCCCCAACCTCTGGGACCCCTGCAGAAATGGGGAGGGCTGGCCATGTCCTCTGGGGACACCCTGCAGAAATGGGGAGGGCAGGTTCTCTCCTCTGGGGACACCCTGGAGAAATGGGGAGGACAGGTCCCAACCTCTGCAGACACCCTGCAGAGATGGGGAGAGCTTCCTTGTTCTCTAAGGACACCCTGCAGAAATGGGGAGGGCTGCCCCGACCTCTAGGGACACTCTGCAGAAATGGGGAGGGCAGCCCTGTCCTCTGGGGACACCCTGCAGAAATGAGGAGGGCTGCCCCGACCTCTGGGGATACCCTGCAGAGATGGGGAGGGCTGGCCTGTCCTCTGGGGACACACTGCAGAAATTGGGAGAGCTGCCCCGACCTCTGGGGACACTCTGCAGAAATGGGGAGGGCAGCCCTGTCCTCTGGGGACACTCTGCAGAAATAAGGAGGGCTGCCCCGACCTCTGGGGATACCCTGCAGAGATGGGGAGGGCTGGCCTGTCCTCTGGGGACACACTGCAGAAATTGGGAGAGCTGCCCTGTCCTTTGGGGATACCCTGCAGAAATGGGGAGGGCTGGCCCGACCTCTGGGGACACCTGCAGAAATGGGGAGGGCTGTCCCTGACCTCTGGGGACAACTGAAGAAATGGGGAGGGCTGGCCTATTGTTGGGCTGGTCCATCTTCCTGACACTGGGCTCCAGGCCGCCTCTGCTGTGGCTTTATGGTCCAGAGCCCTTCAACCACCAGTGTGGTGGGCGCCTGAGGCAGGTCCATGGGCAGATCCTCAGGCCATCTCAGCCCAGTGCAGCTGACCCATAATGGGAACTGGGCCTCTGTTCTTCTCTTTCTGGTTGTGGAACTTTCCAGAGCTCTCGGAGAGTCTGCTTGGCGAGTAGCTCTAATGCTTTGGAATTAAAATCGTAGCTTATTTTTTCCTTATTGGTGTACAATTCACTTATTCTTTTTGTAAATCTACTGTGTTGCACAACCATCACCGCAATGCAGTTTTGGAACATGATCAGCCTGATAAAGACCCCTCCTGCCCATGTGCAGTCCCCCCTCTGCCCTGCCTCCCGGCCCCTGGCAGCCTCCAGTCCACTGTCTCTGGATGTTGCAAGTAAGTGCAGCCAGACCCTAGGTTAGGCCTCAGCTTTTAAGCATCCTGGGGCACCAGGACTGGAGGAACCTGGCCTGGCCCTGGTGGGGGTCCTTGGCCCAGCCCCCAATCTGCTGCTAACCAGCATGTGGCCCCATTCCCTTCCCTGCATTTCTCAAGGGCATTTGGGACAAGGGCATTTGGGACAGCGAGCAACCCCAGGCCTCGGGAGAATTTTAGCATCTTTGGTGTCTTGTTCACTAAATCCAGGGAGCCGCAGAAAACCCTCACCCCCTCATCCCATTTCTAAAGGTCTCCCGGGGGTGGGATCACCTGGCAGAGGGCCCCCCTCTAGCCTTCTGTAATGGTGCTATGAGGCTTTACTCAAAGCCCTCGTGTACATGCGTTATTTTAGTGACTTCTCGCTGCTGCCAGGCGATGGGTGCTGCTGTTTCCCTTCTTGGACAGAAGGTGAGGGCTGGAGTAGTGGGCTGAGTGATCCAGCGTCTCCCAGCTGGGTCTGGGATGCAGGCGGTGTCACTTCCCACACTGATCTGCGCTCTCAGAGAACTCCTGCCTTTACGGCTTCTTCTGCAAGCTCTGTGGGGAAGCAGGAGGGGCCCTCCCTGCCGCAGCTGGCTGGGCCTCTGTCTGGGTGGGTTGAATCTGGTGGGGCTTGAGTTGGAAAGACCTGGACAGGCTTTGGGTGTGGCACTCTTGCTTCCCAGTGTTTGGCCTCAAGGAAGGGACTTCATAGCTTCATGCCTCAGTCTCCCCATCATTCATTTATTCAGCAAATATGTAAGTAGCCCCTACTCCACTGGGCCAGGCTCGGAGGTGCAGGGGTGAACCTGGCCCAGCCTCTGTCTCCTTCATTTCCAGCCGCATCAGCAAAAAGGACCTGCAGCACCTACCTCATTCGTTTGCTTGCTGCAAACCCTGCCCTCTCCTGCCCCTTGCCTCCGTGGCCAGTCGTCTGTTTCCCTCCAGCCACTCAGTCAGGTGGCCTGTGACCAGGGGACCCCAGTGCTCCCACCCATCCTGTTAATCCGCAGGTATCTTTGCTCTAGATTTACAGACTGGAAATGGAAGAGAACCAGCTGAAGAATGAAATGCAAGACGCCAAGGATCAGAACGAGCTGTTAGAATTCAGAGTGCTAGAACTCGAAGTAAGAGACTCTATCTGTTGTAAACTCTCAAACGGAGCAGACATTCTCTTTGAACCCAAACTGAAATTCATGTAAAGCTCTCAGATGTTTTCAAGCATGTGTAAAGGGGACATGTTATAGTTTCTTTCTTTCTTTCTTTCTTTTTTTTTTTAAATCTGTATGTTCAGAATAATTTCACTGCCTTAATGTGTTCTGGAGAGCGTGCTCACCCAAGTCTATGGACATGTACCAGAGCTAATATATTTATTGCCTATGGCTTGTTTTGCACTTAATAAAATAATTTGTTTTTGCAATATTTTGCCTTTTTTATTTGTGTTTCATTTCCATAACTACTTCTTTCCTGCATGCGTAGTCACCGGGTACGCATTCTGCACACCCAGACGGAAGCACTGTTGCAATTAATAACACACCTTTTTAAGTGATCTTGCATGCAGTAAATCTCACCTTTTGAAATAGCAGAGTCTGACCTGAGCCAGCAATTGACTCTAGAATGTGTTTAATGCCAGTTTGGGCCCATTTTCTATTTGCCAAGGTAAACACAAGGTAAGTAAAGACAGGGTAGAAGGATGTATTTGCATAGGCGTTTAAGAAAACTAGTTACGTTGTTCAAACTCTTTTATCCAGTAAATACAGACCCAGGCATTGCAGCAATATTGGACTAAAGAAATTACTATTTGCAACTCAAACTGCACCTCAAAACTACTGGAGGGAGATCAGTTGCTGTTCACATGTAGAAATCCTGTTCCTTCAGGAACTGCCCCAATGCACCGAGTGAGATTCAGTGAAAGAATACTAATGGTCTTACTGCTTCCAGCTGAAATCTTACCTCGGGTGTGTTACTGTATTGCCTTGCTCTCATGGTACTTCATAATCCTTTTTTTTGTTTCTGTTGAAAAATCATTGGCATTTTAAACATCACTTAAGTTTGTGATGAGTTTCTCTAAGCACCTGTAGTGGCGCAGCTCTGCTGTCTCTCAGCTGAAACCTTTGCATGCGTGAAACCCTCAAAGTGAGCACCTTCACAGTGTCTGTGGCTTCCCCAATTTTGTTTTCTCCTGCCGGCTTGAGTTACAATTCTGTCTGCATTAGAACTGACCGTGTGTACCTTGTCGTGTGGGCAGGGACCTGTGGCCTGAGTATTTCTCACACCAAGAGTGACTCAGCTCTTGGCTCAGCATGACATGAGCATTTTATTTGTGCGACAGAATTGGAAGTTATGTGAGGTCATTGTTAATACTCCTGCCGCTGTTAGAGAACCTTTCACAAATCCTTGTTATGAGTCTTTCTCATGAGAATTCTATAAGCACTACCCAGTTTACTAGAGTTTTCTTTAATGGTCTCCACCATCCTTCAGAACCACCAGAAACAAAATGGCTTTTTTTTTTTTTTTTTTTTTTTTAGGACAGAGTCTCGCTCTGTCACCCAGGCTGGAGGACAGTGGCGTGGTGCACTCTTGGCTCACTGCAACCTCTGCCTCCCGAGTGTGAGTGATTCTCCGGCCTCAACCTCCCTAGTAGCTGGGATCACAGGCACACACCTCCTCACCCAGCTAATTTTTGTATTTTTAGTAGACACAGGTTTCGCCATGTTGGCCAGGCTGGTCTCAAACTCCTGACCTCAAGGGATCCACCTGCCTCAGCCTCCCAAAGTGCTGGGATTACAGGTATAAGCTACCATGCCCGGCCTACAAAATGACTTTTGTTCATATAAAATCTGAGTTTTGGGGGCCACTTTTTCTATGGGGACGCCATTTAAGTAAATTTGCTGGTAGAAAGTCATCTGTGGAATGGAACCATCATGAAATTTGTTTTTTTGCTTGTTTTTTTTTTATTTTATTTTTTTAAATTTTGGCTAATAAGGGAAATAAGGTTTTCTTACTAGACTGTTTCAAACCTAGGTTAGTCAGGTTAGGGCTTCATGGAAATTGATTGAATTAGTGCCCAGCCCTCCCTCTTTCCTTCAGTCTCACCCCAGAGCATCTTCTTAAGCCCTGCCATCTAGATTCGTGCCTCTCTTGGCTACATCTCTTAGTAGAATTATTCAAGAAGCCCATTGGTTCTGTAGCTAGATTCTGCTAGAATGGCCCAAAGCATGTTATTTTTTACCTTACCGTAACTCTGCTCAAACTAAAGCAGTTTGATTTAAAGGTGTAATTTGAAAAGGTCTTCTCTGCTGCCCCACCATGACAAATCTGTCCATCGCTAAAGTGTTTAAAGTCCATTCTGTGCAGGAAACACATCTGAGACCTGAGTCCTGTTCTGCCACTGTGCTTTAGCCCTGTAAGTAATTAGGTTTTCCCGACCTTTTAAAACCTTGTCATTTATGTATGATTAATAAATACCTCTTCTGGGAAAAGGCTTGCTCTTCTTCCTCCCTTAGTAATTAATTGAGCTTTGCTGTAAGTCTAAGGCAGGGGTAGAATGATCACTTGTTGTGTTAGTGTGGCTCAGAAAACAATTGTGAATGGTATTGGCAGATTGTATTGGAAAGAACAGAAAGTCAGCCTTTGGGGCCGGGCGAGGTGGCTTACGCCTGTAATCCCAGCACTTTGGGAGGCCGAGGCGGGTGGATCACCTGAGGTCTCTGGAGTTCAAGACCAGCCTGGCCAACATGGTGAAACCCCGTCTCTACTAAAAAAGAAACAAAATCTAAATACAAAATTAGCCCGGTGTGGTGGCGCGTGCCTGTAATCCCAGCTACTTGGGAGGCTGAGGCAGGAGAATCACTTGAACCCGGGAGGTGGAGGTTGCAGTGAGCCAAGATTGTGCCATTGCACTCCAGCCTGGGCGACAAGAACAGAACACCCTCTCAAAAAAAAAAAAAAAAGGAAAGAAAAAGAAAGAAAGTCAGCCTTTGGGGTCCTGGCCCTGCCGCTTGCTAGCGTGGGACCTCAGACACAGCCTCCCTGGGCCACCACCTTCTCTTTGTCTACAGAATGAAAGCAATGAGCCTGCCTCCTGGGGTAGTGTGAGGATTAGACGGGAGAGTGGTGTGCCTGGCACAGAGTAATAAACCATAGTTGGTGGCTTTTGCTGTCTATTCAAATTTAGTGCAACTGTGTTTTTTAAATTTTGTAATTCTGTGATTTCCTGGGTTTTGATCTCACAATGGATAAAGCCACGGTACCCTGTTAACCATTTCTCCCTAGATGAATAGGGAAGAAGTAAACACATTTCCATGGAGAACTGCTGCGTGGGAAGGCGTGAAAACGTCGTAGCTCACGGACGAGGCTGCTTCTAGTCCGAACTCGTGCTTTTTAGTAACGTCTGTGCCCACTGGAATTCCTTGGTTTTTGCTGAGTAACGTGGGAAAATGGCAAGTGGTAAATAATCCGGTCACATTCTGTTTTTAAACCGAATCTTTTCCCCAGGAGAGAGAGAGGAGGTCGCCAGCATTTAACCTCCAAATCACCACCTTCCCCGAGAACCACAGCAGCGCTCTCCAGCTGTTCTGTCACCAGGAAGGAGTTAAGGTAGCGTGCCTGGGGGGTGCCTCTGCTGAATGCCAGCCAAGGGCTCGCTCAGTGCCCGGCTCAGCTGCAAAGGGGGAGTGCTGGGATAGAATTGATTTTCATGAGATACCCCTTGTGTTGAAAGTCACAGTTTGTCCATTTATTAAAGGGTCACCAAATGTGACTCTATTTTGACCCATATGTTTAAAACAGCAGAGGCTTGGTGTATAGCCCTGAGTGTGAACCCCAGTTCCACCACTGCTCTGGCCTGTAAACTTTCAGAGCCTTAGCCTCTTCGCTATGAAATCCAAATGACAATACCCACACCGTGAAGCTGGGGTGATGACACATCATGAACAGACTCCAAGTGCCTGGCCCTCTGCCTGGCATGCAGCAAGGTTCTGTAGATGGTGGCTGTGGTTGCTAGAAGGGCCCGGGGTTTACCGTGTCCTAGAGCCCTGCTCAGCTCCAGGGACAGCGTCCTGACTCACCCGCTTCCATGGCCTTTCTAGAAAGCAGTGTTTGTGCTGGTGTAACACTCAGCAAATGAGCAGCAGTTATGCCTTCTCTCCCTCACTCCCCAGAGGAACGGCTGGGCGCAAAACTTGGCCAGAAAAGAAAAGAAAGAGCGCGGTGTCTTGTCCAGAGGAAAGGCCGTGGCCCTAGAAATTGGTATGGTTGGTCTCTGTAGCTCACACAAAAATGAACGTTGGAAATCTCTTCCAGGATGTGAATGTTTCTGAACTTATGAAGAAATTAGATATCCTTGGCGATAACGGGGTAACTATGAGCGATCGGTTTCTGCTTTCGTGTTCTTGTTTTGATCTGGGTGTATTCTGTGTGACTTTTGTTTTGTTTTGTTTTTAATTTCTCTCTGATGTAAGAGATCTAAGAAGTACAATGTAAGGCTTTTGTATGGCCGTGTTCCTGTGTGGGTGGTGGGGTTGGCATTCGTCAGAAGTGGGGTTCCGAAGTTAGATTCCCCTGGCCTGTTGAGTGAGGAGGGGACGGGAAAGCCTCAGAATCCCTACCCAGAATGCAGGTGGAGTCACACGAGATTGCTGAAATCAGAAAGGGATCTTTTTGCCGTCCTGAAAGATGAGCTTGCATGTAGCCATGTTTCACAAAAGCTTAGTGCCACTCTGTGAAATGTCCCCAACCAGAGGGACAGGAGCTGTCTGCCTGAGGCGCTGGCCCCATTAGCGAGAGGGAGCTGACCCTCGGGTGCAGCTCAGAGAGAAGCTAGGAAAGTCGCTTGGTGTTGGCGGGGCATGGTGGCTCACGCCTGTAATCCCAGCACTTTGGAAGGCTGAGGCTGGCGGATCACCTGAGGTCAGGAGTTCGAGACCAGCCTGGCCAACATGGCGAAACCCTGTCTCTGCTAAAAATACAAAAACTATCCAGGTGTGGTGGTGTGCATCCCAGCTGCTGTAATCCCAGCTACTCGGGAGGCTGAGGCAAGAGAATCACTTGAACCCAGGAGGCAGAGGTTACAGTGAGCCGAGATCACACCACTGCACTCAAACCCAGGTGACAGAGAGAGACTCCGTCTCAAAACAAACAAACATAATAAAACAAACAACAACAACGAAAAAAAAAAACTTGCTTGGTGCTGACTGTCTGCACGTGGATTTGGGATCCAGTGTCAAATGCCCTTGCCCATTTTTGTGTTTTAGAATTTGAGAAATGAAGAACAGGTTGCAATAATCCAAGCTGGAACTGTGCTTGCCCTGTGTGAAAAGGTAGAAGCCAGCGGCATTTCTGTGCTCACACCTTGTCCCAGCTTCCCAGCACCATACAAGAAACTGTACATTGGCGTCTTGCTTTGCGTGGGAGCATGCGTTCCAGTCCGTCTGCGTCTGCACGTGCACATGCATGCCTTTCCGTTCTCTTCATGACGGAAGTCCCACATGCTCACTGTAGAAAACCCAGAGACGCAGGAGGAAATCAAAACCCGGTGGAGGAAACAGTCTGTCACTTTTGTGTATTTCCTTCCAGTGGTTTCCCTGCGTCCATTGTTTTTAAACTTAGTTGAAATGATACTTGACATCCAGTTTTCCATCAGGCTTTAGAAACATCCTCCATACCATTTAACATGGTTCATAAACGTGTTTAAATGGCTGTGCATCTCTCCATCACACAGTTATACTGTTAGTTACTTCAGCCCCTCTTAGCTGTTATATATTTCTTTCTACCATCATGCAGTGGTAAACTGCACATTTTTTACACATAAATTTCTATCTACGTCTTAAAATATGCCCATAAGATATATTTTAGAAGCAGAATGACTGGGCCAAATAGTAAGAATGTCTTGAAGGACTACGGCATTGTCAAAACAGTGTCCAGAAAAGCGGCACCAGATACCCTCCTACCTGCAGCCTTACACGTTGTTGATTTATGCTTGACATGGCATGTTACCGCTGAAAAGAACTTTGCCCATTTGATGGTGAAAACCGTATCACGTCATTGTTTTAATTTTTATTTCAGTGCTAGTGATACTGAGTTTTTTATGTGTATTATCTATTTTCTTCTCCTTCCTTGTGAATTGTAATTGCATTTATTTTGAGGGTTTTCCATTGGATTTGTTCACCCATCCATCCATTCATTCATTTGACAAATATGTATTCATTGTCATTGTCTTTCTTACTGACTTCTCTGAGTGCTTTACATATTAAAAATACTAACTTTTTGACCTGTTTGTTACAAAACACATTCCTGATTTGTTTGCCTTTTACACTGGTTTATGGTGTGTTAGAAATATACAACTGTTTGTGGCTAAAGACCTTTTCCTTTCAAAGCATATGGGTTCAACTTTAAAATGCTATTTTTGCAGTGATGAGGTCTTAATGATCTTAGTTGGGATTCTTTCCAGAATTGCTGGAAGGGCATTTAAAATAGAAATAGTTTCCTTCCCAGGGCATCTGTTCAATCCCTCAATCAAGTAAAGGATACTAAATGTTGGTAACAAGACTTATGGCCAAACCTTGCCCAAGGTCACACTGGTAGGCAGTGAGAGGATTGGAACTCAGCTTTCTCCTGTTCCTATCATCACTAAACCTGGCTGAGCTTGTGTCTTCTGGTGAACCGCGGGACGGGGATGACTCACACCTGGCCGGCTGGTGGCTATCAGGTGCAGGTGCAGGCACGGGGCGGGGCACATGGGGCATATTCAGCACCTTCCTTTCCAGCAGCAAAACCCTCCGTGGCTGCCTAGGCTCCTCCAACAGTGCTCCGTGTAGTCACACAAAGTGCTGATTAAACACTTATGACTCAGCTTATTCAACATCTACTGGAATATTTACTGAGAAAGAGCATCTTAGTGTCAAGTGCTGAGCACGGCCCTGGGAGACGTGGAGATGTCACATCCACCAGTGTCCGCTTTGATGTCGGGGAGGCCTCTCCTGGCTTGCGTCTTGGCTACACCACGTGCCAGCTGCAGGGGTTTCAGCCGGTTTCTCACCACATCTCTCTCAGCCATGACACTGAGCATCCTGGTGGCTCACAGTGTCTGTCGGAATCCAGGAGGCTGCATATTTCAGTGGGATCAGGCATTGCCATCAGGTTCAATCAAGCACCTGGGGCCATGCTTGCTTCCTGGAGATGCTTGGTCAATGCCTGTGGACCGGGTGAGCAAGGAGCAGGAACCTGCTGGTGACTCAGGGTGGCTGGTTCGTCCTGGGGCTGGGGCAGGGGGTGTTGGAGGGCCAGGGCGCCAGCTGGCAGGAGGCTTTCAGCCTCAGTGATAGCAGCCCTCTGCAGGGCGCTGAGTTCTCCCACCTGAGCCGTTCCTGATGTACCCCTCCCCACGCCCGACCCACAGCAGGTGTTCCAGGCCTGCACCTTAGGTCCCCAGCGCTCCTCATCCTCTGGGCATCTGTGAGATTAGCAGCCCTCTAGGACAGCTGAGGAGGTGGAACCTGTCTGGGATCCGGCCACTGTCTGCCTTGACCCTCACCATGCTCTGCTCGCCTGGCAGCTGCCCACCTCCCCGCTTGCACCCTGCCCACCCCCACTGCCGCCCGCCTGCCCCTGACCACCAACCTCCCCAAGCTGGTCAGCCTGGTGCTGTGCCTTGTGCCCTACGTGCTAGAGAGCTGTGCCAGTCGCCCTAGCCTGCCAGGCCCTCACAACCCCTACTGACGGTTATGGGGCCCCGATTCTGAGCCTGGCACAGAGGTGCCCAGCTCCGCGTCTTTGAGGAATAGACTTAAACCAGAGTTTTCTCAGGTTGGGTTCTAGGAGACACTGGCCCTGCCATTTGTCTGTGGATAAAGGTCCAGTAAGCTTGGGTGTTGCCGCTCGTCTCCTCCCAGCTTGGAGAGGATGTTGGTGTAAGAGCTCCTCAGGTCCAGAAGTGGACCTTCATGTGGGGTGGGAACTGCATCAGCAGGACCCCCTGAGAACCTGGCAGGACCACTAGGGGACTGACAGTCTGCTTTGCCTGGGACTGACAGCTTTCCTGGGACGTGAGAATTGCAGTGCTAAAACAGGGACAGTCGTGGGCCAACAGGGACAAGCTGGTCACCCTAGAGCCGACAGGCACTGCAGGGAAGTTTGCAAAGGGGGTGAGCACCTGCAATGTCACTGCCAGGGAAGGCTTGCTGACAGGCCCCAGTTAACCCCTGCTCCACTAAATACTCTTTATTTTAAAAATTGTCATTCCATACGGGTATCCGAATAAGTGGAAGTCAATGTCAATGTTCCCTTAGAGGCATTAATTTTTTTTTTTGAGACAGAGTCTCACTCTGTCACCCAGGCTGGAGTGCAGTGGCACGATCTCAGCTTACTGCAACCTCCACCTCCCAGGTTCAAGTGATTCTCGTGCTTCAGCCTCCTGCAGCTGGGATTATAGGCATATGCCGCCACGTCCGGCTAATTTTTGTATTTTTAGTAGAGACGGGTTTCTCCATGTTGGTTAGGCTGGTCTCAAACTCCTGACCTCAAGTGATCTACCCGCCTTGGCCTCCCAAAGTGCTGGGATTACAGGTATGAGACACCTCACCCAGCCTCGAAGCCAGTTTCTTAGTGTGTAGGTGAAGTGCAACCTGAAGGAATGTCCTATGATGTGCCTGTGTTGATTTCGCTACAAACAGCATCTTGCCCTGGGCACATGCTTTCCTCATCTCCGCCCACTGAGGCCCTGCCCAGTCATCAGGACACAGGCATCCGTCCTGGCACCCATCAGCCCCACTCTGGTTAGCCACGTATAGGATCAGGCAAGGTCTCACTCACCTCGGCACATGGCACGTGCCCCACAGAGAACCTGAACCATGAGACATTGGAGGGTTTATAAATCATAGCAGTCATATCTCTTCTCCCTCAAGTTCAAAGTGGATCGAGAAAAAGACACCGGCCTCAGCCAGGTGGGAATGTCTTAAAGGCCATGTTCTCACTAGTAACGATGGATAGGAGAATGAGGCATAGGTCTGAGCCATAGTCTGACTTTCTAATAGTTGGCCGTGAGTCGAAGCCTTGGGACCATCCCCAAAGGGAGGGAGGAGAGATGAGCCCCACCAGTTGCAGGGGATCCAGGCTCTGCACCTGAGGGGCCCTGGGAGGCGGGGCGCGGAGAGCAGCCCCCACCCTGCAGCATGCTGCCCCCATGAGGCTGCTCAGTTCATCAGCACCTCCCTGTGAGTGGACTCACTTCTCCTCCCCAGCCTGAGACCCCCTCTCCTGGGGTTGGAGCAGAACCATGAACGCTGTTTCTCCCAGGAGTGACTGAGCCTCCACAGCTATCTGGCCAAACTCTTTGATATTAAATTTCTGATCTCACGTGGTCGGGGGTCCTCATGGCCAGCTCTCTCTGCTTTCATGTTCTCTCCCCGTTGCTAAAAGGTCTTGTTGAATTTATTTTTTATATGCAATTTTTTAAACGACAGCAGCAACAAATCTCAACACTGTGTTCTGCAGAAACCGTTCTGAGAGCAGCATGTTGTAATCATCCAAACCTGGATTTCCCATTTTAATTTTATTCATTTTATGACTGCTTGCATGAGGATATTAAAACTGAAATACCTGTAACTCCCCATCCAAAATATGCTTATCTGTTTCTAAGAAACCACGCATCTTGTCTGAGCCTTGTTTGAGGAAGTGCTGGCCACCGCGGCTGGCACAGGGTGCTGGGTGCTGCCACCGTGGCTGGCACAGAGCCCGTACTGGGGGCCGAGCTCACTGTGGCGTTAGGGAAGGAGTTCTGTGGCAGGAGCCGATCAGTTCTAGTCCCCTCTGTTCAGGCAGCACACACCCCACCAACCTGCACAGCCTTGATTCTCCTTCATTCGACAGAAGTTTATTAGGCACCTGCTTGTGTCAAGCCCTGTGCCAGGCAAGGAAGTCCAACAGGAGGCAAATGTGGTCCCCACCTTCAAGGGGGGCAGCGGGGTGAGGGGTGAAACAGACAACAGCGCTGTCAGGTGAGTGCTACGACCCGGCATTCACAAGATGACTGACATGGGCACCATGGAGGTTAGCTGACCCCACGGACTCAAGCAGGGTAGGCTTCCTGGAGGAGGTGACAGCTAGCTCAGGGCCTGAAGACTGAGTGATGCTAGCTTGTTAAAGGCCTGGGGCTGAGGCTGGGGCCAGGAGAGGTAGGGACAGCACATGGAAAGGCTGGGCATGTTCGAGGAGCTCTGTGTAGTTAGGATGACCAGGGCCTGGGATTTCAGTGGGGACAGGAGAGTGCTGACTGATGAGGCTGTGAGCATCACAGGGGCCACCCCACACTGGGGCCTTGCCAGTGTTGTCGGGGGTGCTGGGATGTCTTTGGAGGTCTCTGAGCAGAACAGGGATGTTCCATGAGCCCATGTGTGTTTTTTAGGGAACTTGCTGGCTGGGGGGGCAGAAAGGAATTTGGGGTGTGTGGGGAGGATTCAGATATGAACCTGGGGGCTGAAAGGGGAATGGGGGGTTGGTGATGGGGAGGGAGTGCTGCGGGTGGGTTTGAGAACCAGAAGGAGGCAAAGCCAATATGTTGGAAGTGGACGGAAGGAAGGAGGGGGCACTCTTCCCCATCAGGGGTCCTGGCAGGCCCTGGAGATGCCTTGAGGCTTGGGAGTGGAGGGGTGCAGGAGGCAGCGGCACACAGGGCGTGGTGGGGCAGATCTGGGTATGAGACATTTCAGAGAGGGTAGGGAGGGTGGATCCCGGGGGAGGGCAGAGTAAGGTGGAGAAGGCCGAGGGCAGGGCTCCAGGACCTCACGAGTGCGGGGTGACCTGGCGAGGGTGACCAGCTGCCGCCAGAGGAGAGGGAAAGCAAGGAGTACAAGGAAGCTGGGGGAGCCTGGGGTCGGGAAAGGGGGCTTTCTGCAGCCAAGGCCTGGAGTCAGGAAAGGGGGTGCTCCACAGCCGGGATCTGGTGGCAGGAAAAGCACTCTACAGCGGGGCCTGGGGTCGGGAAAGAGGGCGCTCCGCAGCTGGGGCCTGGCAGTGGGAGGCCATCCGACAGCCTTAGCAATGAGGAGGTCAATGGTGTTGTCAAACCCGGACACCCCTAGGTGCCCTGATCTCCCCACAGCCCTCCCCCACAGGGCAGCCACCCTGTGCTGGCCTGGACTTCCTCCCGTTTTAGGGGCTCCTCGTAGAGGCACATCCACGTATGACACCTGCCTCCGTGCTCACCCCCAGCCCAGACCCCAGAGGGAACGTGGACAGAGCTCCCACTCCCTTACCTGCCGCTCAGGTGCACGCCCCGCCTGTTCACCCCGTACTCTCCGTGCCTGCGCCCTCATGTCCTGGCATGAACCCTGCTTTCATGCTCCTACACCCCCTACCCTGTGTGTGATTCCACCTCCTCTCATGGTGGCACCAGGCACTCTGGGCTGCTCCAACTCACGTTGCTGGAGGGATGAGGGCAGTGGCTTTGGCATCCTGCAGGCTGGGTTCCAAATCTCCATTCTGCACCCGTGTGACCTTGGACAAGTTACTTAACTCAGCCTCCATGTCTTTACCTGCAAAATAGGGGTGACGCTGCCTACTGCTTGGGGTGGTCGTAAGAGAGTCAGATGAGGTCTCCTGTGTGAAGCATCAGCACAGAGCAGGCACTCATTGACATCAGCTATACCACACCACTTCCTCTGCTGCACACACTCGCAGCCGCCCACACTCGGGTCCATCCAGGCTCTGAATCCAGCTTCCACACCACGTACATGTCACACTCACACCTAAGACCTCCTGCACATGCAGGCTGGACCATGCACACACAACCACGCCATCCACAGATCAGGCATGTGTGTGCCATGACCTGACCCATTCCTGAGCACACTCTGAGGAAGCCGATCTATGAAATTCACACACCTGTGAAATTCCACAGCCCCTTGGGTTCTGACTCTCACTTTGCTGCACCCGTCCTGTCCCTGCTGTTTTCTAGTGGCTGAAGCAAATAGAGGGGACCGAGGCCGCCCTGACCCAGAAGATGCTGGACCTGGAGAAGGAGAAGGTAAAAGATTTGACTGCCTGGGGGTGGGGGAGAGGGTTCAAAGAGCTCAGAGAGGTTGATTTGCAGGAAGGCTTTGCATGTGTTTTCCTAATGATTTGCATGCATTTCTCAATTTTGCTTTTGCCCCAGTGGTTGTTCTAAGTAATTGTCACCCATTTACTTACTCTTTCACTCGCTCAATTACTCATCGAATACATATTTTCAGAGCCTCTGCTGTGTCCCAGGTGCTATGGCAGGATTAGAGGCTTAGTAATGAATAAGTGGGGTCCCTGCCACCAGGAGCAAGCTCACAGACCTGCAGGGTCATGCGTTCATGAGCTCACGTGAATGCAGCATGAGGATGTTAGGAGAGACACAGCCCAGATATGGAAATGCTGGCGCAGTGACTCTAGGAACACATGGGCATGGCTCAAATCTTTGCTGGCCATGAAAACTTGGGAAACTGGACTTTAGTTTTCTCATTGATGAATGGGAAATTCCAGTCTGTGCTTTGCTGGGTTGTGGGATGAGAAATGCTACATACATAACCAGGGTTGCACTGTGCTTGGCACCTTGGGTACCTGACAAATGGTGGTGGTGGTTATTCACTGGGACTATGGATGTATGGGGAGCCTGGGGAGGACAGAGAAGGCTTCCCAGAAGACGTGGTTCTTGAGTAGTCAAAGGCCAATTCGAGTTCTCCAAGGAGAAATGGAAATGGGAGGAGAAGGAGGAAGGTGGAAGGACTAGTGTGGCCTAGGAGCAGGGTGTGGTGTGGCAAGAGCCCTGACTGATGCCAGAAGGCCTGGGTTTCTACTCCCACCTCTGCCATCACTGAACTGTGGCATCTAAGGCAAGGCTCTGGTCCTCCCTGGCTCTTTCCTTCCTTGTCTATAAAAGGAAGTGGCTACAGGAGATGAATTCTAACCCTGAAACCCTCAAATCAGTCATAAAAAGAGATTTGCACTCCGGAGAGATCATGCTTGCAGGGTCTTAGACAGTGACCCAGGTATGTGGGAGGCAGGGAGAAGTGTGCTCAGTGAGACCAATCGGGAGGTGGGTGATGCAATTCAGGCAGGAAGGAAGAGCCACATCTGGGAACCATGAAGACAGTCTTCAGGGGCCACTAGGATGTAGCAGGAGGAACCTAGAAGGACTCCTGTGACTTGCGCCTTGGTTTGAGGTGGGTCCCTTCTTTACAGTCAGGTACCCAAGAGGCAGGGAAGCAGGAGGAATGGGATAGTCTTCACCAAGGATCCAGGTGTGGCTGTCAAGGGTGCCCCAGGTCAGTGAGGCTCCTGCTGGGTGATTCATGTGGGGGCAAACGGGGAAGACCACCAAGTCCCTTCTCATCTGAGTGCCCCCAATTCGGTGAGACTGCCACTCTCTAGCAAACGGGCTCTGAAGCTGTCATGGATTCCTGTTCTGACGCTGGTCCCTGATGGCGCCTCCCTCTTTCTCAGGACCTGTTCAGCAGGCAGAAGGGCTACCTGGAAGAGGAGCTCGACTACCGGAAGCAAGCCCTTGACCAGGCTTACCTGGTAGGACCAGAAGTGGGTTTGACACTTTGGCTTCTTAGACTCCACATTAGAGGCTGCTTTTTCCTCTGGGGCTGAAACTGCATTTAGGGCGCTCCCCAGTGCCAAACAGGAGTGATAAAAATGCCATCTCCACCTTGTGACTGGAATGACCGTACAGACTGTCCCTTTTTCCAAATCAATCGTGATTTTCAAAAATATTCAAAGTTACTTTAATGGTTTTCTTAGACATGCTTCTTAAATTCTAGTAATCATTTGAGATGAATGAGAAGAAACTATATTTCTTTTATGTTTGATTTTACTTAAATATTTAGACTTAAAGTCCCAAAGCAAGTTTTCCTATAAATAGGAAAAAGAGATGATCACAAAGGAACGCAGAGGTAAAGCAATTAGATGAAGCCAGGTGATTTTCAGAACCGAAGGGACGAGGTATAAGGTCGGATGTAATACTGCATTTGGGTTGCAAAATTGATTCTGGGCGTCCTGGTGATTAAAATACAGTGGGATGATGTTCAAACTCCTGTGTCCTCACACTCAAAGCTAAGTGCTCCTGGCACGAGAGAAATTCTCCTTCGGGGTGGAGGGGAGTTGAGTAAGATCATAGAAACTTGTCGCTGCAGGAGAGAGAATTTAGAGTTCAATGTCATTCCTTGTAGGAAGAAGCTAGCGTGGTACAGAGTCTTGAGCAAATCTCTGCCCAGATCATTTGTAGTTAAAATAATTTTACAAAAATGGGTTTGCACCTACAAAATGCAGAGCCAATCACTAAAAAAAAAATGACTTTAAAACTCTACTTCCCATGACAGGCTCCAGGAAGACAGAGAGCAGGTAGCATGGGCTTAGCTCAAATGGACAGGAGATTTAGACATGAAGGCCGGTGCAACTAGCTATGACCCTTGTCCCTTCCTGTCGAGGCTGTGAGGCTTGAATCCCTTGAGACTAGGAGCAGGAGATGTAGAAGATCAGAATGAACTAAACCTTATCAAGACACAGCATTTCCCTCTGGGCTATCGTTTCTGGTTACACGACATTTCAGTAGTGTTGAGGGCAACTAACGAATGGAGACATTCTCCATTCGTGTTTTGGTCCAGGCTTGGTGCTTTTGAAAACACCCTGCAGGCTGGGCCATCCCCGTCATGCATCCCTGTTCTTCCCTAGTGTTTTCCAAAAAAACTCCAAGGAATGTGATTTTAGATGGAACTTAGGGTCCCGCAAAGCGTAGCGCAATAAAGTTGGAAAACTCTGAAGGACTTCTTGGGGTCTTAGCGTGCTAAAGGGTGAGTTGAGGCTCCGAGAGGAATGTAAGCAAGTGGTGTGCCAAGTTCAGTGAATCACTGGACCTTTTTTCAAGGGACATCTTGCAGAACTGGCATTTCCCAAAACACACTTCGGAACACCTTGGGGTCCACCCTTCCTTTGTCTAAGCACCAACTCAGGAAGGCCTGAGGGGCCCCTAAGAATGCTGAATCTGCAGAAGAGGCCCCTGCATGCTGGTTCTGCCACCATACAGAAGCTACCTTCACACTTGGAGTGTTTGAAAGCCTGCCATGGGCACTGTGCTCCCAGTGGGATTTCAGTTGCATGGGTAGACAGGAGTTCTGACGCAGCCCCTGGATTCTCATGAACAGTCAGGAAG